>NC_000001.11:179851253-180154283 GCF_000001405.40 Homo sapiens
ACCACAGGCAGAGTGTAGGATCTCAGCTTCTTCAGCATTACTTGCTATGATTGTGGTCTCCTGCGCCTGAGAATTTACTGATGGATCATTTTCCAAATCCTTTTGAGAGTCTATTGAGATAAAAGTTTATAATTTTTATTGGAAAAAATTCCCCATAAATTTATATTTTAACAAGGTCCCTGTTTAATAATAATATTTACATAGATTTTCATGGTTTACAAGACACTTCCTAAACATTATTTCTCTTGGCTCCCACTAAAGGCAATTAAAACAACAACAAAAAAAATCTTATCATGTTAATAAATATAAAATGACACTAATATAAAACAAATTATATGACAGAACAAACTTTTGGCTATATTAAATATATCCTCTTCCCTAATGAAAGGCAATGCTCATCAATGGTAGCAAAACCTTATGCAAAAGGCTGATAGGGACTTTTATAGTGGATGAGCCAGACTGACAACTGCTGAACCCAGCGACCAATCTTCACATCATGAAAACAGGGAAACCCAAACAGATATCATTTACTTTCTAATACAATGCAGTAAGAAGTACTCTAGACCACTTGGGAAGTATTTTTGCCAAACAACTAAACTTAAATCTGGTAAGTTTCTAGAGCAACCAGTTTCCAAGAAATATAGGGATACAGGAATACATTAAATTATGCCTCAAGAATATAATCAGCAAAACCCAGCACGTGGGAAATTCCAAAAGACTTTGTTTCTTTAATAAAAGTAAGAATGGCCAGATGTGGTGGCTCATGCATGTAATCCCAGCACTTTGGGAGGCCAAGGCAGGTGAATCACCTGAGGTCAGGAGTTCAAGACCAGCCTGGCAACATGGTGAAACCCCGTCTCTACTAAAAATACAAAAATTCACTGGGTGTGGTGGCAGGCGCCTGTAATCTCAGCTATTCTGGAGGCTGAAGCATGAGAATCACTCGAGCCCGGGAGGCGGAGGTTGCAGTGAGCTGAGATCACGCCACTGCACTCCAGCCTGGGTAACATAAAAAAAAAAAAAAGGAGAAGAAGAGGAAGAAGAAAGATACCTTCTAAATATAGCACATCACAGGATATATATAACTCTAAAGATTTGTCTACCATCATTTTTTAAAGAAGCATTGTATTTTTCCATTACTATAAGTCCTTACTATTGGAGTCTCTAAAACATTTATCTTCCTTATATTATAATTAGGGTCTCGCATTATAGTAAAATTCAGTAAATTTGAAAGAATAAGTATAATCAAAACAAATGAACCCACTGAATTAGCTTTTTTACTTCAAAACCTCAGATTTTAGTCATCAGAGATTTTCTCTCTCTGCACACCCCTGGTTTCCTACAGCAGCAACCTCAGTGCCAGACAAATCAGTCTTACCCTCTTGAGGTTCCCTAAGTCCACTGTCGGCCATGTTTGTGTTCTATCTCTTCAGAGTTGGGAGGATACTTTTTTTAGTACTTGGTTTTCCTTGTGAAGATGTCTTGTTTTCTTCTTGTCCCAAGTCCCAACAGACTCATGCTTCCCATGGACCCAGGAAATAAGGCATATATACAGTGACTAAAACAAAATGAAAAAAAATTAAATGACTTTTTATCCATACAAGGGAGAAATGCAAGTATCAGCTTTATTTATTAAATATGTGTAGCTTGAGTACTATTTCCTCTGTGAAACTTTTTTCGTGAAGAAAATTTCCTTTCATGAGAATCATATTCCAAATCCTAGACTACTGAAAAAAGCTCCAGATTATTAATCTTTCATGAATTTCATAATCTAATATATTCCAGCATAGTTGAAAGAGTATAAAAAGTAAGATCAAGTGACCAGAATCTTCAACAGACTAGCTTGAATTAAAATAAAAAATAAATCTAAGAGTAGAAATTTAAGTCATTGCTGAAACAATCACTGCAGATTTCCTGGATGTCTTCAATTTCTGTCCCAGATAATTTTCTCATAGTCTGCCTATCAGGAGCTTTCACTTATATTAAAAAGTAACAATGCACAGGAGGTTCCCACAAACTGAGATGGCTGCTTTGAGGTGTACCACTACACATTTGGACTGACTTTGAAGTGGTTTTCTCGAAGTATTCTTTTGTAAAATATGGAGACAGATATTCCTTTATACAATGCCTTTTTATGCAATGCTCAAAGACAGACAAAGAAAATTATTAAGGTTTACACAAAAGGAATCAAAATCAAAGGCACTTTATAAGCAATAAAAACAGTCATATTTTATAGTTCTTTTTTTTGTCAAAAACAAATTGATCAATAAAGTTACTTAATATTTATTCCCTATGAAAATGAGAATAATGATATCTATGAGGCTTAAATACAAAAATATATAAGAAAAACCTGTGTGAAGTGTTATAGTTTTTTGACAGCCTAGCTGGAAGGCTAGCCAACTGGCCGTCTTTATGTTTTTCTCAGTACTCTTTTGTAAAATTTAAATTTACACATTAAAAACTTTGATCCCCAATGCCTACACGGTGCCTAGTGTATAGTAAGAACTCCATATTTTAACTTAAAAGCTTATGAAAAAATAAATGAATGTATAAATAAAGAGTGATGCCATAGATAAATTGGAAGGGAAGAGAAGAGTTAGGGACAGATTTTCTTTCTGCCACTGTGAACACTTAGCGAAGTGTTCAGAGGGTTCCTTGTCAGCTCTTTTATCTTCTTCAAGCTCCTGGGATTGGGCTTTCAAGCCATCATATGTTGGAATGAAGTTTTCTCTCCTATCCTAGCTCATGACAGAAAATAAAAAGTCCCCAGTCCTTTTTAAGTTTTGTTAAAAAAATTTTTCCTGCCAGCCAAAACCAAGAAAATAGGCTAAAAGTTTCCTATGTACCAATAACAAAAATTTTCAAAAGGAATGATGCTACTCACAATAACCTTAAGGAACCTAGAATAAAAACTAAAAGATACCTAGTAATAAATCCAACAAGAGATATGTAAGATCTTTAGACAGTGGTGAATTTTATGGTATGTAAATTATACCTCAATAAAGCTGTTTCTTTAAAACACAACTTTAGAGAGAAAAATATAGACCTTTATTGAAGTCTATAAAAAAGAGATAAGTAAACAGAAAAAAAAATATCATGCATAGACAAATAAGACTCAAAACCATTGATGCCAATTTTCTCCAAATTAATCTACAAATTTAATGCAATTTGAAACAAAATCTCAAGTTTTTTGATTATTGTTGGTTTCTAGTGAAATGGAAAAGTGGGTCCTAAAATTCACAAAGAGCAGCAAAGGATCAAGAAGAGTCAGCATAATTCTAAAGAAGGGGGGCAATCTTTACCAGATATCAAAACTTCTTTAAACTTAAAAATAGGGTGGGCACGGTGGCTCATGCCTGTAATCCCTGCACTTTGGGAGGCTGAGGCGGGCAGATCACCCAAGGGTCAGGAGTTCGAGACCAGCCTGACCAACATGCTGAAACCCCATCTCTACTAAAAATACAAAAATTAGCCGGGCATGGTGGCGCATGCCTGTAATCCCAGCTACTCAGGAGGCTGAGGCAAGAGAATCGTTTGAACCCGGGAGGCAGAGGTTGCAGTGAGCCCAGATTGCACCACTGTATTCCAGCCTGGGTGACACAGCAAGACTCTGTCAAAAACAAACAAACAAACAAAAAACTTAAAGTAATAAAAGCAATGGAACACTAGCACACGAATAGACAAACAGTATACAGAATAGAGAGTCAAGAAATATATGCATACATACATAAGGAAATTGGCCAATTCACAAAAGGGAAATAATGAATTAGTGAATAAATAGCGTGGGGACAACTGACTATTCAAATAGGGGGAAAAATTAGATTTCTGTCTCCTATTCATATAAAAATCAACTCCAGATTAAAGACCTAAATGTAAACAGCAAAACTTTTAAACTTTGAGAATATCAAATATCTTTATAACTGCAAGGGTTTCTTAAATAAGATATACAATACACAAACCAGAAAGGAAAATTTGACAAATGTGACCCTATTAAAAAATTTTAATTTCTACACAAGGTATCAAAATTAAAAGGTAAGTCTCTGACTAGAAAAACATCTGCAACACATAAAACCAGTAAGGAATTAATATTGAGAACACATAAAGAATTCCACAAATCAGTAAAAGACAAATAATGCTATGAAAAGTGGGTAAAGGGATGAATAAGCAGTTCAACAAAGAGGAAATATGAAAACCTAATGAATATTAAAAAACAGTCAAAGAAATACAAAAAATAAATTAATGGTGAGATAACATTTCACACCAGCAGACTGGTAAAAAGTCAGGCAATATCAAATGTTGATGAGGATTTAGAGATACAGAGAGCTCTTAAACCCCTAATGGCAATGAAGTAAACCTGTTACTACAACTTTAGAGAGAAATATGGCAAGGAAAATTAAGGCACACACTCTACAAATCAGCAACTCCATTTTTAGACGTATAATAGAGAATCTCATTAATACGCCCCAAAATGTCCATTGCTGTATTGTTTAAAATGAGGAAAAAATTAGAAAATCTAAATGTTCATTAATAAGAAAGTGGGTTTAAAAAATTGTCATATTCTTACAATGTAATATTATGCATAGCAATTAAAATAAATTAGGTTATCTTTAAAAGTTGTAAAATTATAGCAGTGAAGTACTGCTGACCAGGCACAGTGGCTCACACCTGTAATACCAGCACTTTCAGAGGCCAAGGCAGACAGATCGGTTGAGCTTAGGAGTTTAAGACCAGCCTGGACAACATGGTGAAACCTCATCTCTACAAAAAAAAAATACAAAAACTAGCCAGGCGTGGTGGTGCATACCTGTAGTCCCAGCTGCTGAGGTGGGAGGATCACTTGAGCCTGGGAGGCAGAGGTTGCAGTGAGGCAAGATCACACCACTTCACTCCAGCCTGGGCGACAGAGCAAAACTCCGTCTCAAAAAAGAAAAAAAAATGTTTAATATCTTTACTGAGGTGGTGGTTCCATTTGTTATCAAACTTAAAATCTGTACATTA
Organism: Homo sapiens; assembly: GCF_000001405.40. Taxonomy (NCBI): domain Eukaryota; kingdom Metazoa; phylum Chordata; class Mammalia; order Primates; family Hominidae; genus Homo; species Homo sapiens. The sequence continues at coordinate 179,856,252 of NC_000001.11, forward strand.
ATTGTATGTGACATAGATTATCCTCAATAAACCTTATTGCAAACAAACAGAACTGAAGGTTTTCAAAAATGTATTACTTGGTTACTAGGTTGCAGTCCAAAAGAATCTGCAAAGGTGCCATCACAGATATTTCTATTATCTTACAAATGCTTGACATACACCTTTCCTGTCACAAAGCACACACAGATCCTACACCCCACTTCATTCAGACCTTTTGTAACATATCATCACTGTTCATAGTTGAAATGGCATTTCCCTTACAGTACAAGAAGTGGGACAAACAAGGAAGTTCTTGACAAATCCTCAGAAAAGGTCACATGGCAGGGTATCTGAGAGATCTGGAGGCCACTGTTTCAGAGGCAGGTCAATCTTTTTTTCCCCCCCAAGATAGAATCTCACTCTTCGCATAGGCTGGAGTGAAGTGGTGTAATCTTGGCTCACCGCAACCTCCAACTTCCAGGTTCAAGCGATTCTCGTGCCTCAGCCTTCATAGCTGGGACTACAGCTGCGCACCACCGTGCCCAGCTAATTTTTGTATTTTTAGTACACACAGCATCTCACCATGTTGCCCAGGTTGGTCTCAAACTCCTGGCCTCAAGTGATCTGCCCGCCTCAGCCTCACAAAGTGGTGGGGATTACAGGCATGAGCCACTGCGCCCAGCCAAGCAGGTCAATCTTTTGAACAGTGTCTGATCCCTATCAGGGTATGTGTTCATTAGGAACCTCTGGACTGCATAATGGAAGTGAGGCAGAGCCTCATCCTGAAGGAAAATGCAGTAGCTGGAGACTTTCTACAGCTGTAGGGAAAACCACTCCATAAGCATGCCCCAAAATAGATGCTTTTGATAGTATCTTCTACAAGGAACTGATGAGACCTGTGTGCTTCATATGGCAACAAAAGACATTCACTCTGAGTGAATCCCTTGCAAGTTCAATTACGAAATGTTGGTGTTCAGTGCTCTATACGTGGCGGTTATAATGATTCATATTTCTACTTAAATAAAATGTAGTCTCATTGCTGACAGTCATTTCCACTTCCTTGTGACGCTGAAATCTGCAGCAAAACTTGTATCATTTTGCTTTAGTTGTCTCCATCAAGGCTTGTAACAGGTGAAGGCTGTAAGGTTTTATTCTCCATTTATGGAGAACCTACTAGACGGCCGGCTGAGGGATGCCTTGCTTAATTTCTATTTCCTGGGACTTTTCTAAGAGGGACACAGATTTGCCTCAACTGCTTGGGACACAGATTTGCCTCAACTGCTTCCTCTGTAAATGTGGCTGCCTTGTGCTCTGTCTTCTAAGATGTATCCTTTCTACTTCATCTCACCGTAAAATGGTAAATGCTTTGACTACCTGGTAGGTGACATTGTGTGGTATACCAAATGACTTTTTACATAACCAAGTTTAGAAGATTCCAACATACAATATTAAGTGCTATAAGGCTAACTACAATTCAATACATATTACATGTTTATAAATTTGGGCCAGGTATGATGGCTCATGCATGTAAGCCAGGATGTTACAATTCTGCTATGAAAACAAGTAGTAACATATAAAGCATACACAACTATAAAAGTTACTATTTATTGAGTGCTTTCTTTGTGTCAGGCAGCATTCAGATCACTTTATGTATTAACTCATTTAACCTTCACAACACTTCGAGAGGCCAAGGCAGGAGGATTGCTTGAGTCCAGAAGTTCAAGATCAGTCTGGGCAACATAATGAGATGATGTCTCTACAAAAAAAATTTAAAAATTAGCCAGGTATGGTGTCACACGCCTGTAATCCCAGCTACTCAGGAGGCTAAGGAGGACGATCCTTTGAGCCCAGGAGTTCAAGGCTGCAGGGAGCTAAGATCACACCACTGCAATCCAGCCTGAGTGACCCTGTCTCGGGGGAAAAAAACAAACAAAATAAATATATGTACATACATATATATGTTTGTGTATGTATATATATTTGATACTAATGAAGGTTTGAAAGTATTCCATTTTTTGTCACTACAGAGTGATATGTTACAGCATGTACATGTACAGAGAATAATGTACAGCATTATTAACATATATAAATTTATAACAAAACATAAATACATAAATGGAAAGGATACATATCAACTTCCATTTAGTGCTTGCTTCTGCAAGGAATAAGAGAGGGTGTCAACTGTACACATAAAGTTTCCTTAAAAAAATAAAAACATCTGAGGTAAATGGGATAAAATGTTCATATATTTTAGATCTGGGCAAAGGTCTTACTATATTATTCTCTGCACTTTTCTGTATGTTTGATGTAGTTACTGCCTTTTTAAATGAGTAATAAAATAAATCAGTCTCTGTAAAAAAAAATTAAGTATCAAAAGGAAAGACCTATAATGGAAACTCTTTCAGCCTACATGCAATGACCTTACATTACGGAGTACGCTTCCACCATAGCCTCCTAGACATTTTGTCACAACCAGCTGAGAAGAGACAGGACACGGAAAAGCTGCCTGTGAGAACAAAATCAGAGCTGGGAGAGCAAAAGGACCTTACCCATCCTCCACTCCATCCTGCAAATTGCTAGCATTGCCATGGCGACCAGTGAAAAAGAGGGGAAGGGATGGTGACCTGGGGAAAACCTGGGGAGGGGAGGCAGGGTAGGTATCAGGAAGTACTAAGACCATTTTTTAAATGGAGAAGGAAATTAGAAGTTTAGCAGCCAAGAAGAGCACAAAAGAATCAGCCATTCCAGGATGGTAGTTTAGATATAAATGCCATCATGACAAATGTATGACAGTTGGGGTAGAATTAAGTATATATCTTTATTTTTAAACACAATTTTATTTTAGTGAATGATGCCATTTTAGGCTCTAGGGATAAAAAGAAACTGGTATCTTGGCCCTGAAACAAGTAGTTACAATCCTGCTATGAAAACGAGTAACAAATAAAGCATATACAACAACTATAAGAACTACTATTTATTGAGTGCCTTCTTTGTGCCAGGCATCATTCACAGCACTTTATTAACTCGTTTAATCTTCACAACAATCTTATGAGGTGTAGACTATTAATATTCCTACTATTTTAGAGATGAGGAAACTGAGATACAGAAAAGTTAAGAACGTTACCCAAGAACACGTGACTACTGAGGGCAGTTAGGATTTGAACTCAGGTAGTCTAGCTGTGGGACCTAACCATGACACTTTTAAAAGCTTGTATTAAGCATACCACAAGCACCCTGACTCTGGAAAACTTACATCTAGGTTTGAATTGTGACTCCAGTACATATGACCTGAGTGAATTTGTACATATCCTTCAACTTTTCTCTATTTCTTCTTTTTCCTTTTCAGGGAACTACCACTTCAGGAATTTGTTTATTTCAGTGTTGTGGAAAGTCTCAGGTGATAAAAGTCATACAGCAATTATATCTACCATAATTAAGATTATAAAATGGGCCTAAACATTGTGACAAAAATCTGCCTTCGGTCATCCATCCCTCCAGGCCTTTTAATCTTTACACCCAAGACCATCTGACTTATACTACAGGCTCAACCTCATCCCCAAACCAATCCTGTCCTTCATCAGGAGAGATTTAAGAAGTTTTTTGTTTTTGTTTTTAGATAAAGGGCCTTACTCTGTTGCCCAGGCTGGAGGGCAGTAGTACCATCATAGCTCACTGCAGCCTCAAGCTCATAGCTCACTGAGGCTCAAGTGATCCTCCCACCTCAGCCTCCTGAGTAGCTGGGACTACAGGCACATACCACCACATCCAGCTAATTTTTTTCTTTTTAAAACTTTTTTGTAGAGTTGGGGGTCTCACTATGTTGCTCAGGCTTGTTTTGAACTCCTGGGCTCAAGCCATCCTCCTGCCTCAGCCTCCCAAAGTGCTGGAATTACAGTGAGCCACCAGCCAATAAGTTTATAATAATTCAGCCATCAGTTCAAACAATTGGCTTAGTTCTAAAACTAAGACTCGGTGGACACGGCGGCTCATGCCTATAATCCCAGCACTTTGGGAGGCCCAGGTGAGAGGATCGCTTGAGGCCAGGAGCTCAAGACCAGCTTGGGCAACATGGCGATACTCCATCTCTACAAAAATAAAAAAATTAGCTGGGCATGGTGGTGCAAGCCTGTAGTCACAGCTACTTAGGGGGCTGAAGTGGGAGGATCACTTGAGCCCAGAAGGTCAAGGCTGCAGTGAGCCATGATGGCGCCACTGCACTCCAGCCTAGGTGACAGAACGAGACTCTGTCTCAAAAAAACAAAACAAAACAAGTAAGACTCTACCTTATTCCCCAGTTCTAACTTCTGCTTTTGCTTTCTTGCCCTACATCTTTCCTCATCCTAAAGATTTAGTATGTGCCATATGTTTGGTATATGTTATTGCACTTAAACCTCACAACAGTATGAGGTAGGTATTATTACACAACCTTTTTCACAGATGAAGAAACTAGATACAGAGAGGTTAAAATGCCTAAGGTCATTTAATAGTATCAGAATTAGAATAGAAACCCAGCTGGCTGCAAGGCCATTATTTTGCCTCTATAAAAAGCAATTTTCAAGCTGTGTCCCCAAAATTCCATGGAGACTCAGGGTTGCCAGGGAGACTGGAGAGATGAACGGGCTGCGGCTCATCTCACTTTTACAGACAGCTATGACATGTGGACTGCCACATATTCTTTGGATGCCATGGACTCATTTCTGCCTTCCTGTTTGCCTGGGCTTCCTTCACCTGTAACTCAGAGATGAATCTTACCTCACTCACTCATATCCCCCAACAGCCACCTCTTTGGTGGATGTATTTTCTTTCCGGTCTGCCCTTGCATGTTTCCATTAACCTTTTCACTCCCTGGACTGCCATAAAATAACAGGGAGTAGTTATAATGGTCATTTTAGAAATGCTACCATAACATATAAGCAATATTACCAACTCTTCCACACTATAAAAATAGAGACGAGTGTAGCTCACACTATTTAAAACACTGGATAACCCTCCAGATCATTTGTCATTACAATTAATTTTACCAACACAGCATTTATATTTTAATAAAATTCATTATTCATATCAACTATGGAGTATTCTAGAATAACCTGCAATATTTTAAGCCATATGAAGACATACTAGAAAGACCTAAGGTGAAAAGCTTTGTTCAAAGGCTTCCTCAATTTTCTCCTTTGCTCAATTTTATGAGCTCTACTACATGATGTTGATTTCTGACAGCTTATCATATAACAGGTATGTGATGTTTGAAGGCAAAGTAACCCTCTTAATATTAAAATTAATATTTTTGATTCATTTTTCTTGCCCATATATTCACATAGTTTATAATGACACTGAACAAAACTGTTTGTGAAGAAGACTGAAACATTCCTGATTAGTTTAATTAATGAGAAAAATGTGGCTGAGTTATGACCTAAATTATTAACAGTGATCTTCAGTCTGACATGAAATCTCTTTTTACATAGCCAGTATTACCAAATAAATGGTACTATCTTGCAGTACTATGAGTATTCTGCTCCCATCCTTTTAAGCCAGATAAGTAAACACTATGGACATATTACTACAGCATTTCTCAAAGTATGGTCTAGAGAGCACCTGCATCAGAATCTCCAAAGGTACTATTTATATCTTTTATGTTGTTTTTTTTTCTTGAAAGAGACAGTGGTCTGACTATCTTGCCCAGGCTGGTCTTGAACTCCTGGGCTCAAGTGATCCTGCTGCCTCAACCTCTGAAGTAGCTGTGGTAACAGGTACATGCCATGGCACCCGGCATGAGGTGTTATTTATAATATGCAGATTCCTGGGCCCTACAAGCAACCTGAGGAATCAAAATTTCTAAAGCAGACCAAGAAATCTCCATTTTTAAACAAGCTCTCACAGGTACTGCTTAGGTATTGATTTGAGAAATCAATGATATAAATCCTTTTAATCTGATCTTACTATTTAATGGAGATATTGACTAAAACAAAAACAAAAACCTTTTCTCTATTTTGCTGATATTTAAATTTTCACATTTGTAGAATGTTTCTTAGTATATGTCCTTGTAACATAAGCATTCTCTAATAATTAAAAAATTTAGGGGCAATAATACTGATCATAATACTATTCTCGAAAGCACTCTCTCAAAGTAAATTTTCACTTTTTAGGAGGAGTTGTAGGATAGTGAAATTCTTCATTAAAGAGTTAGTGATAAACTAACTAGTCTTCAGTCAATTTAGCAGTTCACATAGTTTATTCAGCAATATAACAGGAGAGAACCTCCATTGTAAGAGACATAAGGCAGATACAGGGTGCATCTCTGGGGTACATTCTTCATACAGACTAACAAATAACTTCAGGTTTCACAACATGTAGCAAGTATGATTTGTTGCACACCAACAGCCATTCATTCCTCACGTTTTCCTTGCTAAAAGAGCCCTGGTCAGGCACGGTGGCTATGCCTGTAATCCCAGCACTGTCGGAGGTCAGGGCAGGTGGATCATCTGAGGTCAGGAGTTCAAGACCAGCCTGGCCAACATGGTGAAACCCCGTCTCTACTAAAAACACAAAAATTAGCCAGACATGGTGGCGGGCACCTGTAATCCCCACTACTCAGGAGGCTGAGGCAGGAGAATTGCTTGAACCTAGGAGGTGGAGGTTACAGTAAGCCGAGATCGTGCCACTACACTCCATCCTGGGCAAGAGAGCGAGACTCCGTCAAAAAAAAAAAAAAAAAAGGGCTGGGCACAGTGGCTCATGCCTGTAATCCCAGCACTTTGGGAGGCCAAGGCGGGTGGATCATGAGATCAAGAGATCAAGACCATCCTGGCCAACAATGGTGAAACCCCATCTCTACTAAAAATACAAAAATTAGCCAAGTGTGGTGGCGCACACCTGTAGTCCCAGCTACTCGGGAGGCTGAGGCAGGAGAATTGCTTGAACCCGGAAGGCAGAGGTTGCAGTGAACCAAGACTGCCACTGCACTCCAGCCTGGGCGACAGAGTGAGACTCTGTCTCAAAAAAAAAAAAAAAAAAAAAAAAGCCCTGATTTCTTCAATGGAGGCAATGTGGCCTACCCAGGCAATGCTAACCCTATTCCCCTTTGCCAAGGTTTCCCAGGCTCCCTTGTAAACTGGTACTTTCTAATGAGATGTAAGAAGAAATTTGCTAGGGATTTTTGGGAAAGACTTGATTCCCAAATAAAACACTGACTTGAAAGAAAGCCTTTTGCTCTCTACTTCCAGCCTTTCCTAGGGATTAAAATGTCTGTTACAACAAGAAGTCATATTGTACTCATTGAGAAAAAAAAACCTAACGATAAAAAGCAAACATGGATCCTAGGCCGGGTAGGGTGGCTCACGCCTGTAATCCCAGCACCTTGGGAGACCGAGGTGGGAGGATGGCTTGAGCCTAGGAGTTGGAGACCAGCCTGGGTCATACAGCAAGACTCTGTCACTATTTTTTAAAAAGCAAAAAAAAAAAAAAAAAAAAAGAGGATCGCAAGGGGGAAGGACACAAAGAAGCTGGGACCTTGATAATATTGATAATATTGCTAAAAGCACTAGATACCTAGATACCTGGCATGTTAAGTGTAATTTAAAAATTGTTCAGTGGCCTTTGAGATGTTTTCAACAGCTTTTTCTAAGTGGCTTAACCCCAACTCTGGGTCCATGATTTTCATGAAAGTCCAGAATGTGGCCAATGTTCAGCAGACCTCCTTAGTTCTAAGAAAGATGCTTCCTCTAGACTGTTCATAATATATATGAAGTCAGGCTTGATAATTTCTTTTGTCATACATCTCCTGATAGGTACTTTTCCATTTCCAGGGGAGGACGTTGTAAATTCAGTCACCACAAAGACAAGACAGTCTTTTGTTTATGTAAAGCCACGTAAGTATGGACAGGTGGCATTTCTGCATGTTTCTGCATAACCTATATAGGTGTTTCCTAATAGAATGTGATTTATCTGACAGTGACCAGTTATCAATAATCTCACAGCCACACTGAGGATGGGCCAAACAGGGCCAATGATGAATAAATGGCTATATAAGAGCAAATTTTATCTATCTATCTATTTATATATATATCTCATCACTGACCAATGCATAAGAGGTGAGTTTACAACAGTGTAATTTCTTATTAAAATTCACTGGACTAATCTAGGATCCAGCTATAACGAGGCTGCTTTCCCACAAAAGTTATCATTAGAAATACCACTATGAAGCACACAGTATAGGACTTCCCCTCTAGGACTACTTTGTCATATGACACTCATTAGGTTGCAGAAATTTTTTTAGGAGTGGTAAGTTAGTTCCAAAACAGTTTATAGGAAATACGGATTAGCCTCAGTCTAGATGAACAGATTAGCCTCAGTCTAGATGAACAGGCTGGCTGGAATACTAACTAAATTCATGTGAATAAAATATGTATAGGCCACGGAAGCAGATCCAACAATTTAAGCAGTTCCCAAAGTAGTGACAATCTGGGTCAGACTTAGAAATGAATTATTTTTCCATCTTCCTTGGGCTACCTACACAAAAGCCTCTAGACTTGACAATTTTGACTATTATAGAAGCTATTTGTTTTGGCCCAGTTTTTTGTTTAAGGTTTTATCTGTTCTGGTCAAGATTAACTGTAATGCAGGGTTAAAACCAGCTACTCGAGAGTCATGTATTCTTTTTCTAACCAGTGGAGGACCCAGAAGAAATGGATGGCAAGCTTTCTCAAAGGTCCATCTGGTGAGATTCTGGGGAGCCCACTCAAGTGGGAAAGACCAAGGAAGAACAAGGCTTCTATTAGCAGGATTATCAGGATAACACTCAGGACAATAATCAGCTCTGTTAATACGGTCTAAGAATACCTGGTAACATTCATTTTCAACAAGTTCAGTTTGGTACAACCAGTGGCCTAGTTCTAAACTAGGGAACCACTGTTGTCCACAATCAGGGCAATGTGAATTATCTGAAAACATCTGGACCTAGAAAGACAACACAGACAGCAATGTGACAGCAAGAGACAACAGTGACAGAGAGAGACGCCCAAACACCAGTCCTATTACAGGTTTCGTTTACCAATTTCTTAGTTCAACCAATATTATTTGGAGAGCCAAATAAACTTGGCTTGCACCTCCGTGCAATTCTTCAAGATTTCGTTGTCTATTTTTCACTCAATTGCAACTCAGTCTCTGAACTCAGGGACCGATCCAGTTTATAATGTTATCAGTCACTTACTAGCAGTACAGATCTCAGGATAGCTCCTTCAAATCCCAGCTTCTCAAGAAGAGATAGGGCTCTAGTCTAAATTAGTTATATTTTTCTTATGCGTCATCAGCTGCTGGTGGTGTCACACAGAGGCACTTGGCTTACTCTGCTTTGTTGGTAAGGTTATTGTGTCTGCTTGGTGAAACAGAGGAGCTGACAGGTCCAATGGGTCTTTTGTTGGCGCTGGCACTCTTGCCGTTGTAACACACGTACCCAAGTCTTAAGGCCTTGGCACTTTATAGCAATGTAGAGGGGTCAGAAAAACCTGGCAGAGTCCTCTTGATCGTGGATCCAATGAAGTCTGTCTTGGGAGGACATTAATCAGGACCCAATTGCTGTGAAGAAGCTGATGCTCAGTTGGCTGAAGAGTCTGGGAATGCGTCACATACCTGTAAATGATAAAACTTCAGACGACTCATGGGTTTTGCAGTTGTTCACATTATTATTAGAAACATGCATTTGGAAATTATTCAGGTTAGTTAAGGCAGATAAGAAATGTCTCATGGGTTTTCCCATGACTATTTAACATGGGTTCAAACCAACTGATATGTTGGCACTAGGAAGAATTCTGGATCATTTATACTAGGACTAGCTTAATTTCTTAGGACTATATTTCTTCTTTACTCCATGTGTGCCTTGGGAATAATAAGGTCTGTATAATCACGTCTAACCTGGTAAAACTTAGCGATCTCTTGTACGTCTCTTCTGTGAAATGGGTGCCACATATGGTATCCCCATAATGTATGGGATAACATTAATGATGACAGCCTTTCCATAATAGGTTTCAATCCATCCAAAAAAAAAAAAAGCTTACACAGTTTTTAGATAATATTCTTAAAAGCTAACCATAGAAAGTTGAATGAAATCCTTTTGAAGGCTAAAAAAAAGTCAAAAATCAAGAGGGGCAAGTCTAATTGCTCACCATCTAGTTGTTTGTTATTCTTGTTTGTTTTTTTTTCTTTTTGAGACAGAGTTTCATTCTTGTTGCCCAGGCTGGAGTGCAATGGCACAATCTTGGCTTACTGCAATCTCCGCCTCCTGGGTTCAAGCGATTCTCCTGCTTCAGCCTCCCAAGTATTACAGGTATGTGCCACCATGCCCGGCTAATTTTGTATTTTTAGTAGAGACGGGCTTTCTCCATGTTGGTCAGGCTGGTCTCGAACTCCCGACCTCAGGTGATCCGCCCACCTTGGTTTCCCAAAGTGCCGGGATTACAGGAGTGAGCCACCGTGCCCGGGTGCCCACCACCTAGTTTTATTGGTTTATACACCGTGTCATTCTGAGAAGGCAAGTAAGGCACAGCCCTGAGCAATAGTCCTGAGCTATTCTTGGAAAATGCATAGTAAATAAGTTGGAATTTGCAGATGTTATCATCATCTTTGCATTCCTTCATGACACTGGATGTAGCATGTAAATAAGGTGGGACAGTAGGATGTATGGAGCAACTAGAAGGCCACCTAGAGGGTATCACAGAATCAGAATACTATATATACCATGCCTTTCTCCAATGTTCTTTTTGTAAATTCTGAGACTTGATCCTATGAGAGTAATAAGAGACGCTGGGGAGGGCATGAGTTAAAATATAAAGATCTGGCCTGAAAAATAGAAGGAATTATAGCCTTAGTTGTGGTAAGCCAAAGCACTCTCCTTACAGAAGTAATAGCTGTGATTCTCAGATTTTAAAATGGTAAATTTAAAAGGCGAATGAAGAGGCTCTGATAGTGCTACGACAACATGGGGCCCATATTTTGATGGAAGTCCCAGAGCGGGTGAAATAGAGTCAAGTAGACATACTGATGTGTTTTCTGAGGTTAGGTAACAATGTACGGGTGAGGGCTACTAATTCAGTTCCTCAGGCAGAGTGGACAAAAGGCTTGGTTTCCGACTCAATGACTAGATACTTGGTGCTGATAGCACAGGGCATAATAGATTTCCCTGAGGGTCTGCTGACAAGAGCTACCAGTGAAAGCTTCAGCTACTGAATTAAATCTTGGGTCTCTAGTCATGGTACAGAGAGATGACGAATAAAACTCCCACAATGGTGGATAAACACAAAAGATAAAAAATTAAAAGTCTGACATTTAATTGATCAGATTTTACATTTTTAGAGTGAAATCAAGTAAATGCAACAAGATACTATTGTAGTGTCAGCAAGATACTATTTCACATCTACCACACTACAAAAACTGACAAAGGGGGTTCCACATACTATAGCAAAAACCACTCCTCCCAGAGGACTCTATTGGTAGGAGTCAAGAGAAAGCCCTAAAGCTCCAAGTGCTCAGAATAATTCCATCCATTCCCCAACCTTCAGTTTTACAACTTCAAGAATCAAACAAGCACTAGAATTCCAAGTATTCCTGCATCAAGAGAACTCCACCGTTCCATATGTTTCAGACAAGTCTTCCCTCCTCTCCTGGTCCTTTAAACCTCTGTAGGCAAGAGCCACCAGGGGGCCCCAGAACTCCAAATGCTCAAAATAATACCACCCATTACCAGCTTCCTCACTCATTCTTTAGCCTTAGAGCTACTGGATGAGTAGGAGTGAAGAGAGGGGCCTGGGAAAATGCTCCTGGCAAGATTCCTAACCCCTATCCCCACCCCAACACTCACAGCTTCAATACAGCTTCAATTATCTGCTTGAAAGCATCAGGACCAATCTCATACCTATATCTCTGTTCATGTCAATCACCACCTGAAACACAGGACTTCTTGGTTATATCCCATCCCCTTAGCCTCAAATCCCCCCATATGGCTCTATCAGCAATGCAATAACAAGTACTACTAGGCTTGCTTTATTTTTTTCACATAAAACAGGTACCATTTTGCTATATTATTTATTTTGGCTATTTTTCTCCACTAAAATATAAACTCCCTGAAAGCAGGACATTTTACCTTTCTATTTACTGCTATAGTGTCCAATAAATATTTCTGGAATGAATAAATGACAAAAATAAAATGTAACTTGAATTCTTATAGTCTAATGACAAGACTATAAATCTGTACAATCACTTTTGGAATTGGCATTACCTAGTAAAACTGAAGATGTGCATTTCCTATAACTCAGCAGTTGCACTCTTAGGCACATACCCTAGAGAAACTGCACCTGTACATTTAAAAACATGAATAAAAATATTCATGGTAGCACTGTGTAATAGCAAAATAACAGCCACAATGGCCACGAACGGGAGAATGAATAAATTAAGGTATTGCTGTACAATAGGATACTGTCATTCTAAACACAGATGAAACTCAAGAATGTTGAGCTTAAAAAAAAAATGCAAGTAGCACAAGGAAAAAAATAAACACATGCACACATTCTTATATAAACTTTCCACTTACATAAAGTTTCAAAAGGATATAAAATTAATGTGTTGTTTAGGGATATTTTTTTGAGACGGAGTTTCACTCTTGTTGCTCAGGCTGGAGGGCAATGGTGCAATCTTGGCTCACTGCAACCTCCGCCTCCTGAGTTCAAGTGATTCTCTTGCTTCAACCTCCCGAGTAGCTGGGATTACAGGTATGCACCACCATGCCCGGCTACTTTTGTATTTTTAGGAGAGACGGGGTTTCTCCATGTTGGTCAGGTTGGTCTTGAACTCCCAACCTCAGGTGATCTGCCCGCCTCAGCCTCCCAAAGTGCTGGTATTATAGGCATGAGCCACCACCCCAGCCCAACTGTGTATTTTTAGTAGAAACGGGGTTTCTCCATGTTGGTCAGGCTGGTCTCGAACTCCGAACCTCAGGTGATCCGCCCGCCTCAGCCTCCCAAAGTGCTGGGATTACAGGCGTAAGCCACCGTGCCCGGCTGCAATAAAGCTTTAAAAAAAAAAAAAGAAGTATTAAGTCCAAACCTGAGGATAATTATTACCTCTGATGGGAGAGGGAAGGGTGGGGGATGGAGGGCATTCAAAGAATTTCAAAGATAATTGTAATTTTGTTTTCTTTAACTGGGTGAAGGTACAAGAATACCCACTGTATCATAAATCCTAATAGCTTACAGCATCTCTATTCAATATTTTATAATGTTTAAAAGAGAAAGAGGTTAATAAGCAAAACCAAACTTTCACACTGTGGACAAGACCAGTAGCAGTTAATCTGCTCAGAGGCAAAGCAGGTAACTTACATTGGGATAAAGAAGAGCAATATAGAAGGATATGGATCTTTGTTTTCCTCACAAAATTTTAAGCAACCATCTCTTCATAGAAATAAGGTAAAAGAAGCCTACCTAATGGTTGTACAAAAGAGGGTTTATCTTAGCATACTCTCTGAAGGCATGAATTTCTGTGTAGGGAAGTTGCTATTTCACATGACGCCTTTGTACAAATTAGAAAAAGGCACAGTTCCTCCAAGCAATATACAACTCAGAAAACTTTATTTGGCAGGATATTAAACAGTATACAGTAACCCTCTGTCAGATAATAACACTTAGTAGCTAACACTTATGGAGTGCTATTTTCTGTTCTAAACACTTTATTCGTATTAACTCATTTAATCTGCTCACAAAGCCAAAGGATACTCTTCCACTATGAATAAATATTGGCGGTGGGAGAAATCACCCCTCATAATTTTTCACTTCCACACCAAAAAATACAGGATAAACTTCCAGGAGTCCTGAATCCTCTGAAATTACATGTAAAAATCTTTACGGCTGGGCACGGTGGTTTACGCCTGTAATCCCAGCACTTTGGGAGGCCAAGGCGGGTGGATCACGAGGTCAGGAGATGGAGACCATCCTGGCTAACACATGGTGAAACCCTGTCTCTACTAAAAATACAAAAAAATTAGCCAGCCGTGGTGGCGGGCGCCTGTAGTCCCAGCTACTCAGGAGGCTGAGGCAGGAGAATGGCGTGAACCCAGGAGGCGGAGCTTGCAGTGAGCCAAGATCGCGCCACTGCACTCCAGCCTGGGGGACAGAGTGAGACTCCATTTCCAAAAAAAAAAAAATTTTTTTTACATACACATGTGCATTTTTTTCCAAAAAGATGGTACATCCTTTTAAACTCCTAGAGGAATCTGAAATGATTCAGGACCATTAGGCACTATGGTTCCTAACCATTTTGCTATCAAAGGTAACTTTTTTCCAATCCCACCCCTCCTCCTCCATTTTGGAAAGATGTCCAAACAATCTGCAGTCTTGTAATAATTTCGTTTTCTCATTTTTAGTAATCGGATATGTAGATCTGCCAAACAGAAGTTCTAATAAAACAAAAAACTAATGCTACTAGCCTTGGTTTAAAAACTTCCATTATTTTAAATTAGACAAAATACTTTATATCCCTATAACACAGAGTTGGAAAGATCTGGATATCCTAAAACTGGCTTCCTTTCTCAACTTCATTAGCTTAAGTCCTAAGCAGCTGATTTAAGGTAAGTATATGACTATCATTAGGTTTTTAGAAATGCTAAATAAAAATACCTTGAGAACTACCATTACTTTATGATTGTTAAACATAATTGTTTCACTTATTTGAGGAGCGCACCATGTGCTAGGCCCAATGCCAAGTACTATGGATACAGAAAGAAAATCATTCAGGACTTCTAGATGTCTAGGGAATCCAGACTGGAACCAGTGATTTAGGTGAAGGCTAAGGGCTCTTAGAGGGATATAAAAAGATCCCCTGTAGGCTAAGGGCTCTTAGAGGGATATAAAAAGATCCCCTGTAGAGATCACAGGAAATTTAGGGAGGCCCACAGCAAAAGCTGGGATGCTTGTATTTTCAAACCTCCTTCACTAAAAACAGTGAGCAAAAAAACAAAATTTGAGGAGCTTCTCTACTGCACAAATGCTATACAAAAGAAAATACAAATCAGGGGTTTTGTGTATGTAAACTAAAATAAATTTAAGATCCTTCCTGAAACTTTATTAAAAGAAAATTTAGAAAAGAAAATAGTACTTTCACACCAAAATAGAAAATGTAGTTCTATTTAATCCACTGAAATTTACATCAACTAACCATGGCAACTTTTTAATTAACTTCTCTAAATAGTCTATCTTGTTCTTTGCTATTTCCTGAATGTATGTTAGTAAGTTCAAATCTGCCTTCAATAGATAAAAATTCCCTTATTCTTTTTTGTGGTAGCATAATAATTAAGTTTCAGACTGAGTCTGGATTGGAATGACTTTTCCAGGCAATTTATCCCTTAGACTTCAGCCTCAACCAATTCCTCATATGATACATAAAATCAAGATAGGCACATAGAAAAAGTATAAATGCTTTAAACTCTCTTGAATTCCCATTTTAAATATTTTCTTCTAGGGGGTACTACAGTCAAGGCTAATCAATAATCATAACTTTTTTTGTATGAGATGGTTTCTCCAATAAGTTTCATACACAAAGTGAAATCTTAAGAGTTTCCTATTTCACAACTACCTTAGATAATGAGAGATTAAGGAGTATGAAAAAAGGAATCATTCTTCTTTTTGAATTCATATAATCTAAAATAATTTTTTGTTGAAAATAAAATGCTCCTGGAAAAAAGTCAACTTGTTTTGTGAGAAACTACTTTTAATTTGGCAATCTTGAGATCACTGAGAGAAGGCATATGGATGACAATCTTCAGTACTATTTAGTACACACACTGTTCCCTCTTTAGAACAGAGAAGCCAAATAAAAAATATTACCCAAGGTTAGAAAATAGCTGCAGAATGTTCTCCTCTCTCTTGCCCCAGGAACTGACAAACGAAACAGGTGTGTATGCATTGCTACCATACTTTTTGAGGGGCATGGCCATAAAGGAGAACAACTGGTTTGGAAACCTACTGGTACATTTCTATCTATGTTGCTCTAATGCTCCAAAAGCCCATGGTCCAAATTCTGTCTACAATTTCACTTCAAAACACCAGCAGCCAAACCTTTAAGGCTAATACACAACTTTCAACAGTCAGATCTGGTGCCAAGCTTAGGTATTTCTATAACTTGTGCTAGCTATTTATTGTCTGTCTAAAACTAAATTTCTAAGTCTTGCCCACTCCTCTGTACCATATCCACTGTCATAATATCCCAGCATTATTATTTTCACAATTTTTCGTTTCTCTGTATTTTCACTAACTGGTGACTTATTCTAGATTTTTGAAAGAAGTTTGAAAAAGTACTAGCCTCGGAACAAAAAGCACTCTACTTCCTTAGGGAATTGTTTTTTACACAGGAATTGAATGCCTGGCGCAGATCAAATTCTACAGATATTTTCTGAGTGCAGAAAGCCTTCCTTTCCTACTTACCCTTTTTCATACTCCCTCCCAACTCCTTTGACTTGTATCTCTAGTTTCGGTTGACCACGTAGAGGTATTAAGCTATGCACGAAGGATCTAAGAGTTTGCTAAGATTTCTGACAGTGGGTGGCACAACTGACTGCCAGGTTTAGTTCAACTTCCCTAATCACTTTTAGTATCTACTTCAAGTCAACATATTTTTATTAAACTTTTTATTTTGAACTAATTTTAGACTTACAGAAAAGTTGCAAAAATAGCACACAGTTCCATTATATCCTTCATCTAGCATCTTACATAATTAAAGCATAGTTATCGAAAACAAGAAATCAACATTGGCACAATTCAATTAACTAGAGGCCATATTCAGATTTCACGATTTCTTTTAGTTGTTATTTTTCCTTAGTGTCTAGTCTATGACAGTTCCTCAGTCTTTACCTGTCATTTGTGACCCTTTCTTGTCTTTGTGACCTTGACACTTTTGAAGAATACTGGTCAGTTATTTTGGGTTCGGTGTTTTTTGTTTTTAAAAATAGACACGTGGTCTTGCTATGTTGCCTAGGCTGGTCTCGAACTCCTGGGCTCAAGCGATCCTCTTGCCTTGGCTTCCCAAAATGCTGGGATTACAGACATGAGCCTCTGCACCTGACCTGGCCAGTTATTTTGTAGAATGTTCCTCAGTTTAGAGTTTTACAATATTTTATCATGATTAGAAAGATAAAAAGATTATGCATTTTTGGCAAGAATAACAAACGTCACAGAAATGCCGCTGTGTCCTTCTCACTGCCTCTTTGGGTTCATGATGTCCTTGTCTCATTACTGGTGATGTTAACCTTGATCACTTTGTTAACATAGTACCTCCACTGTCGGATTACTATTTTTTCTTTGTAGTTAATAATTATCCTGGGAGAGATACTTTGAGACTATGTAAATATTCTGATTTTCCTCTAACTGGATTTTGTCTGCAACAACTACTATGGTACTGTTTCCCTAATGGTGGTTTTGTATTTCCTTCTTTCCTTCTATGTTTATTAAATGGAATTCTTCTGTTAGAGTTGTCCCTTCTCCCCTACTTATTTATTCACTCAGCAATATCAGTATGAACTCATTTTATTTTATGGGTTAAAGTCCAATACTATCATTATTCATTTTATTGCTCAAATTGTTCCAACCTGGATACCAGGAACTCCTTCAAGTTGGCTCTTGGGTCCTTTCGACAAGGTCCCTAACTTTTTGTAGCATTTCCTTACTTTCAAGCACCATAAGATTTTTCAGGCTCATCTTGTATTTTCTCTGCTCCCGCACTAAATCAGCCACTTCTCTAAAAAGTCCTAGTTCCTTTAAAAACCAAGATCTGAATGCTCAGTGCTACTGGGGTATAACTATCAAGTCAACAATATGGACAACAAGTGTTTGTTTCCTTACTATATTAAACTCACTAGCTGGGAATCACTAGCATTACCTGGGAGCTTGCTAAAAGTACAAATTCAGGCCCCAACCTAGACCCACTAGACCAGAATCTCTGAGAGCCTCCTACAGGAATTTATGTTTTAACAGATTTGCCAGATGACTCTGGTGTTCACTATAAAGTAGCTGGGTGTGGCAGTGTGTGCCTGCAGTCTCAGTTATTTGGGAGACTGAGGTGGGAGGATCGCTTGAGCTCAGGAGTTCAAGTTTGCAGTAAGCCATGATAGTGCCACTATACTCCAGCCTGGGCAACACAGCAAGTCCTTGTCTCAAAAGAAAAAGAAAAGAAAAAATAGTTATAAAGTACCTTTATACAGTACTTCAAAATATACTGTAGTCAGGTATGGTGGCTCATGCCTATAATCCCAGCCTTTTAGGAGGTTCAGGCAGGAGAGGACTGCTTGAGCCCAACGGTTCAGAGACCAGCCTAGGCAACATATCGAGACCTTGTTCATACAAAAAATACAAAAATTAGTCAGGTATGGTGGTGTGTGCCTGTAGTCTCAGCTACTTGGAAGGCTGAGGTAGGAGGATCACTTGAGACTGGGAGGTCAAGGATGCAGTGAGCCGTGATTGTGCCACTGCACTCCAGCCTGGATAAGAGAGAGAGATCCTATCTCAAAAAAGAAACAAACAAAAAACTGTAAATACTGTTACTTTTATACAAAGAAAGTTATAAGTCAGCCTCCAGGATCAAGTCCAATCTACAAATATGACCTAACATCCATAAAGCAAATCTACAAATATAGAACCCAATATAGCACTATCCTCTAAGGTCAGACTGCCTAGACCTGAATGACTGCTCCAGCTTCTGACTTGGTGTTTCTCTCTCTCTCTCTATGCCCTTGGTTTTCTTTGTTTTTTGTTTTGTTTTTGAGATGGAGTCTCGCTCTGTCGCCCAGGCTGGAGTGCAATGGCGCGTACTCAGCTCACTGTAACCTCCGCCTCCCAGGTTCAAATGATTCTCCTGCCTCAAGCCTCCCGAGAAGCTGGGATTACAGGTGCCCGCCACCACGCCCAGCTAATTTCTTTGTATTTTTAGTAGGGACAGGGTTTCACCATGTTGGCCAGGTTGGTCTCAAACTCCTGACCTCAAGTGATCCACCCACCTTGGCCTCCCAAAGTGCTGGGACTATAGGCGTGAGCCACTGCACCCAGCCCCTGGCTAATTTTTTCCTTGGTTTTCTTAATTACAAAATGGAATAATAGTACTTAGATGAAAGAGGCAGTGTGAAGATCAAATGAGATAATGTGCAATACTGGCAACCACAGGGGCACAAAAGAAGTCCTCAAAAACCGTAAATAATTATTATTTGAACTATTAAAGGCAAAACCAGACAGCTTCATTTATATAATTAAAACCCCAGAAGACACCAATGTTTCAAAATTTGACTTTTTCCAAAAATGTCATTACATTTACATGATAGATACTCATGGTCAAGGGCTGAAGGAAAATCTCTAAAAATCAAACAATTTGATTTGTTGAGGTAGTGGAGTTATAGGTGAATTTTCTTCCCAGAAATTTCGATTACCAAAATTATGTGCACAGTTCATACCAGAGCCATGGCACCAAAAAAAAAAAAATCATGTGCCAGCTCCTTTAAATATTAGTAAAGAGGAAAACAGCCCACACAGTAACAAAATAGGAATTCAAACCCAGCTATGACTCCAGTCTATGCTCATTACCAATGTTAGGGACACGCTTCCTTATTCCCAAGTGCTTGATTTCTGTGCAAAATTTATGGTAATATATGATCGCCCTATGAATTCCTTCTTGTAGGACACAGTTTAATCCAGTAGTTCATATGATGTAGAAATATTAATGAAATTTTAACACAATCAAAATTCTAAATGGTAAATAAAACAGCCAATTCTTCATTCTTTAAATTTTTTTGGAAGTTGTCGAATCTCCAAGTTTATGGGCCTTCACAGTTGACTTAGTGAACAACCTCAAAGTGATAAAGCAGACAAGGCTTTTTGAAGCAAACATTCCTTCAGGAAATTCAAGTGGCACTTCAAAGAAGTGTGGACTTTCCTGGAATAGAATTTTGACTTCTGTGTTCCATGGAAATGAATGGAATACAGAAATTACTTCTTAGGCAAAAATAAGTTATATACAAGATACAATACATTATTAAAACACCCAATAATCCTCAAATAATTAGCTACATTCTGAAGTTAATTTATTTATAAATTATTGAAGCTCTCAAGCTAGCATTACCTCTACATTAGGAAAGAAACTAGATAAAATAGTTCTTAAATGAGTCACGCAAGGTTGCGTAACAAACCAGCAGAAAAACAGGTAATCAAGTTGTGGACTGCACGTTCAGCATAATAAACATTACTGAAGACAGGCACTCAGTTTTCATAACAAATGTTAGTTTTTCAAACTATTCTAATCCACACAAAGTCTTCCAAAAACATCTGTAGTTACTCTACCATGAAGTTCCTTTTTTTATTAAATGTTTCCACTGGCCTTTTATATCCTCATCTTGTGCTCAAAAAAAAAAGCTCAAAAAACATGGATAACTGCCACAGCTTAAAACAAAGAAAGGATCTCTCATACAGATCCAAAATAAAATGTGTTAAAACCTAAAGACAGGTAAAACAAAGCCAGTATGTTTAATCTATGTAACTCATTTCTGGATCTGTGTAACAGTATAAAGTCTGATAATTAAGCATTACTCATAAAGTAGAGAGTACTATGAAATTTGTTAAAAGAAGGAAAAGGCACAAACTTTTTCATCAGGTATTAAATACAATTGGGAGAATGGTACATATATAATATGTAAGCAAAATGGTAGGAGGTCTTACTAAAACTTCAACTTTGCCCTTTTTAGCACCAATTTTTTTTTTTTTTAAGTATTATCTTTTCAGGATTAAGATTATGAATGTCGAGAACCTAGGCATGTTGGGAATGGAGTAATCGCCGCCTACACTAGTAGGCAAATTTCCCACTCACATTTCGAACCCTAAAATAATTCGGCTTCTCACCTTAAAGTCTAAACCCAAAAATTTACTCACATCTTAACCCATTTAATATTTATAAGATTCAGTTTCTTTTTATCCCAAAACAAAAATATACCCCCAACCTACCTCGTTTACTGTTTGAGTGAGGCCAGGCGTGGTGGCTCACGCCTGTAATCCCAGCACTTTGGGAGGCTGAGGTGGGAGAATCGCTTGAAGCCAGGAGTTCGAGACCAACCTGGGCAATACAGTGAGACCCTGTCGCTATAAAAATAAAAAATAAAGTAATTAGTAGGGCATGGTGGTGCGGGCCTGTAGTTCCAGCTACTTGGGAGGCTGAGGCGGGAGGATCCCTTGAGCCCAGAAGTATGAGGCTGTGGTGAGCTATGATCACGCCACTGTACTCTAGCCTCGGTGACAGGGCAAGTACCTGTCTCAAAAACAATAAAAATAAAAATACCATTTGTGCGGTACGAAGGTGGGGGTGGGGAGGGACCGTTTCTGAAAGTCCTTTTCAAAAATTCAAGATATCAGTTTCAATACTAAAACATGGAAAAGCTGCATAGTCATTTTGTTTACTTACAAATTCTGGCGAAGTTTTAAATCGTAAAACTGTTAGTATCAGGAGAGCCCTTCGAGTATTCTCTCCGCTCCACACCGCTCGGCTGCACCCAGCGGCCGCCGCGGCCCGAATGTCGTCCAGGGTCCCCGCCCATATGACAAACACTTTCCGCCGGAAGGCGCCCGTGGAATCCTGGGACTAGTAGTCTCCGTGCCCTGCCTTCTGCCTTCTCCATCCTTCACCCTCTACTGCCAGGTCGTCTGACCCAGCGACAGGCGCGGTAAATGCGCGACCAAACCGCAGAGGTCCCATGCAATCTCATGCTGACAGGATTACAGGCATCTCTGTAAGACGTCGACCACCCTGACCTGAAATTCATAGACTGAAGAAACTCATAGGACCAACACAGTGAGCAGCAGTACCAAATGATAATGGCAAGCACCATGTCCTGGAACACACCCTCTGTGCCATTAAGAGGAGCATGTAATCCAATGAGTTGCCTAATCTAAACCTCAGTTTGCTCGTGTGTCAAATGGGGACAACGTTACTTACCTCATAAGTTTGTTATTAGTAGATTAGATGACGTATGCAGCATTTCTGTTAAATGACAGTAGTGACAAAAAATAGCTGTTTTGATCTACTAATTTTATAAATGTGAAAATTAAGAGATGGCGAGCAATTTACCCAAGAACATACAATTTGTTGGGGGAAAAATGAAGTAAGTCTAAAATTCCTGTTCTTGACCTACAGCAATTCAGGACAAATCTAACCAAATTTCAAGAAGAAATCTATTCATGTAAAACTCCCTTCCCCTTTCCTCTTTTTTTTCCCATAACAGTCCTGACCAACACACTATTTTACTTATTTTGATTTTTGCCCGACTCCTCCCATAGAATATAATCTCCAAGAAGGCAGGAAACATTTTTTGTCTTTTAGTCTATTTTGTTCACTGCTGTATCCCCAGCACAGAGAACAGGGACTGCCTACTACACAGTAGCTCAAGTATTTATTGAATTAATAATTCCTCATTTAATGTGATTTTTGGTGCCTTCACTTCTCAATCACCCTCTCTTGGCAGAAGTGACAGGATTTGGTAACACTCTTGGATGGTGTTTAATAATTAACTGCAAGTCCTAATTCAACAAAAAGAATACTATATTCCATTCACTTTATTGTGTTTAATTAATTTCAGTATAACATTTCCAGGAATTTTCATTTGTATTGTCATTAAAATATTTTTCTATCATTTGTAAGACTGGGGAATAAATGGAGCCAGCTACTATGTCTTTAATTAACTTCCTCCTGTTTAATATTTTAATCATCTTTTCCTTATTAAAATTGTTTGCCTACTTCATTTGTACTACTAAGTCACAACGGATAGATTTATCTCTTTAAATAAATGAACTTCTGCTTACCCTAAAGCAAAAAGTTCCTGTACAAAAAATTTATTGTTCTAAAATGTTTCATTTAAAATAATTATTTTGGCCAGGCGTGGTGGCTCACACCTGTAATCCCAGCACTTTGGAAGGCCAAGGCGGATGGATCACCTGAGGTCAGGAGTTCAAGACCAGCCTTGCCAACATGGCAAAATCCATGTCTACTAAAAATACAAAAATTAGCTGGGCATGGTGGCAGGCACCTGTAATCCCAGCTACTCGGGAGGCTGAGGCAGGAGGATCACTTGAACCTGGAGTTGGGGGAGGCTGCAGTAAGCCGAGATTGCACCACTGCACTCCAGCCTAGGCGAAAGAGCGAGACTCCGTCTCTAAATAAATAAATTAATTAAAAATGAAATAAAATAACTGATTTAGGAACCCAGTCTCAAGAGCACAGGATTTCCAGACCTAGCCCTAATAGTTAAGTGTGTGAATTAATGCCATTTAATCTGAATTGTAATTTTTCGTGTTTCTGTCGTTCCCAATAAATGACAAATTCCCTAAAGATAGTCTTCCTCATTGCTGGCACACGTTTGATAAGTAAATGAATTATTAAGTGTATTCTTTGTTTTAATCATTTCTTTTCTTACCGGTCTTCTTTTTTGGGTCACTGAATTCCTCCAGATTTCTCAAATTCCCAAAGTAACTTTAATATCCAGAGCTGAGGCATCCTTTTTTAGTGGCCCAGCGCATCCCTTATAATATTGGCTATGACTCTACTGTCACTGTAATGTCACCTCTTTTCAGCCACTCTTATAGTCTGGATAATAGCTACAGCAGAGTATCTAGTTTCATAACAGTTTAGCTTTGCCTCAGAGCTAGTGATGAAAGTTTCGTATCTGTAAGGTTTCTAGGTGAAGGAGGCAGTCACAGTAGAGGTAGGTTTCCTTATGCTTACAACCTAGATGAGAGGGAAAATCCGATGCATATATATATGTGTGTGTGTGTGTGTGTGTGTGTGTGTGTGTTAGCATTAAAGTTACCATACCTCTAATTTTACAGTAAGTGTCTCATTAATTTAGTTGAAAGGCCATTCCTAAGCCTTTACAAGCAGTTTTAATTACAAAATATGCATATTCTGATTATTCAATAATATGCAGAACCTCTCCTCTGATTGTTCAATATGTAGAATCTCTTGTCTCTTTTTTAATTTGTCCCTCAAACCTAAGTTTTACAAGCCTGTATCCAAGTTTTATAAGCTAGTATCCCAGTTTCTACATAGTCATCTGTCTTGGTAAAATGTTTCAAGGAGACTTTAATGTTCATAATATGAACTCAATATATTACTATAAAATTTATATTTAATAATTAAATCTATTAAGGAACTTATACTATTGTGTTACTAATGAGTAATGTAATAGCCACTTTAAAGAGAAAGCCCTGCTTAAAACATAAATAAAAGCCACGTATTACCATATCAATACTTTTGAGCATTTTGTTGGAAGAGTAAATCTAGCTAATTTCCGAAATATACCATCTAATCCAGACTGACAAGGAAGAGTATCCTTTTCATTTTTCCTTAAAAGACAAGAAGAAAGAAGAAAGAGAGACAGAAAAGAAAGAAAGAAGTCTCTCTTTTGTTACTGCAGTTTTTAAAAGCTATATTGTACATAAAGCTACAGTAAACTAAGCTCCTAACAGGCCAAACCTTATCTCACTCTAAAACTGTAATTCCTCCTGCCTGTGGCCAAATTTATGGACAATATTAGTAAAAACATAGTACACAGTCGGGCAGGGTGGCTCACGCCTGTAATCCCAGCACTTTGGGAGGCCGAGAGGCGGATCACGAGGTCAGGAGATCGAGACCATCCTGGCTAACACGGTGAAACCCTGTCTCTACTAAAAATACAAAAAAATTAGCCGGGCGTGGCGGCATGCGCCTGTAGTCCCAGCTGCTGGGGAGGCTGAAGCAGGAGAATGGCGTGAATCCGGGAGGCAGAGGTTGCAGTGAGCCGAGATCGCGCCACTGGACTCCAGCCTGGGTGACAGAGCAAGACTCCGTCTCAAAAAAAATAAAATAAAAATAAAAATAAAATAAAAACATAGTACACATTACGACTTAAGTAGTTGAAATTTGTGCCAAGTTTGAGCAACAAATGAGTTGCTCAAAAACATTTTAAGGTGATTACTTGGAAGAATAAACAAACACCTTCAAACTTTTCAGAATCGCTCATTGTAACTGGTATCCAAATTACAATTTTTTAAATCTATTCACTCCAATCATACAAAGCCCTACAAGCAGTTGTATATTTGAAGGCAATTTAAGCTTTCTTTCAATAATTATTCAGACTTTACACGAACTTAATCGACCTTCTCTGAATGTGTCTAAATTTGGTTAGGTATTTGCAGATTAGCCACATCTGTAAACATTTGTATAAGGAGGTGAAACAAATAGATTTTACCATGCTTTCTTATTCCATAAAGTCCATAAAGCATTCTAAATCAAATGTAGAGTATCACGTCACATCCAGAATAAAAGTAAAAATAATGGATCACAACTTAAAATTACAGTGCTGTCTTTAATTAAAAAACTTGTTCATTTCTCACTGTGCACAATGTAGCACTAACATGGTCTTCCGAACACTGCTGCTTGGTATAAAACCGAGAAATATTAAAGACCAGGAATAAGGTTATGTGTCCTATGGGTACATTTCGGAAAAGAAAATACATCCAACGAGTATGACTCTAGATAGGATTTTGTACACCCTCAACAAGTGACAAAATTCAAAACTAGGTAACCGCCCTCATAAGGTACTTGAAACTAAAATTTTTGCCACGAAAACATGGCATGTGCAAAAGTTCTCTCTCTGGCCATCACTCCTGCTAAGGACACTGGGAAGGACATGGTCAACGTAGCAGTCGATCAAAAAGATTCCAGGGAAACTGCGCAACAGCCTGGGGCCGAGAAGCGAAACTTGGGTCTTCTCCACCCTCGTCGCACTCCTTTTCCCCGAGACTTGGTACTGGGAGATAGGACGGGAGTCTCCTACACGCAGTCAACACTTGCCACGAGCGGCTAGACTTAGGACAGGCAAGTTGCCCTGCCATCCTTCTATCGCCCCCACCCCTCCTTTACTTAAGGGCGATGGCAGAGACGTCCTCCTCCCCCTTCTCCTCCTCTTTGGTGCCTCCAGCCAGGAGGCGGGAGCGATCCACAGCAGCTGACCCAGCTCAGGCACTGCCTCTCTCACAGCCCTCAAGACACACCATGGGCCCAGAGGCAGGTTTGCTACACAGCAGCGACGACGCAGGCGGCGGCCCCAGCGACTCGCAACTGCCTCCCTGACCACAGCGGCCACCGCCCAACACCCCCGAGAAGCCATCGCCACCACCGGCAGGAGAACCTAGGGTCCATAAAGCCATCTTCGCGATCGACTAAAGCTACGTCAACAACTATGGCGGGCGACGGGCGGCGGGCAGAGGCGGTGCGGGAAGGATGGGGTGTGTACGTCACCCCCAGGGCCCCCATCCGAGAGGGAAGGGGCCGGCTCGCCCCTCAAAATGGCGGCAGCAGCGATGCGCCTGCGTACAGAACTCCTCCGTCGCGCCAGGGCCGGCGGGAAGTGAGGTTCTCGGACGAGCCGCCAGAAGTGTACGGCGACTTCGAGCCCCTGGTGGCCAAAGAAAGGTCCCCGGTGGGAAAACGAACCCGGCTAGAAGAGTTCCGGTCCGATTCTGCGAAAGAGGAAGTGAGAGAAAGCGCGTACTACCTTCGGTCTAGGCAGCGGAGGCAGCCGCGACCCCAGGAAACCGAGGAAATGAAGACGCGAAGGACTACCCGCCTTCAGCAGCAGCACTCAGAGCAGCCTCCGCTACAGCCGTCTCCTGTTATGACCAGGAGAGGGCTGCGGGACTCTCATTCCTCTGAAGGTGAGGACCGCGGAGGTAACAGTCCCAGCCGCGAGCCAGGGAACGCGCGGGGGCGGGCGCGCGCCTCGGTGGAGCTCATGCCCGCCTGGGTACTAAGTACTGGGATTGGCTAAAGGGTATTCCTCAGCCCCCTCTGGACTTGTGCCGCCGTGCAAGGGCCACCCTGACCCGCAGCGGGGAAGGAAGCGCCGACCGGAGGAGTGGAAAGATGGTCGTGTGGAGCGACCCGGGCAGGGCTGGGGCGCTCTGCCCAACATCGGGCATCAATTTAGGGGAGTCAGAGCTGCCTTTTTCTGCAGGCCTTCACGAGGGGACAGCGAATTACTGCAGGGTCGGTTTCATTTCGGTTCCCTCTACCCTGCGGATGTTTCTACAGAAACCACTTCCATTTCCTTCTTTAACGCTCGCGGGCCAGAGTCCCCAGCTGAGGATCTAACCTTTCAGTCTTTTTCCCTCCTCACCCAGGTGGGCAGAGAGGAAGGAGAAATTTTGTGAGTGGGCATTTCGAGGGATTGCTGAGTTTAGTGAATTGATTTGAGACCTCACCCAATACTTTCACCGAAATGGGGTAACTCATTTTTCCTGAACTGATGTTCCCCAGTGTTTGATAACTTGAGCTGATTGCTGTTTCTCCAGTGTGGTGGTCCCTGCCAAAAATCTGCCACTTTGGTGGCCGTCACTGTAACCTCAAGTAGTCTGGCAAATCAGACTGACAAAGTAACCTGAAAAACAAGACTATTAATTAGAGTTTTCGTCTAAATGGACAAAAGGGATGCTGACAAAGTGAGTGTATAGTGTTAGGTAAGTCATAGGTGAATCAGTTTCCTTAATCTATCCTCTCCCACCCTGCCCCCCCCATTTTAGGACCTAACACTGAGTCACAGATGAAGTTTCATGTTAATCCCATGTAAGGCACCTGTGAGGTAAAAATCAGCGGACCTGAGTCACAATGGGATGACATAGTTTGTGGTAGACTATTGATAGGCGGAGGAGTGGGTTTTCAGCTTAGAGCACGGTGATAGGCTGCAAGTTTACCTGCTGACTCGTGAAGGTACTGACAGATTTGAAGACTTGATTTTGGAAACTTTATGTTAAAGTTATGTCAGTTATTTTTGGGTGTAGCAACTGAAGACAGTTTAGCCCATATATGTGTTAGTTTTATCTCTTTTAAGATTACAAAGTTTTTGCAGACAAGGAGCCTATAATATATTTGATAGTAATTTAAGTACTTGGTTTAATTCAGTATTTTTCAGTACCTGGAAGAATGCTTTGTACATGGTAGGCAAAAAATATGTTACATTGTATTGAGTTCCACAGAGCCTAGTGCAGTTATACAGGCTAACTTTTTTTTAACAAGTAAAGAATTTACCCCTATTTTATTAAATCTTTAAGGATCTAAACATTTTTCACTCTTCTGCTTTCTTCCACATCATTTGTGACTCTCTACCCCATCTTTTTGATTTTCTGAAGTAATATATTTTTGTAAAACAACAATGGCAAATATTATTATATTCTGTTGAATTCATTGTATTCTGTCTCAAGAGGAGTTCTGACTGGTATATTTCCTAAGTTTTGGTAAACCTAACCACCTGTTTCTAAAGAAACGAATTTCTTGAATTTTTGCTTATGTATTGTTACAAAAATGCATAATCTGTGCCATGATCTCCCAGGTCATATATTCTGAATTTTAACTCTTGTTATGTCTGTTTTTTAGAGGATGAAGCATCTTCCCAAACTGATTTAAGCCAAACGATCTCAAAGAAAACTGTCAGGAGCATACAAGAGGCTCCAGGTAAGAATAGTTAACTTTTTGTTTTTCTCCTTACCTACCAACTTTTTAAATGTTCATTGAATTAAACAATGTAAGTATGTGTAAAGAAAAGACAAGGGCAGACACGTGAGTACTCAAGAGTACCAGCCACCCATATAACCTTGTAAGATAGGTATTATACCAATTTCATAGAAGAGAAAACTGAAACACAGAGAAGCTAAGACAATTCTGTAAGATCACATATGTGACTGAGCCAAAATTCAAACCCAGGTTTGTCTTCTCCAGAGCCCTTTTACTTTCCCCCCAAGTGCCTCACTATCATTCTCTCATGTCATAACTAGCTACTCAGTAAAATTTGTTCAATGTCAAATGAATGAATATGTTATACTGCCCTGTGTTTAAAATGGATTAACTTTTCTTCATGGTAAAATCTTGACACAGTGTGATCAGTCTTTTCAGTTTAATACTGTGGTTTATCAAATCTTAAGATGCTATCGACTATAAGAAACACCATCATTGTTTTATGTACCACCTAGCAAGGGAAAATGCTGCCAATTTTTTGGTAATTTGTAGTAATATGCCATAATTATATGATGCATCCCAATTTCAAAGATGTTAAAGTGTTTAAAAAAATTGTCAGAATCAATGTAACATGGAAGTAGGCTACATTTAATAGTTCACTTAAGTTTTAAAAGCTGATTAAAATATTTTAAAAAGCTGGAGAAGGGATCAAGTCCAGTTATTAATGCTTTGGGTTTTAGTTCCATTTAATTTTCAATTTGCTTTTTTTGATATTAGGAAAGTCTCACAATAATAAACAATCATAGCTGTTAAAACTGATAATCCTTGGTTTTTAGTACCCAGATCCTGACTTATTTACCTGTTTCTAATAAGATTATGCTTTATAATGTGAGCTATTGTATTCTAAACTTAGAATAAGTATGTCTGGTTCAAGTTGAGTTTCAAATAAAAACACCTTCATGCTAATTTTTTTTTCTTTTTTCTTTTTTGAGACAAAGTCTCGCTCTGTTGCTCAGGCTGGAGTGCAGTGGTGCCATCTCCACTCACTGCAACCTCCACCTCCCAGGTTCAAACAATTCTCCTGCCATAGCCTCCTGAGTAGCTGGGATTACAGGCGCCTGACACCACACCTGGCTAATTTTTGTATTTTTAGTAGACATAGGTTTTCACCATGTTGGCCAAGCTGGTCTCGAACTCCTGACCTCAGGTGATCCACCCGCCTTGGCCTCTCAAAGTGCTGGGATTATAGGCATCAGCCACCACGCCTGGCCTGTCCTATATTCCTTGAATAGTCTATGTTACTGTGTTAAGATTATAAACTATCTTAGAAAAATGCTTTGAATAATGATGATATAATCAGATTTTCTGGGCCATTTTGGAAAACCATAATCTTGAATTTATTTGCAGTAGATTTTATTGTATACCTGGGAAAGCAAAAATGTCTAATTTTAAATCTAGAGTAATTTATAAAAATTATGGAGTTAAGTAAATTGGTATAATGAAGACTACTGAGTGCTAGCCTCCGGACCATTATAAAACTATTAAGTAATAGAATGTCTTGAATAGTCTTTTTGGAGTTTATATTAGGCTCATATTTAAGAACTGCTAATGAGGTACACCATGGCTGCATGAGGTTGTGGCAAGAGCATTGGACCTCAGTGAAGTTACTCACTCATCTTGAGCCTTAGGCCTTTACCTGTGTTATTTGCCCTGCATAACTCACAGGGCCTCTGAAGAAATGAGATAGTACATTTGAAATCACTTTGTACCCGGTAAAACATGCAAGTGAGGTTTTTTTTTTCTCATAGCCCTTTACAAGAGATGTGAAGTTCATACAATTTTGCTTAAGTGTATCCTTTTTCTCAAGAAGCTTATGCTATAAATAGAAATTGAAAATGTTTACCAATATAAATGACAGATTAAATGGAATCTGCACATAGATTACCTGGACTGTATCAATAGCATACTGTGCCTTCAGTATTACTAGAAATAAGAGTATGTCTGTCTTTGAGAGGTTTGAGATACTCAGGGTTTTCTTCCTCTAAAAGGTGCTTTTATACTACATCTAATACTTGGCATATTCCCATCCCATGCCTCTTAATGAAAGGAGAGTTTAGGGAATTATTAAATGCTTATAAAGTCTAAGAGAAATTATTTAAATGGAGTCACTCTTTGATGGAGGACTGCTTTAAGTACAAGTTTAAGGTAAAGATAAGCCCTTCTTCCTCATAGAATGATAGACATTCAGTTTAACTTTGATATTCAAAATAGTGCTATAATTGTATATAAGGCTACCGGTGTGGTCTGACAGAAAATTATGCAAAGATGCCCTTACGAATAAAGACCTAGGCCCGGCATGGTGGCTCACGCCTGTAATCCCAGCACTTTGGGAGGCCAAGGTGGGCAGATCACGAGGTCAGGAGTTCGAGACCAGCCTGGCCAATATGGTGAAAACCCCATCTCTACTAAAAATACAAAAACTAGCCAGGCGTGGTGGTGGGCACCTGTAATCCCAGCTACTCGGGAGGCTGAGGCAGGAGAATCGCTTGAACGCGGGAGGCGGAGGTTGCAGTGAGCCGAGATCATGCCACTGCACTCCAGCCTGGGTGATGGAGCCAGAGTCCGTCTAAAAAAAAAAAATACCTAAACCAAAGGACCACCTTATAAAACAACATAGTAAAAATATCTACATCATTTGGTTATCTTGTTATTGGAAGACTTGAAAATGTTGATTAATTCAGAACAGGAATATAGTTTGAAATCTTCTCATTGTTTGAAATTCCATAATTGAGTTGTTTTCACTTAAAATAGCCGTTAGGTTGTTTAATCAATTCAGGTTATATATACCTACATAACAGTTATTCTCCTATGGCCAGATTCATTTCTTTCTGGAAATTATGACACTAATTTTATAATCCAAAAATATATTAGGACAAATTCTATTTACTTTTCCAGAAGTTAAATGGGTATTTTTGTTCTACTAGTGTGGTTTCTAGCTAAACAATCAGATAGTTGTTCTTAAATGCTTACTATTTTATCATGAACATTTGCTTCTCTAGCTGCTGTAGTTAGAGCATTCATTCTCCAGATAATTATTGAGCACCTACTTTGGGCCAGTCTCCATGCTTTGATTTGAGGGTGCAGTGGTGAACAAAAGCAGACAAGTGAGGAAGCCTCCTACCAAAGAAGGGTACTTGATATTTTGTTCTCTCATACCTCTCTCTGGTACCCTGTGTCTTTCAAGTACTTTACTTGGCTATGGGATATGTATATAGTAGCACATGCAGGAAATGCTTCTTAAATGAAAAGATGGGAACTGAAGTAGTGATTGATGTCTGTAGAGTCAGTTTGATTAAACATAGCTTAGTAAAAGCAGACAAACCAAAAACAGATTTTAGGTTTTAATTAAACCTGAAAAGGCTAGAAGTATAGAGAAGAAAAAGAGGAAGGTAGTTGTAATATGTGGAGTAACAGGAACTAAAATTTGCCTTTATTATCATGTGTGCAGGGTTTTTGTTTTTGTTTTAAAGAGACAGGGTCTCACTGTCACCCAGGCTGGCGTGCAGTGCAGTTATACTGCAGCCACAAACTCCTGGACTCAAGCTATCATCCTCCTGCCTTCGCCTCCCAAATAGCTGGGATTACAGGCACACACCACTATGCCCAGACAGGGTCTCAGTATGTTGCCTAGGCTGGCAAGATTTATTTTTTAAAGATATCGATATAAGTTCTAAATACTTGATGTGTGAAATACTGAGATAGATATTTCATAGAATTTTAGAGCTGGAATATTTAAGGGGATCATCAAAGTTCCAGAATGTGTTTTTTGCAACTCAGAGCTAAGACATAATGCTTTTTTATACAGATGAATGAAACAAAACATAATAGAATCCAAATTTTGATAAATATTTGGTTTTAGAACATGTTATGTGAGGTACTTGGAGAAAACATACTTTTATAGGTGGTTTTCTAGACTAAAATTAACATTTTAATAGGATCGGCTTCTCCGCTATCCCTATGCCATTGAACTATAGATGGTCTAAAATAAACCCTGGCCCACATTAATGTTTTTATTTAAAATTAATTTGCATTTCTTCAACACAAGGTTAAATAGAATGAGCGTATTGAATCTCAGGATGTTAACCCTAAAATTAAAATATTCCATAAATAATCCACAATGAGGGTCAGTCACAAATGGAATAGATAATTGAGTTGGTACCATAATACAGATTTTGGTTCTTAATTGAGCAATTTAGAAGAATTTTATTTAGTATTTCTTTCCTTCCTACAGCTACGGTTTGCTGAGAAAAAATGCAAATTTCTCCATCAAGACTATAAATTTTATATGGCAGGAAACTTGTCTCTAGTTCACTATCATCACTAGTTCGCAACAGTTGTCACTTAGAAAGCTTGTCTCTACTTCTCTAGCGTAAATAAAAGCTCTGTAAACCTTTGTTGAATAAATAAGGGATGATCATGTAATAAAGCTAGTATGTTTCACATTTTATATATTTTTAAATGTTTTCTCTTCCTATATTAGCAGTGAGTGAAGATCTTGTAATCAGGTTACGTCGACCCCCTCTAAGATACCCAAGATATGGTAAGAGATTGTTTGTCTGTTGGTTTACCTTTGTTATAAATACAGTTTTATTTTTAAATATGGTTGTACATGTATTCATATGATTCAGAACTTAAAAGTTACTGTAAATATACATTAAAAAATCTCCCTGTCCCCTCTGTCATTCAGCCAGCCAGTCTCTCTTCATCAAAAGCAACCAATGTTGTCAGTTTATATTTTTTGGAGATTTACAGAAATTCATGGATGAAATTATCTTGTCCTTTTTATAATACAAATTTTGGCTTTATAAACTCTCATTTCTGTCTTTTTTTTTTTTTTTAATTTGAGACAAGATCTCGCTCTGTCATCCAGGCTGGAGTGCAGTGGCACAACCAGGGCTGACTGCAGTCTCAATCTCTCTGGCTCAAGCAGTCCTCCTGCCTTAGCCTGCCAAGTAGCTGAGACTATGCATCCACCACCACGCCTGGCTGATTTTTGTATCTTTTGTAGAGATGGGGTTTTGCCATGTTACCCACATGATCTCAAACGCCTGGGTAAGTGATCCACCCACCTCAGCCTCCCAGAGTGCTGGGATTACAGGCATGAGCCACGGCACCTGGCTTACTTTTCTGCACTTTCTTGTTTATTTTTACTTAACATATATACAGAGATATTTCTATATTCATATATAAAAAGCTTCCTTTTTTAAAGAGATTGTTTCTTATATATTCCTGTGATTCTTTATGATGATTTTAAACTATGGTCAGGGACTTTATTCTTCCAGTATACTGCTAACAAAAAATTCAAGCTGGAGCTCTGTGGCACAGAACGACAAAATGTCCCTCCCTCAGTTATCTTTTTGACTAAAACGATTAAAAGTATTGCCCTGAAATTGATTTCATGACTATGAAGAAAACTAGTAAAGACACTCCAAGCAGTCTACTTTTACTTCATTTTCCTTGTTTTTTTGGCTCTTAAAGATGCTTTATCATGGGAACTAAAAAGGAAATGTATTTATCTTTATATTAGGCTTCTGTACCTTCCCATTCTCTTTATCAAAGAATGATGTTGATTTATTTCGATAGATAGTTGACTATCCTTTTAAGTATTCCAGTGGTAAAGATCTACTAAGGTTTTGTTAATGAACCTGTGGTAAAGAACCATATGATGCATTTCCTTTTCAACCCTAATCATTCTCTTGCTATGTCTCTTGCAGATTCGACATACAAAACAAATAGAAATACTAAAATGAGTGAATTATGTTCGTTTATTTCTATTCTTTTTTTTTTCCAGGCAGGGTCTCACTCTCACCCAGGCTGGAGTGCGGTGGCGTGATCTTGGCTCACTGCAGCCTCCTCCTCCTATTGTAGTCCCAGCTACTCTGGAGGCTCAACTGAGCCTCCTACTTCAGCCTCTGGAGTAGCTGGAACTACAGTCATGCATCACCATGCCTGGCTGATTCCTGTGTTTTTTATAGAGATGGGGTTTCACCATGTTGCCCAGGCTAGTCTCGAATTCCTGGGCTCTAGCAATCCACCCGCTTTGGCCTCCCAAAGTGCTGGGATTATTGGCATGCACAACTGCGCCCAACCCTATCTCTAATTCTTACAAGGTCTCTTTGAGGGTCCAGATTAATAGAATACAAGAGTATATATATCTAGTCATTGGCTTGAGAATACTAATTTATTATGTCAGTTTGTGGGGACCCAGTCCCTATGACTAGGACCTCCCATAAACAGCCTTGGTTTTTGTTGTCTATAATTATGCCTATATTATTGCTTAAATTCATATAAAAACATGTAATCAATTTAGTCCTGCTAGTCTTCATTAAATTCACACTATTAGGAAAAAGGAGATAACAACTTACCAATTAAGGTTTTTCTCTTGATTTATTTTTTGTTTTTGTTTTTCTGAGACAGAGCCTTGCTCTGTCACCCAGGCTGTAGTACCGTGGTGCGATCTCGGCTCACTGCAACGTCTGCCTCCCAGGTTCAAGCAATTCTCCTGCCTCAGCCTCCCAAGTAGCTGGGATTACAGGTGCCCACCACCACGCCCAGCTACTTGTTTTGTATTTTTAGTAGAGACAGGGTTTCACCATGTTGGCCAGGCTGGTTTCAAACTCCCTGACCTTGTGATCTACCCCACTTGGCCTCCCAAAGTGCTGGGATTACAGGCATGAGCCACCACGCCCGGCCTTTCTCCTTGATTTTTATTTTTATTTTTTATTTTTATTTATTTATTTATTTTTATTTTCTCGAGACAGGCTCTTGCTCTATCACCGAGGCTGGAGTGCAATGGCGTGATCTTGGCCCACTGCAACTTCTGCCTCCCTGGTTCAAGTGATTCTCCTGCCTCAGCCTTTCAAGCAGCTGGGATTACAGATGACCACCATGACACCCAGCTAATTTTTGTATATTTAGTAGAGATGGGGTTTCACCATGTTGGTCAGGCTGGTCTCGAACTCCTGACCTCAAGCAATCCACCTGCCTCGGCCTCCCAGAGTTTTGGGATTGTAGGCGTGAGCCACCACACCTGGCCCTTTCTTCATTTAGAAAGTGAATTCGATACGTTGTTCACGGCGAGTTCAGTGTCCTTTGCTGTAATACGTTCGTTGAACGGGTTTTAATTCATTTCAGTGTCTGCCTGGCTATAGGACATGACATACCATGATTTGTGGTTTTAAATGAATCTACATTGAATGTTGTTAGACTTAGTTTTTTTTACATTTTAATTATTTTCTAAATTTGAAGATGAGCCAAAAGGGAAACGCTTCATTTTTCTTTATAAATCATTGTACCTTCCTCTAATTCATCTTTCACTTAAGTTCAGGCCACTTCTTTAGAGACTTAAAAAAGCTTTTTAGGCTGGGTGTGGTGGCTCACGCCTATAATCCCAGCACTTTGGGAGGCTGAGGTGGGCAGATCACCTGAGGTCAGGAGTTCAAGACCAGCCTGGCTGGCATGGCAAAACCCCGTCTCTACTAAAAGTACAAAATTAGCCAGGCGTGGTGGTGCTGTGCACTGTAACCCCAGCTGCTTGAGAGTCTGAGGCAGGAGAATCACTTATACCCAGGATGCAGAGGTTGCAGTGAGCCGCAATCACGCCATTGCACTCCAGCCTGGGCAAAAAGAGTAAAACTCTGTCTCAAACAAAAAAAAAAACTTCTTTGGGAGGCCAAGGCGGGCAGATCACAAGGTCAGGAGATCGAGATCATCCTGGCTAACATGGTGAAACCCCGTCTCTACTAAAAAGTACAAAAAATTAGCCGGGCATCGTGGCGGGTGCCTGTAGTCCCAGCTACTTGGGAGGCTGAGGCAGGAGAATGGCGTGAAGTTGGGAGGTGGTGCTTGCAGTGAGCCAGGATTGCGCCACTGCACTCCAGCCTGGGGGACAGAGCGAGACTCCGTCTCAAAAAAAAAAAAAAAAACTTTTTAAAAAAGAGAACTTGGAACTGAAATAACCTAACACTCTTTGCTAGAGCATTTTTATAAGCACCTTGTAATAAAAACTTTGTTTTTTATTGTCTGAAATTATGTCATATTATTTAAATTCATTTTTTTGTGTGATTGTAAATTTAAAAAAGAGATTTTCATTTTAAAGTAATTTTCTGTGGGTTTAGTAGAAAGAATGAGGCTGGGTGCGGTGGCCCATGCCTATAATCCCAGCACTTTGGGAGGCCGAGGCGGGTGGATCACCTGAGGTCAGGAGTTTGAGACCAGCCCGGCCAACATAGTGAAACCCTGTCTCTACTAAAAATACAAAAAATTAGTCGGGCATGGTGGTGGGCACCTGTAATCCCAGCTACTTGGGAGGCTGAGGCAGGGAGAATTGCCTGAACCGGGGAGGTGGAGGTTGCAGTGAGCCGAGATTGCGCCATTGCACTGCAGCCTGGGCGACAGAGCGAGATTTGGTCTCCAAAAACAAACAAACAAACAAACAAAAAAAAAAAAGTGACATTTTTCAATTCCTTTATAGTAATGTTAGTACACCTTGGAGTTTATGAAATGGCCATTCGTGGAGCTTGAATACTAGTGATACCACCAGACTATTCTTTGCTCTTTCCTGCTGCCCCACTCTTGACTCTGTTCTCAAAAGCGTGATTGGCATCAAATAGTCTTTTTTTTCTTTTTTGAGACAGAGTCTCAATCTGTCACCCACGCTGGACTGTAGTGGTGCGATCTCAGCTCACTGCAACCTCCACCTCCCAGGCTTAAGCGATTCTCCTGCCTCAGCCTCCCAAGTAGCTGGGATTACAGGCACATGACACCATGCCTGGCTAATTTTTGTATTTTTAGCAGAGGCAGCATTTCACCATGTTTGCCAGGTTGGTCCTGAACTCCTGACCTCAAATGATCCACCTTCCTTGGCCTCCCAAAGTGCTGGGATTTACAGGCATGAGCCACCATGCCCAGCAGATAGTCTTAAAACTATCTGTACCAGGGGTTAGCAAGCTACCGCTTCTGGGTGAAATTGGCCTACAATCTTTTTAATCAGCCCATGAACTAAGAAGGAATTTTTACACTGCTGAAAAAGACAAAGCATGTAACAGAGACCTTATGTGACTCACAAAGCTTAAAATATCTACTATTTAGTCCTTTATAAAAAAAGTTTGCTGACCCCTGATTTATACTGATGGCAAGAATAAAGACAACAAGGCCGGGCACGGTGGCTCACACCTGTAATCCCAGCACTTTGGGAGGCAGAGGCGGGCGGATCACGAGGTCAGGAGATTGAGACCATGGTGAAACCCCATCTCTACTAAAAATACAAAAAAGTAGCTGGGCGCAGTGGCGGGCACCTGTAGTCCCAGCTACTTGGGAGGCTGAGGCAGGAGAATGGCGTGAACCCGGAAGGCAGAGCTTGCAGTGAGCCGAGATCCCGCCACCGCACTCCAGCCTGGGCGACAGAGCGAGACTCTGTCTCAAAAAAAAAAAAAAAAGAATAAAGACGACAAATCACGCAAATGGTCATTTGTTTGTTGTCAGAGTAAATTCAGGAGTTATATACTTGCTCGAACATATATTTATTACAACACTCCATACTAGGTTGTACCCAGAGCACAAGAAGAAAGGAAACAAGCTGGGCCTGGTGGCTCATGCCTGTAATCCCAGCACTTTGGGAGGCTGAGGTGGACGGATCACCTGAGGTCAGGAGTTCAAGACTAGCCTGGCCAACATGGTGAAACCCTATCTCTACTAAAATTACAAAAAATTAGCCAATTGTGGTGGCAGGCACCTGTAATCCCAGCCACTTGGGAGGCAGGCAGGAGAATCGCTTGAACCTGGGAGGTGGAGGTTGTAGTGAGCCGAGATCGTGCCATCGCACTCCACTGTCGGCAACAAGAGCAAGACTCCATCTCAAAAAAAAAAAGAAAGGAAGGAAGCAATGACTCCTGTGTTCTATCCAGTATTCCTTTGAGAAAGCACAGTAGTCTTATTTATATTTT
This sequence comes from Homo sapiens, assembly GCF_000001405.40. NCBI lineage: Eukaryota > Metazoa > Chordata > Mammalia > Primates > Hominidae > Homo > Homo sapiens. The sequence continues at coordinate 179,894,774 of NC_000001.11, forward strand.
CATGTCTTTGTCCCCAGACAAAACACAAAGTAAGCCAAGTTTATGTTTTCTTGAGTGGCCTTTGCTCCTCACACCAAGTACCTCCCACAAATTTCTAGGAATAGCAAAATCTACAGGAGAAATGTAGATGCTTTGGCACCTGGGCTTTCAAAATAACTAGGGAATTTTATAAGTTGTAAAAGGCCGGGTTATACCTAAGGTTTGAATTCCTTAAAAACTGGCCAAGTAAAAGAAAGTAAACAAAGTGGCACAATTAATGCTTGGTTTTCACTAGAGGCGATGACTGTTAAGTGATCTATCTTAAACATAAAGACCTCGGACTTCTGAAAGTAGCTTTTCCTAATTGGTTGAGGTTACTGGAAAATATAACACCTTCTTAAACAGCATGTTTAATTATTACCATTTGTCTATATATTTGCTAAAGCCACAGCCTTTATGATTTCTTTAATAATGTTTTAATATTAAGGATTTTTTGCTCAAAATATGATTTTAATTCTCAAAGCTTCTGTATGAACATTGGGAAGAGTAATACCTTTTTTAAAAAAGTATTTTTTTAAGGCCAGGCATGGTGGCTCATGCTTGTAATCCTAGCTGTTTGGGAGGCCAAGGCAGGTGGATCGCTTGAACCCAGGAATTTAGCCTGGGCAATGTGGCGAAACCTCGTCTCTACAAAAAAATGCAACTGTTAGCTGGGTGTGGTGGCACGTGCCTATATTCCCAGTTACTTGGGAGGCTGAGTCTGGAGGATCACTTGAACCCAAGACACAGAGGTTTCAGTGAGCAGAGATTGTGCCACTGCACTCCAGCCTAGGCGACAAAAAGAGACCTTGTCTCAGAAAAAAGAGGCCGGGCACGGTGTCTCACACCTGTAATCCCAGCACTTCGGGAGGCCGAAGCAGGTGGATCACCTGAGATCAGGAGTTCAAGACCAGCCTGGCCAACATGGCGAAACCCCGTCTCTACTAAAAATACAAAAATTAGCCGGGCATGGTGGCACAAGCCTGTAGTCCCAGCTACTCGGGAAACTGAGGCAGGAGAATCACTTGAACCCGGGAGAATCACTTGAACCCGGGAGGCAGAGGTTGCAGTGAGCCGACATTGCACCACTGCACTCCAGCCTGGGTGACAGAGTGAGACTCTGTCTCAAAAAAAAAAACAAAAACAAAAAACAAAATCTAATGCTTTAACTTTCGACATGTAGCAGCCAAGTTTAAAATAGAGGTAGGTGAAAAACAAAAGAGGGAAATGAAATTAAAGCTTATGTAGTCATGGCTACTGATTCATCATCAGATCGCACTTAAATATTTATTTCCATTCTTTGCAGCTTGGGTAAAAAGGTGGAATGTTTAAAACCTTGCAGGTATCTAATTATTAAGCACTAATTTCAGACTTTTTAAGTTGCTAAGTAACGTTAATCATAGTATGAGAAATATTAGCAAAAATCTGGACTTAACATCTTTATTCTATAATCATAAAATCTATTTTATTCATGGAACAAACTTTTTTTATTTTTATTTTTTTTGAGACAGGGTCTCACTCTGTCACCCAGGCTGGAGTGCAGGAGCGTGATCTCGGCTCACTGCAACCTCCGCCTCAAAGTGCTGGGATTACAAGGCATGAGCCACCATGCCCAGCCAAACATTTTTAAACACCTTCTTTATGTCAGTGACCGACCTAAGTGCTAGGATCATAAATAGCCATTCAGGTTTTTTTTTTTTCCTACCTCTTAGATGTACGTGATGTAATGGAAGAGAAAAACAAGTTTACAAATCTTTTTTTTTTTTAAGTGCTGAAATAGTGACATATGTCTGCGGGATCCTAGACGAGAAGCACCCTACTCAGTGGAAGAGGTTGAGGCGGTTTTATGAGTTGGAAATGACATTTGGATTGAATTTTGAGGGATGAATAGCAGGCAGAATGAGGACGGAGACTTGCAAATACTACAGTTTGCTTTATAATAGACATTTTACCTTTAGAGAGCATGCAATATGAGAAATTAAAGTCTTTTATATTACAGACAATACTCTCACACTAGCCATAATTCTTTATCTGAGACGTTAAATAATGTTTAGAATGACATTCGAAATCATAGCAGGCTTGGGTTTCTTGAGCTTTGTTTACCAGAATGAAAACCTTGTTTTAAAATGTATCTGTAGCCAAGACAGTAGATAACCTGATTCAATAATGATTGATTGTCAAATCTACGGGGATTATTATTATTTAAGATCTAATTCATAGATATTATTGGATTATAAAACACAAAATAGTACTTTTTTTGTTTTTAGTGATGGGATCAAGATAGCATTGCATAACTAGTTATTCTTGTTTTGAATACTATTGATAAATATTTATTGTTAGGAACATAGAATTCTAAAAAAGGATCTTTAGTCACTAGATTAAATCCAGAAGTCTGAAAAGTGTTGAAAAATGGATAGAATCCATGATTTATTAGATACTTCAAATATAATAACATGTTAGAAGTATTAAAATCAAATGGGGAGCTCCCTTATGTAAGCTGGCTAAAAAATAATTATTAAACCATCTCTCCATGCTAATTAGATAACACATAGATAAGCAGAAAAAAGATTGAATTTTAGGCAACTTGGTATATGGAGAAATGACTGTTAAATGAATTGGCTCTAGACAAATTGACCTGGAACTTCAAATGTGTACAGAAATAAAACATATCTTCAAATGTATACAGATAAAACATACCTATCGAAAAAAGGGATTACTGTATTAGTCATACTACTGTACTGTGTACTGTACTGTACTATTCTGATAGCTCAACAAATGAATGTAAATCTCCAACATATCCTTTCCATTATTATAGATTCTAAAATCTATTCAGCCCTAGTTAAAGAGGTTTTGTCTACCATATAATTTTTAGAGTAACTATGTAAAACATAACACTGAAATATAAATGGGACCTTAGTAAAGCCTACTGTATTACATGAATTACACTTAGAAGTTTATTGGAACCTCTCATATTAGGAAAAGTTCAGCTGTCAGCCGTTTCTTTATTCATCTATTCAAAAAATTGGCCAAGTGCAGTGGCTCATACCTGTAATGCCAGCACTTTGGGAGGCTGAGGCAGGCAGATTACTTGAGCTCAAGAGTTCGAGACCAGCCTGGGCAACATGGCAAACAAAACCTTGTCTCTACAAAAAGTATAAATATTAGCAGGGTGTGGTGACATGTGCCTGTAGTCCCAACTACTCAGGAGGCTGAGGTGGAAGGATGGCTTGAGCCTGGGAGGGAGGGGTTGCAGTGAGCCAAGATCACACCACTGCACTCCAGCCTGGACGACAGAACCAAACCATGTCTCAAAAAAAAAAAAATTATTGAGTGTTTACTATGTGCTGTTATGAACAAGACTGATGAGGTGGTAGGATTGTAATAGACTGGAAGTCAGAAGAACCTGCGGTCTTCTGGCTTTTTTTATTATTAAATTAGACCTATACCCTTAGACAAGTCACTTGATATCTATGAACCTTACTTATGAAAATCTTCCCTTATGATGAGATGGGAATCAGATGACATTCATGAAGGGTTTTTTGAAAATCAAATAGCATCATGCAAATATTAAGGACTTAGCATTTTAAGATAATAACAAAAATATGATTATTGATTCTTAAGAAAGCATCTTGTATTTGCATGCTATGTGAATAGTTACATAAATGAATAAAGTAAAACTGCTATACAAAAATATGAAGTACTATAATAATTATGCACTTAGATAATAAAACTTCAAAAAGAGAACAATACCTTTTTGTAGGAATGGAAATATTAATTAAAAATTTTTGGCCAGCTGTGGAGCTCATGCCTGTATTACAGTCTCAGTACTTTAAGAGACCAAAGTGCTGGGATTACAGGCTAGGAGATGGGAGGATTGCTTGAGGCCAGGAGTTTGAGACCAGCCTGGTCATGATGTAAAACCCCATCTCTTGTTTTAAATTAAAATCTTAAAAAAAATTTTTTTCGTTTGACTTTTCCTTTTTCTCCCTCAAAAAAGAGAAAAAGAAAGGACAGTGTTCCTAAGAAACCTAGAGCAAAATAGTACTTAATACACCAGAGTCTAGCTCTTTAAGAGTAACATGGTGTTATCAGCAGTTTTCTCTGGGTTAGTTTTTTTTTTTAAATAAAAAAATGTTGGCAAATATATTTCAGATACTGATTTGCACTTGCCACTGTCAAGAGGAAGTATTTTCAGTGGAACTCAAAGCTTGACTAGTATTATACTAATCTAATTAAATGGATTTAAAATAAATATTTTCAAATTCACCGTATAATGTGTTAGCAGTTGCTTTCTATAATACTATTGTCCCTTTTAATAAGCAAATTGAGGTTAAAATCAGTAGAGATAAAAGCTGAAATTTTCTCAGCTTTGTTGAAGAAGTCTAAATCATGCTACTTCTCTACATATGATCCTTCAGCGATATTTTAACCCAATTGTGAAATACCTGCATTTGGGTACATCTCACTATTTTTTTTTTTTTTAAGTTTCAGAATAGCCCATGTAAAAATACTATGTTCCAAGTTTATTTGATGTGTTTTGCTTGTTTATTTTTGTTCAAATTCTCTTTTGCACTGGAAAACAGTGACATACATGGACCCGCCAGAACTAGAAGTTTCTTTACCTTTCTTCCTCTTTGGATACACCAATGCTCGAAAGAACTGGGTTATCAGTCCAGTTAGTGTAGTTGGTTTTTAAAGGGAGTATAGGGGATTTGGCAAATAAGAGAATGAGAATATAGCAAACCTATACACACTAGAATATTTGTCAATGTAGAATTTAATGTTTTTTTTGCATACAAAGGTTACATTTTAGAGTAAAAATAGACCTGTGACTGAAGGAAAATTAAACACTTCATTTCCTTTTTCTGTTTGAGACAGAGTCTTGCTCTGTCGCCCAGGCTGGTATACAGTGGCGCGATCTCGGCTCACTGCAACCTCTGCTTCCCAGGTTCAAACTATTCTCCTGCCTCAGCCTCCCGAGTAGCTGGGATTACAGGCACACACCACCACTCCTGGCTGATTTTTGTATTTTTAGTGGAGACAGGGTTTCACCATGTTGACCAGGCTGGTCTCAAACTCCTGACCTCAAGTGATCCACCCACCTCGGCCTCCCAAAGTGCCGGGATTATAGGCGTGAGCCACTGCACCCGGCCAATTCTTAGTGATTTAACAGAAAAAGAATTTATTTAATGTGTCCTCATGTTCATTTTCCTAAACGAGATGCTCTTTTATTTATTCCTAAGCTTTAACTTTTTTCCTAAGCTTTTGTTTATTCCTAAGCTTTAACTTTTGATGTTATATGTTTAATATTTGATGTATGCTTTTTTCTTCTAGAAGCCACCAGTGTCCAACAGAAGGTCAATTTCTCTGAAGAAGGTATTTTACTTGTAAATATCATATAATATATACTTTAAGTCTTTTTCTTTACATTAGAAGCCATTCTGATAGATATTTAAGAAGTGGGAACAGAGCCGGGGACTGTGGCACATGCCTGTAGTCTCAGCTACTCGGGAGGCTGAGGCAGGAAGATCACTTAAGTCCAGGAGTTCTGGGCTGTCTGTAGTGCACTATGCCGATCAGGTGTCTGCACTAAGTTTGGCTTCAATATGGTGACCTCCCGGGAGCGGGGGACCACCATGTTGCCTAAAGAGGGGTGAATCCATTCAGTTCAGAAACGGACCAGGTCAAAACTCCCGTGCTGATCAGTAGTGGGATTGCAACTGTGAATGGCCACTGCACTCCAGCCTGGGCAACCTAGTGAGAGCCCATCTCTTAAAAAAAAAAAAAACAAAAAGAAGTTAGAACAGAAAATAATGTGTTTTTCTTCAAGAAAAAAAATTCATGCTTATCTGAACTGTTAACTGGGCAGAAATAATAGGACAGATAGAATGAGTGATGACAGCCTTACATTTTAAGCATCTTTTGTCTATTTGGGTTCATTTTAAGCAAAGATAATATTTTCTATTATGGTATTAAAGTAATCAGTTTTCCAAATTCTCATAACCAGTTTATGTTTGAAAAGTACAGGAATAAAATTTAGTTTTTGTTGAAGCTCAGCATAATCTGAGGGTGGTCACCTGCATAATAGAATGTTTGTGTGCAGGTGTGTGTACACTACCCCTCTACCACCAACACACACACACAAATACACATCTGAATTTAACTACACACTAATTATATGTAGTTTTCCTCCCCATAAACTTTTTCCACTGTTTAACGCTCATCTGTTCATTTTTGACTCTACATTAAAGCCTTATAGTTTTTTAGATATTACTCTGAATATTTGTTTAGGAAAGTATTATGTGCCCCAGAGGACACAAATTGAGATAAATTTTAGTTCCTTTGGAACTTTGGGATTCAAAATAATAAGCATGATAAACAAACAGTAGTTCTATATCTGATAACTTAAAAGGCTTCTTTTAATGTTAAATTATTTGCTTGGTTTTTTTAAATTCAGATCTTCTGAGCATTAAAATAGACTATATTAGTATATTGTTTACTTCTCTTTAGGAGAAACTGAAGAAGATGATCAAGACAGCTCTCACAGCAGTGTCACTACTGTTAAGGCCAGATCCAGGGATTCTGATGAATCTGGAGGTAATATTGCTTTATATACATATGACTCTTCTCATAGAACTATCTTTGGTATTCCATGAATTTGCTTTTTAAAAAAAACTTTCAAATTTTTATTAATACTTTATAAAAAGTCGTGAATTTTTCTTTAAATATTTATTAAAATTACTGATTTCGTGTTCATCCGATTAATACTATGTCATGATATCTAAACAAATCACTTTTAGCTTTTTTTGATATTTGTGGAAAATAAGATATTTTTGTGCTCAAAAGAAGAGTTACTTGTTGTTTTTTGAATTTTATAGAGAAACTAATCACATTGCCATTGGGACTGACAACACTATCTGGAGTGTTACTTTTAGGAAGTTTTCATTTAATTATATAACTAGCTTTATCTCTGGATTTTCAAATTCAAACCAAATTATTAATTAACAAGTTCTGATTGTTTATGTGAATTTAAGTTTATTCAATGAAAGAGTTGACTAAAGAGAGAAAAATACCAGTTTGAGGCTTAAGATAATGTTGAACAAGACCCTCCCCCCCAAAAAAGATAATGCTAAACAAATTTGTAAACTCTGTAAATAATGAGTAATTTTATACTTTAGTCCTGCACTTTCCCTTCACCACCTCCTTAAAATTTCTGTAATTCCAATTCTTTTTTTTTTTTTTTTTTTTTTTTAAGGCAGAGTCTCACTCTGTCACCCATGCTGGAGTGCAGTGGCGCAATGTCGGCTCACTGCAGCCTCTGCCTCCTGGGTTCAAGTGATTCTCCTGCCTCAGCCCCCCAAGCAGGTGGGATTACAGGTGCGCACCACCACATCTGGCTAATTTTTGTATTTTTAATAGAGATGAGATTTCACCATGTTGGCCAGGCTGGTCTTAAACTCCTGACCTCAGGTGATCCACCTGCCTCTGCCTCCCAAAGTGCTGAGATTACAGGCCTGAGCCACGACGCCTGACCTGTAATTCCTATTCTTTACCTCATCATTTCACTTTAAAAATAAGTACATAAGCTGGTTTGGTTTTTGTTTTTATTTTTTTGAGACAGGATCTCTCTCTGTCACCCAGGTTTGAGTGCAGTGATGCGATCATGGCTCACTGCAGCCTCGACCTCCCAGGCTTAAGCAATTCTCCTGCCTCAGCCTCCCAAAGTGCTGAGATTATAGGTGTGGGCCACCGTGCCTGGCATTATACGCTGGTTGTTGGGCATTTGGTATTCTGTGTGTTTCCCACCCTTCCTCATTTTTCCTATGAATTCTTGATACAGAAATGGAGATTTGTAACACGCTGGTAGTGTCTAGCTAGAATTTCTGGGTTCCATTCCTTCACTTTTTAGCTGTTTGCCTTTAGAGAGTTATTTAACTTCTGTGTTCCTCAGTCTTGTCATCTGGATTGTTGTGGGGGTTAAATTAATTCATATATGCAAAGCACTTACCTGGCACATAGTAAACACTAAGTGCTGTTATTAGTGTTCATACATATTACATGAAGCTCTAAAAATTAGAGGTTAATTAAGCCATTTATATAGCCAATAGTTTGCTGCCATTGCTACCAGCATAACTATTTGGAAGTACATAAACCTCAGGTCCTGTGATTGCGCGATCGCACTTCAGCCTGGGCAACAGAGCGAGACTCCATCTCAAAAAAAAAAAAAATATGGGCACTTCACCTTTTTGTATCAATGTGTCTGTTTCCAAAACAGCAACCTGATCACTTTTAAACTAATTTAGTTATAAATTCTACTTTTATTTGGGAAAAAATGTTTTTAAGAAGAGTAGACTGAAAGCAAGGCATGGTGATAGGTACCTATAGTCCCAGATACTGAGGAGGCTGAGGCAGGAGGATCCCTTCAGTTCATGACCAGCCTGGGCAGTAACGTGAGACTCCATCTCTTAAAAAAAAAGAAGAAGAAGAAAGAAAGAAAAAGAGTATACAAAAATATTGCCCACTTGCAATAAAAATTTAAAGCAAAAATGGATATTAATGATTTCAAGATGCTCCACTGTTGTAAACTTTGAAAATTTTCCGCAACTCAAAGGTTTTATTATGTCATTACCTTGGGGCATGTTCTGTATCATAACAATTTTTTAAGTGGTTATTAGCTAATATTTTAGATGTGACATGACTCTTTAGAAACTTTTTTAACCTTTTTTTTTTTTTTGAGACAGAGTCTCACTCTCTTGTTCAGGCTGGAGTACAGTGGTGCGATCTCGGCTCGCTGCACCTCTGTCTCCCTGGTTCAAGCAGTTCTCCTGCCCTAAGGCCTCCCGAGTAGCTTGGATTACAGGCACGCGCCACCACGCCCAGATAATTTTTGTATTTTTAGTGGAGACGGGGTTTCACCACGTTGGCCAGGATGGTCTCAATCTCCTGACCTCAGGTGATCCGCTTGCCTCAGCCTCCCAATGTGCTGGGATTATAGGCAAGAGCCACTGCACCCAGCCTAGAAATTTTTTAAATAAATTATGCATCCACGTTTTTAACCACCTGGGAGTTACCCGAATATTTTTGCTCTTTTTATTAATTTCTCACTGTTGTCTTGTAAAATGTACAGTCTAAAAGTTGGATATTATTTATAGTGTACTGTTTTTTATTTTTTAGATAAAACCACCAGATCATCTAGTCAATATATAGAATCATTTTGGCAGTCATCACAAAGTAAGTAAAGCTGTGTTTACAGTGTCTTCCTGTGAGCTTGGTCAAATGATGTTCCTATTTTTGAAGATCCTCTTTTGAAATTTAACGTAAATATTGAACAAGAGGAATAATGAATGCTAAAAAAAAACTTATCCGATATCTCTCTACCACTTGACCTTGCTTATTGAGTTATTATTCTCTATACCCAAACCTGAATTTGAACTTAAAAAACAAACAAAAAACTACTACTTCCTGTGATTTGTTGAATGTCTTTGCTAGCAGTATAAATGGGTTGATTGCTTTTATTTTAACAGACTAATGTAGTAGTTTGAGCCTATTTATATGCACTTATTCTAATAAGGACATAAAATTTTATATTAGTACAATTTCAACTCTGTTGTAAAAGTTTGGAAGGATGAATAAATAAGTGATAAAGCACATGTAATAAAAAGTTAATGGCAAGCTTGGTTATGGGTATATAAATATTCATTTCAGTCTTACAACTGAAAATTTTTGTGATCAAATATTGAGAAAGTATAACAAAAAAAGATTGGAAAGTCATATACCAAAATGCTAATAATGATTTGCTTAAGAATCATTGGTGACATTTTTTTAACTTTATTATTTTCTTTTTTCTTTTTTTGAGACAGGTTTTCACTCTGTTACCCAGGCAAGTGTAGTGGTGCCGTCATGGTTCACTGTAGCCTCGAACTCCTGGGCTCAAGGGATCCTCCTGCCTCAGTTTCCTGAGTAGCTAAGACTACAGGCACGTGCTACCATGCCCAGCTAATTTTTAAATTTTTTGTAGAGACAGAGTCTCACTATCTTGCTCAGGCTGGTCTCAAACTTTTGGGCACAAGCATTCCTCCCACATCAGCCTCCCAAAATGCTGGGATTGCAGGTGTGAACCATTGCGCCCAGCCACCTTTATTATTTTGTTACTACTGTTTTTTTCTTTTGACATTTTTAAATCAAGTCTCCCAAAATCTGAGTTAGTTATTAATCAACCAAAAATATCTTTGTATGTAAAAATCTTCAAGAACTTTTTTTTTCTTCCACATTACTTTCTTTTCTTAAGAAAAAACTTTTGGAAGGCCAGGCGTGGTGGCTCATGCCTGTAATCCCAGCACTTTGGGAGACCAAGGCAGGCGGATCACTAGGTCAAGAGACCGAGACCATCCTGGCCAACATGGTGAAACCCCGTCTCTACTAAAAATATAAAAATTAGCTGGGCGTGGTGGCGCGTGCCTGTAGTCCCAGCTACTCGGGAGGCTGAGGCAGAAGAATGGCGTGAACCTGAGGGGGCAGTGCGGAGCTTGCCGTGAGCCGAGATTGTGTCACTGCACTCCAGCCTGGGCGACAGAGTGAGACCCTGTCTCAAGAAAAAAGAAAAAAAGAAAAAGCCTTTGGAAATCTTTTTTAAAATCATTGTATTTCTAGAATTCAATTTTATATTTTTTATTTTAATTTTTAATAGGTTCTGGGTTTGTGACTATAAAATGAGACATAAAATGAATTAGCTGCTGGGAAAAAATCAGTTGTGGAAAATTACTCTTCGAATTATTTTATGTATTTGCCCTATTTTACTCCAAATCTTTGATCTTTGGAAACTCTTAAATGTATCTACCCGTATAAATGATATTATACCCATGCAGTGAGATACTATTTAGTCTGGGGACGGTGGCTCACACCTGTAATCCCAGCACTGTGGGAGGCCAAGGCAGGTGGATCACTTGAGGCCAGGAGTTTGAGACCAGCCTGGCCAACATGGTGAAACCCCGTCTCTGCTAAAAATACAAAAATTAACCACGTATGGTGATAGGTGCCTGTAATCCCAGCTACTTGGGAGGCTGAGGCAGGAGAATCGCTTGAACCCAACAGGCAACGGCGGCAGTGAACTGGGATTGCACCACTGCACTCCAGCCTGGGTGACAGGGCAAGACTCCATCTCAAAAAAAAAGAAATACTATTTAGAAATGAAAAATGAGTTAGTTCATTGTATCCTAATGAAAAGTTGATCAAGATATATTTCATTGACTTTAAGATACTATTGATTTTATGTATCAATGAGAAAGAAAAACCATCCAGTTAAACTATGCCATACCATTAATTAAAAGATATATCTGTAGATCAAAGGGCATTTTTTAAAAAGTATGTCTTAGAATTTGATGAAAATATTAAAACGTATGTATCCACTTTTTTAAAAGTATATTTTTAGTATAGGCTGAAAACAAAGCTGAGAGAATATCTGTCTTATTTACCATAATATTTCTATGTTCAATGTTTTGCACATAGTAGATACTTAACAGATAGATATTCATGAATTTTTAAATTAAGCATTTCTAGAATGGCCCCTTTTTTTAAACAGCTAGCACATGTTTGTATTCAGAAAAAGTTGAAAATAAATAAATGTAAATCGATACTTGTATTTATCATCAAAGAGTAACTCATTTTCTCAGGGCAGATTTGAAAATTTACCTTGTTATAATTGTAATGTCATTTTTTAGTCATCCCATTGTGTCATTTTACAGTTATCCTTAAATACCACCTCAAAACCTGAAGTAGCATGTTTTACTTCATAGCTACTTTGCAATGTCCATAAATCTGCATAGATAGTACATACCATTTCTTTATGGTATGGTATGTGGTATATGATATGGACTGCCTGGATTTGTATCTCAGCCCAACTACTTTTAGATATATAATTTTGGAAAAATTACCAATTTTGGTTCCCCCCCCCCCTTTTTTTTTTTTGAGACAGAGTCTCGCTCTGTCGCCCAGGCAGGAGTGCAGTGGTGTGATCTCAGCTCACTGCAAGCTCCGCCTCCCAGGTTCACGCCCTTCTTCTGCCTCAGCCTCCCGAGTAGCTGGGACTACAGGCGCCCACCACCACGCCTGGCTAATTTTTTATATATTTAGTAGAGACGGGGTTTCACCGTGTTAGCCAGGATGGTCTCGATCTCCTGACCTCATGATCCACCTGCCTTGGCCTCCCAAAGTGCTAGGATTACAGGCATGAGCCACCGCATCCAGCTGATTTTCCCTTATTTATAAAATACGAACAGTAATAGCATCTACCACATAAGAATTAAGCAAAATTGGCTGGGCATGGTGGCTCATGCCTGTAATCCCAGCACTTTGGGAGGGCGAGGCAGGCAGAGCATTTGAGGTCAGGAATTTGAGACCAGCCTGGCCAACATGGTGAAACCCTGGTCAGGAGTTTGAGACCAGCCTGGCCAACATGGGGAAACCCTGTCTCTACTAAAAAGACAAAAAATTTGGTCAGGCATGGTGGTGCACACCTGTAATCCCAAGTACTTGGGAAGGTGAGGCAGGAGAATATCTTGAACCTGGGAAGCGGAGGTTGCAGTGAGCTGAGATTGTGCCACTGCATTCCAGCCTGGGTGACAGAGTCAGACCCTGTCTCAAAAAAAAAAAAAAAAAAAGAATTAAACAAAATTATACTTGATATATATGACTATATGTAGTTTTTATTTTGATGGTACTGATCCTAAACTAACTCCTTATTGTTGCCCAATTCCTAAACATTTTGAAGTTTAGAAATGAGGGGGAAAGAAATACACACACACTTTATATATATATATATATATATATATGTATATATATGTATATATATAGTATATGTATGTTTTTTATATATATATACTTTATATATTTATATGCTTGGAATTGATGAGAGAATGTTTTTTGTCTGTTGTTTGTTTTTAGTATCCACAGTAAACAAGCAAAATGTCTGTGCAACATCTTTTTTGTTGTTATTTTCAAGTATTCTATGACCTTATCCCTGTTTTCTGTTTCAGGTCAAAACTTCACAGCTCATGATAAGCAACCTTCAGTGCTAAGTAAGTAGTTGGTTGTCTGCTCTTTTTTCAGCCAATCAATTCTTTTCTCTTTTTTTTTTTTTTTTTTTTTGAGACGATGTCTTGCTCTGTCGCCCAGGCTGGAGTGCAATCTGGGCTCATTGCAAGCTCCACCTCCTGGGTTCACGCGATTCTCCTGCCTCCGCCTCCCAAGTAGCTGGGACTACAGGCGCCCGCCACCACGCCCGGCTAATTTTTTGTATTTTTAGTAGAGACGGTGTTTCACTGTGTTAGCCAGGATGGTCTTGATCTCCTGACCTCATGATCCACCTGCCTCGGCCTCCCAAAGTGCTGGAATTACAGGTGTGAGCCACCGCACCCAGCCTCAGTCAATCAATTCTAACCTTGCCTTATTCTCCCAACAAAAGTTGTAATAAGATTTTAAGTCATTTTACCCCTCTTTACCTTTTTAATTCACCACGGATTGGTACTACCTATAATAATTACTCTGTGATATGGAAATGTGTTCAGGGCTATTTTACCACAAGTAATTTGTATTATGTGATAATATATTTATTTGCTACCTGCTTTGCTGTAGGAAGTGGTTCATCCTCACTGATACGATCCTTTGAAATTATCTTTTACTTATAAAACTATTGCTTTTATTGTTTTCTTCCCCTACTTTATTTTGTCTTTCTGATAGATTAATTTTATAACACTGGAATATGGTATAAACTTTCAAAGTATGGGAAATTATCTTTTGATATATGTATTTGCTTCAGGCTCAGGATATCAAAAAACTCCCCAGGAATGGGCCCCACAAACTGCAAGAATAAGGACCAGGATGCAAAGTAAGTAGATAAATCTCTGTTATTGAAATAATCTTGTGTATTTGCTATGTTTTTCTTGACAAAAATATTTAGTTCTTCAGATAAACATTTAGGTTGTTTGTGATTTCACTAATAAAGTACAGCTATGATTACTAGTTTAGTAATTTCTTGGACTGGCAGCACATGGGCTGGGTGTAGAATGTAAATAGTGGCGTGAGAAAACCAGAGATTGGCCAGGTGCGGTGGCTCACGCCTGTAATCCCAGCACTTTGGGAGGCCGAGGTGGGTGGATCACGAGGTCAGGAGATCGAGACCATCCTGGCTAACACGGTGAAACCTCGTCTCTACTAAAAATATTTAAAAAAGAAAAATTAGCTGGGCGTGGCGGCGGGAGGCTACTCGGGAGGCTGAAGCAGGAGAATGGTGTGAACCCAGGAGGCGGAGCTTGCAGTGAGCCAAGATTGCACCACTGCACTCCAGCCTGGGCGACAGAGCGAGACTCCATCTGAAAAAAAGAAAAAAAAAGAGAAAACCAGAGATTGATGGATTTTAACAAGCTGTCAGTTATAGCAGCAATACAGTCTGTATACAATAATGAAATTCTACTCTTTTGACAATACTTATTTTTTGCTTTTAGCAGATTTTGGAACAGCTTTGTATACTCATAATTTTACATAATAAAGGCTGAAATGCACAAGTTATATTTTCATGTTTAGGGTTTTTTTTCTGTTTTTTGTTTTGTTTTGTTTTGTTTTGTTTTGTTTTGTTTTGTTTTTGAGATGGAGTCTTGCTGTGTTGCCCAGGCTGGAGTACAGTGGTGCAACCTCAGTTCACTGCAACCTCTGCCTCCCGGGTTCAAGCAATTCTCCTGCCTCAGCCTCCCAAGTAGCCAGGACTACAGGCGCGTACCACCACACCCAGCTAATTTTTGTATTGTTACACGCCTGGCTAATTTTTATATTTTTAGTAGAGACAGGGTTTCACCATATTGGTCAGGCTGGTCTTGAACTCCTGACCTCATGATCTGCCTGCCTTGGCCTCCCTGAATGCTGGGATTACAGGCTTGAGCCACTGCGCCCAGCCTTTCTGGGTTTTTGGGGGTGTTTTGTTTTGTTTTGGGTTTTTTTTGAGATGAAGTCTCCCTCTGTCGCCCAGGTTGGAGTGCAGTGGCACAATCTCAGCTCACTGCAGCCTCCGCCTCCCACATTCAGGTCATTCTTGTGCCTTAGCCTCCTAAGTAGCTGGGACTTGCATGCATGCGCCACCATGCCCAGCTAATATTTGTACTTTTAGTAGAGACGGGGTTTCGCCATGTTGGCCAGGTTGGTCTTGAACTGCTGACCTCAAGTGATCCGCCTGCTTCAGCCTCCCAAAGTGTTGGGATTACAGGCATGAGCCACCACACCCAGCCTCATGTTTAGGTTTTGGATGGATTAAATGTCACAGAATTTAAGGAATACTATAAATTGATGTGATAAAACCATCGTACTTTGAACTCACTTTCTATAATTTCTATGGAAATGCGTCCACGTTAAATCTCGACCATATTTTTTTAAAGTCCATGCATATTCTCTGCCTTAAGTGACCTTTAACCTCCCTACTTTACTCATCTAACCACAATAGGTCTTGAGGTCATCAGGTATTCTCTTACTTTTATTTAGGTAATGTAAAAATCCACATCTTATATCTCTTGCTCATGGGATGATTAACTGTAATTGGACCAAATGACATGCGTGGCTCTGCTTTTCCATCAGTAAAGTAGGAGTGGTCATAATTCATTTTTTCTCAGCAGTGACGTTTTTAGCCCACATGTAAGTGAGTTCTTAAGCAGTCTAGAACCGAAATAACTTTTTGCCCTTGTCTTACTGTTGGTTGTCATTTCTTATTGCTGTGATTATGTGCCTGCTATTAGAAAACCATTTCCTCTTATAATTTGCTCTTCCTGACCTATTATAGTTAGGAAACCAAACATTAATTATTCAGCTTATTAGAATTATGTTTATAACCAGGATCAAACATTAAAATTAAATTTGAAGACCCAAGAGATACTCTTGGATGTAAAAATGCATGAGTTTTAGTGTATATAATGTGAAAAGCTCAGAGGCATCTTGTGTCATTTCTTAGTTCTTAACTGTACATTCTGAGTAATTAATATCAGATAAATGACTTCCAGATAAGTGAAGTTAGTACATACTTATCAGAAAATCTTTGCATAATTTTTTCCTCTAATAAGACACTGCAATAGAGAAGGAAACATAATTATATTGAACATCTAATAGAAATGCAGAAATAGATCTTTTTAGTTGCTAAATTGATAGCTAATTTTTAGTATTTTATCTGTTTGCATTTCTACTTTGTCTTAAGTTACTATGTTTATTATGGCTTACAGAATTATACATTGGTTGCTAACCACCTACCATATATAGATAACCACATTGAGCTTTCAGAGTTATGTAACAGTAACACACCAGAAGTGTGCATGTAATAGGATCTTTTAGACTTTCAACCACATGAGGACTTTAAGATAGAACGATGAGCAAGAAGAAAATATTTTCAATGGAAGTGGAAGACTACAGTGATTTTTCAAACACTGTTATATAATAGATTCCTCTTCAAGAATATTAAAAAAATGTTTTCCTAGCATTCCACATTTTATCTCTCATTCTTTAACTATATATTTCTGCCCGCTTTGGTGAGGAAAAAAAAGTCATTTTTAGAGCTGAGTGTTCAAGAACCTTAGGCTATAGATTCTACCCCATGGAACATTGTCACCCGACGTTAGCAACAGTTTCCTGTAGACAGGTCCCAGTTCAGGCTTCTGCCTGCATCCAAACCTTTTAGGAAAGATGGAACCACTGTCTTTACTTTTTCCTGTTTGCCAGGTGATAAAACAATGATTATAGAGAAGAATATATGTGCATGGAGAGGTCAGAGAACTAATATAAATGTTTTGGAACCTGTCTCAGAAATTTAGATAGAGAAAAGAAGACAATTTGGAGTTAAAGCTCTTGAGCTCCAGTCCTAGCTCTTCCACTTACTAATTGAGTAATCTTGGTAAAATCACTTAACCTTTGTGAACCTCAATTTTCTTGCCTTTAGAGACAGTAGTGCCTATAACTAGATTATTGTAATGAGCTTATATGTGTAAACACAATTTTTTAAAGTCTAAAATCTCATAATTATCAGGGCTTATTTATTGTTAATGTTTTCTGTAGAATCAATAGCAACTATGGAGGATTTGTGCCCTCTACTCTTGATGGTTGTAGAGTGATTGATTATCACCATACTCTTTAGACTAGAAAAGCTTGAGTTTTTTCTTTTTCTTTTTTTCTTTTTTTTTTTCTTTTTTCTTTTTTTTCTTTTTTTTTTCTTTTTTCTTTTTTCTTTTTTTTGAAACGGTCTTGCTCTGTTGCCTAGGCTGGAGTGCAGTGGCGTGATCTCAGCTCACTGCAACCTCTGCCTCCTGGGTTCAAGCGATTCTCATTCATGCCTCAGCTTCCCAAGTAGCTGGTGGTGCACCAATACACCCAGCTAATTTTTGTATTTTAGTAGAGACAGGGTTTCACCATGTTGGCCAGGCTGGTCTCAAACTCCTGACCTCAGGTGATCCACCCACCTCGACCTCCCAAAGTGTTGGGATTACAGGCTTGAGCCACTGCGCCCAGCTGAGTTTTTTCTTTTAAAAAGATGTTTTTTAGAATTGTTGTTAGCATCTCTAGTAATGTTGATAAAAAGGATAGCAGTTATACTTTGGACAATGTCCTGCCTTGGCAGTATATACCCTGCTGTGTATGTGTTTGTGTTATATGAATTATATAAATATTATATATGGTACATAATTATTATTTAGCTGTCCTTCATCATTAACATCATAGAATTGCACTTCACAGCATTTTTGTATATATTATCTCATTTGATCTTTGCAACCATGGAGTGAAGTATTCAAAATAAACATTATCTGATGGATTTGGGTTTCATGTGGTTAGGTATTTTTATTGTTATTTTAGTTGTAACTTCGATAACCTAACTTAGAAGCTTCTAAATAATGAAATATCCTAAGCTAAACTAGTAATTGAAAAACAGTATTCCTCTTACAGTTGCTGTCATTTTGTCTTACTACATCATTATGGAGTTTTTTGTCATATGATCAAAAATAAGGCTATTTCTGAATCTTAGCAGGGCTAATATTATTCCTCCAGTTATTCCAGTGTTTCTCAAATGAAAGTTGTTGATATAACGCTAAGAAGATCCACCAGGAAGTTCATTTATATATACAAAAGTTATAAAACTCCAGGCAAGTGATAGACGGCAATACTGGTAATATAGGTCATACAAATGAGATAACTCAGCCTCTCCACCTTCTGAAGCCTGTCCTTCCATTTCCTCTCTTAGATTTTAAAACCTGCTGGTATGCTAAGAAAGATGGAAGGGAAAGGGAAGGGTTAGGATCATTTTTAATTTCTTTTCTTGTTTTTAATTTTTTTTTTTTTTTTTAGAGATGGGGTCTCACAATGTTGCCCAGGCTGGCCTTAAACTCCTGTGCTCAAGCTGTCCTGTCACCTCAGCCTCTTGATTTGTCGGAATTACAGGCATGAACCACTGTGCCCGGCTTAATTTATTTTCTAAATAGATTTAGATGAAAGTAGAAATTTGACAGAGTTGAGAGAAAATTATTTTTGAGCTCTATTGTTTAACCACAAGCCTAAAACAGAATTACTTTATTACTTGTCTATTAACAGAAATGATGAGAAGTTTTTAAATGTGATTTTAAAATACTACTAGTATTTGAAATGGTCAGAATCCCCAGAGGAAATACTGAATCAGTTTGAGGTAGAAAATAGTGAGGATTAAGATTTTTATATTAAAACACCTTATCCAGACAGCTCAGTAGTCTGTAATCCACATTTTGTCCTTATTTTCCCCCTCTTTACAGCATCTTCACCAGGCAAGAGTTCAATATATGGCAGTTTTTCAGATGGTATAATATGTTTCATTTTATTATGGTGTGCTTAGTTTCTTTGTCCTTTTTATCCCGGAAGTTTCACCAATCCCATTAGATACTTAATGGGTCAAATACTTCCAAACTTTCTCTCAAAACTAATTATTGTGTGCTTTGTACTAGACCCCACCATATGCTGTGAAAAGCTATGAAAGAAATAGGTCATGTGTTTCAAGGAGCTCTCAGTCTAATCGGCACTCAGATATTCTACTTTTTCTTCTGCTTCTGGCTGATCTCTGTCTTCTTTTTTTCCTGGTGGAATTTGTATCTTCTTTGTCTACTAGAAATAAATACTCAAATTATGAAGCATAAGTTGATAGTCTTATTTTATTACTCTCACCATTAGATGACAGCATTCTGAAATCAGAGCTTGGAAACCAGTCACCATCAACCTCCAGCCGACGTAAGTTTATGTATTCAGTTTTTATTAAATATTTCTGTAAAATTGGTATTCCATAATTGTTTAAAAATGTTTTTTGACAGCAGTATGACTCGATGCTATTTGAAGAATCACATTTTAAGCACTTGAGAGGAAAAAGTATATATTCTACTAGCAGTGAAATTCTTTATAGACAAACTTTATGAGACAACATCTGGTATTGCTCTTCACTTAACTGTCTATAAGACCAAAAATAATAGCTAAAATAAGTAAAGCTACTAATACTGTTAACTGAGAAAACCATGCTGAATTGAAAGAAAGTTAGCCAGAGCATGACTTTATGGGATTACAATGGCTTTCGGAGTCTGCAAACCTGTATTTGAACTAGATTGGACCACTTACCTCCTTTACAGCCTTGTGGCAAGTTTCTTTAGTTCTCCAAGTCTTATTGTCCTGAAAGAGTACTAAGAAAATAACTTAATGGGCTGAGCGTGGTGGCTCATGCCTGTAATCTCAGCACTTTGGGAGGCCAAGGCAGGCGGATCATGAGATCAAGAGATCGAAACCATCCTGGCCAACATGGTGAAACCCCATCTCTACTAAAAATACAAAAATTAGCTGGGCGTGGTGGCACACGCCTGTTGTCCCACCTACTCAGGAGGCTGAGGCAGGAGAATCACTTGAACCCAGGAAGCGGAGGTTGCAGTGAGCCGAGATTGTGCCACTGCACTCCAGCCTGGCAACAGAGCGAGACTCTGTCTCAAAAAAAAAAAAAAAAGAAAATAGATTAATGATGATTCTGAAATTTTTTGTTCTTGGTACCGCTTTACACTAGTAAAGTTATTAAGAACCTCAAAGAGCTTTTTGTTGAAAATATGGGTTATGTCTATCCATATGTACCAGGAAATTAAAGTTGAAACATTTTTTAAAATATGTATTAATTTATTTTAAAATAATTTAGCAAGAAGAGTAACAGATCAGATTGCTTTGCATTTTTTCTAATCTCTTTAATGCCTAGCTTTAAAAAATGGATTTGGATTATCATATATGCTTCTGTATGCAGTCTGTTACAATATATTATTTTTGTTGAAGTATCTACAAAAAATCCAGCTTTTATACAGATATGAAAAATTTTAATAGCCTCTTCAGATAATTGTGGCTATTCTTTTTTGAACTCTCCAAAACTCAACAAGTGGTAGTTTCTTAAATGTTACTTGAAATAGGATATCTAAAACCATCTTACTGAGCTTTTAGTACTCTATTACATTAAAAGTCATTGGTCTTTCTTATACTTTGAATGGAGTATCATGCACTGGTCATTTGGAAAACATTGGTTCACTGAGGAATGCAGATTTTCCAAACATTGACACATTAGGAATGTAATAAAAAATATCACATTTGTTAACATCACTGCCAATCTCAAGACTTTAAAAAAGTGTTAAAGGGTGGGGTTCGTGGCCCATGCCTGTAATCCCAACATTTTGGGAGGCCCAGGCGGATGGATCACCTGAGGTCAGGAGTTCAAGACCAGCCTGGCCAACATGGCAAAACCCTGTCTCTACTAGAAATACAAAAACATTAGCTGGGAATGGTGGCACGCACCTGTAATCCCAGCTACTTAGGAGGCTGAGGCAGGAGAATCACTTGAACCTGGGAGGCAGAGGTTGCAGTGAGCCAAGATCGCACCACTTCATGTCATCCTGGGCCACAGAGCGAGACTCCATCTCAGAAAAAAAAAAGAAAGTGTTAAAGTACAATATTGGGAGTTGTCAAGCTCATGGTGGCAGATTTAGGATTCTAAAATCCTAATTTTCACTTGAAAGCAAATATCTGCCAAATACACAAGTCTGACTGTAGTTTGTTACTTGTTCTTTCAAGTAAAAAATAGTATTCCATGAAAAATGTGCTAATTCGCCTTGTAATTCATTTGCACAAAATTCTTTTCCTTGAGACAACCATGGTACTGTATGATGCAGCAGAAGTGCTTTGTGCATACCTTCCATTTGTTCAGAAAGAATATTGACATATGTACTCAAGGATTCAGATTTAATAAGATAAATAATTAACTGCTTCATAAAGGACATTCTTAAGTAAAAGAATGTCCCTTTGTTAAATCTTGAATGCATGGCAGTGAAAAATAACAATGACTACACTCGTACAGTTTGGTGCCACTGCCCTGTAACTCATGCTAAGGCATCAGAAGTTTTTCTCACCATAGCTTTTGCGTCATCAGTGCAAATGTCAACACAAGGTGAAAGTCAAATAACATCTTAGTGTTAGAAGAATAGCTTTAACTTCATGGACCCCCCTCCCCACAAAATAGGGTCTTGAGGTACCCCACAGACCACGCCTTGAGAATTGCTGCTCTAAAAGGTCCCTACTAAAATTAATAGCCTGAAACAGTCAATAAGTAAAAGATGTAAAAGTATTATTGTTACTATCAACTGAATAAATGAAGTAGAATATGAGAAAGTACTTTATAAACCGAAAAGCACTAGATAAATATAAATTAATCCTATTATTATTGCCAATAGTAACTAGGGATGAGTCACAAACTAAATTTTACCAGTGTTAACTTGCATACCACAAAAGGCATCAGTGAAATTAATCTAAAGGGACAGCTAGCTATTATAACACGTAGAAGATGTTCATTTATATTGCATCCTTTTCTTTTTTTTTTTTTTTTTTTTTGAGATGGAATCTCTCTCTGTCACCCAGGCTGGAGTGCAGTGGCGTGATCTCGGCTCACTGCAACCTCCGCCTCCCGTGTTCAAGTGATTCTCCTGCCTCAGCCTCCCAAGTAGCTGGACTACAGGTGTGTGCCACCACACCCAGCTAGTTTTTTGTATTTTCAGTAGAGACGGGGTTTCACAGTCTCGATCTCCTGACCTCGTGATCCTCCCTCCTCGGCCTCCCAAAGTGCTGGGACTACAGGCATGAGCCACCACTTCCAGCCTGCATCCTTTTCTTTATCCCTTTATGTACTTCAGAAATATTTCACCTTGAATAATTAGCCATGTGAATGCTGAGTTACTAAATTAAAAAAATATTTTATAAATTGTATTTTAATAGTCTATTCTCCCAACTATTAGCAGTGAAAATAATAACTTCGCTTTATAAACTATTATTTTTCTGACTTGTTTATGCCATTTCATATGTTTAAAAACTTTTTTCCTCAAAGACTTATTTTTATATTGAAGAGACATATGCATATTTGTACACATAATTCAAAGCCTATGCATGTAAGATTTTCTTGAGAATGTGATAAATTATTTTATTAAGAAAATTATCAGCTTTCTTCTTTAAAGTCCTTCCTCTTTTACCTAATGTTTATAAAGACTGATATTGATTTTAAAAGTCACTTGCCCCTGAATCTAAGAAAGTGGTATTTATATCTGTCATTTCTTTTTTGTCTGAGTAGAAGTGACTGGACAACCCCAAAATGCATCTTTTGTCAAGAGGAACCGGTGGTGGCTACTTCCTCTGATAGCTGCTCTTGCCTCTGGGAGTTTTTGGTTCTTTAGTACTCCTGAGGTAGAAACCACTGCTGTTCAAGAGTTCCAGAACCAGATGAATCAACTTAAGAATAAGTACCAAGGTCAAGATGAGAAGCTGTGGAAAAGGAGCCAAACATTCCTGGAAAAACATCTTAATAGCTCCCATCCTCGGTCTCAGCCTGCTATCTTACTGCTCACTGCTGCCCGAGATGCTGAAGAAGCACTTAGGTGTCTGAGTGAACAAATTGCTGATGCCTATTCTTCTTTTCGTAGTGTCCGTGCCATCCGGATTGATGGGACAGATAAAGCTACTCAAGACAGTGATACTGTCAAACTAGAGGTAGACCAAGAACTGAGCAATGGATTTAAGAATGGCCAGAATGCAGCTGTGGTACACCGCTTTGAGTCATTTCCCGCAGGCTCTACTTTGATCTTCTACAAATATTGTGACCATGAAAACGCGGCCTTCAAAGATGTAGCCTTAGTCCTGACTGTCTTATTGGAGGAAGAGACACTTGGAACAAGTCTAGGCCTAAAGGAAGTTGAAGAAAAAGTAAGAGATTTTCTTAAAGTCAAGTTCACCAATTCTAACACACCCAACTCCTACAATCATATGGACCCAGACAAACTGAATGGCCTCTGGAGCCGTATTTCTCACTTAGTTCTGCCTGTGCAACCTGAAAATGCCCTGAAAAGGGGCATCTGCTTATAAGAAGTGAGAGAGAAGAAAAATCATGTCCCAAGTTCTGAGAATTGTTCACACTTTCTAACCAGAGACAGAATTCAGAGCTCTTTTTGAAAGAACTAGTTTCTTTTTAAAGAAGTTAAGTGCTTACATAAACATGGAACATATAAATCATTCATTCAACCTAATTATCTGTGATATGAGAGAATCATTTCAGTTTCCATTGAGAGCTCTGTTAAAGGTATCTTAGGAGTGCAGATTATATGCAGTTCCTTAGAGAATCTGTTTTGATTCTGGGCTGAGTTATTACAGTTATGGTATGACCAGTGAGAGGGATTTGTGTCCTTTCTTATGAACCTTCCTGATTTTTTAACTTAGATTTCTCACTAAGTTTCCTGAGTTATTAGTAAGATTGCTCCCTAAATGTAACCAGGGATTTTCCCATTATGTTCCCTTTTATACCATTTAGGTGTGAGTTCCTTAGCTTCTGCCTATAGGAACATAAGTAATGAAAGGTCATCTAGGTGTGTGTTTGGAATTTTTTTCTTTTGTTTTTTGGAAAATGGAAAGAACAAGGCAAGGAAGGAAAATTAATGGGGAAGCTGAAGGGAGGAAATGTTACAGTAATCCACTGAGATGTAGTTTAGTCAAACATAGGTATATGAACTGTTAATCTTGGTGGATTCCGTTGGGATTTGTTTTTTACATCTCCTTTTTCCTTCCTTGAAGAAAAATTCTTGGCTGTCCCAAGGATTCTTCATGTATATTGCAAAATTTAATATATTTGTTCACTTGAGTCTTAAGAGTAGGTCAGGCCAAGGCAGGTGGATCACCTGAGGTCAGAAGTTCAAGACCAGCCTGGCCAACATGGTGAAACCCCGTCTCTACTAAAAATACAAAAATTAGCTGGGCGTGGTGGTGCATGCCTGAAATCCCAGCTACTTGGGAGGCTGAGGCAGGAGAATTGCTTGAACCCGGGAGGCGGAGGTTGCAGTAAGCCGAGACCATGCTTATTGCCCTCCAGTCTGGGCAACAAAAATGAAACTCCGTCTCAAAAAAAAAAAAGTAGGTCAATTCGTAACAGTTTATTTTGGACACACCCTGAAGCTTTTGTTTTGAATTAAGAAATGAGTTTCAGGAATTGACAAACCATTTGTTAACCAGCTGTCCTGGGCTATTGAAGAAGATTTCATTTTCCGCGCATCCACTTGTTGCAGTCCAAGTCCTCTAGTGCAACGCCATAGCAAATATAAAGATTTACTATGCACGTGATACATTTTATGGAGTGCCTCAAGCCAAGATAGTGAATTTATATGAAGGGTGTGAAATGTATTTCTTTACTACTATAGTAGTTTAGTTATAACTTTGCATCTATAATTGAGCTTTCTCATCTGTCAAATGCTATGGTTTTCTTAAAATGTTACAATTCTAGATCTATCCACCTTGTTTTTTTATTGTCTACAAACCATTAAATGTAAATATTGTTTTTAGAGTCAGTCATTGGCTTTGTCATTTACCCTTTGAGAGTTCCACAAGTGGTAGTAGAGTGGTTTAACGTCTTTCCTCTAGTACTACCAGTATTCATAAATGTATACCCCTTACTGTAATTTGTTCCTCTTAGAAGTCAGATCATCTGATTTATAGAGGATTATGAAAACCAGAGTTTTTGAAAAGGCTTATTTTATACATACGTATTATATAGAGAAACAAATGTTTTTATTAAATGTTTCATTGACCCAAGTAATTTAAAAGTAATATGTTACCTATGTCTTTCAGGAAAAATAATTATAGCAGCTGATCTGTAAATGACTTTAAAAGCTATTTTAGTAATTTAAATAAATTTACTTTCTTGGTTTATACTCTCTATGTGTTATAAACTTAATGATTTATCATCTTTAAAAAAAGAAATCCAAGTATTTTCCTTGAACAATTGTAGCAACTCTGGCTAGGAGAAACAAAAATCAAAGAACTGGAGCCATTTGCAAGTACATTGGTTAGAAGTGGAATAGCCGTAACTTTCCATTTTATCTCGGCACTTAGGGTTTTTAAAAATACAGTTAAGTTAGATATTCCTGACTTAGCAAAAGAATCTCCACAGCAGCTTTTCTTTTTTTTTTTTTTAAGTAGACATGGGATCTCGCTATATTGCCCAGGCTGTTTTTGAACTCTTGGCCTCAAGCAGTCCTCCTGCCTAAGCCTCCTAAGTAGCTGGGATTACAGGCATAAGTCACTACACCTGGCTTCTTAACCTTTTCTTTATCACCTCCCTGAAGAACTTTTTTAGATTTTTTTCTTAGTCACCCCTTCCCCATGATATTTCAACACCAGATATATACTATGTATCTGTTTATGGACTGTAAATGTTTTTTGCTTTATACAAAATAGAATTTTTTTTTGTCCCCAATGAACCAATTTTCACCCCCATTGAGAATGCATGCTCAAGAGCATCCACGTTTTAGATAATTGCTGCCTAAAATGTTCTATTTGCTATTCATGTTACTGTGATCCTTTTAGAAGGGAAAATTTATTTTTTATTTTTTTTATTTTTTATTTTTTTTATTTTTGAGACAATCTCACTCTTGCCCAGGCTGGAGTGCAGTGGCGCAATCTCGGCTCACTGCAACCTCCGCCTCCCATGTTCAAGTGATTCTTCTGCCTCAGCCTCCCGAGTAGCTGGGATTACAGGTTCACACCACCATGCCCGGCTAATTTTTTGTATTTTTAGTAGAGACGGAGTTTCACCATGTTGGCCAGGCTGGTCTTGAACTCCTGACCTCAGGTGATCCACCTGCCTTGGCCTCCCAAAGTGCTGGGATTACAGGCATGAGCCGCGGAGCCTGGCCTAGAAAGGAAAATTTAAGTAAGATACCAGCTTCAGAATAGGAGCTAGGGTCTAGAGAAATGGAGCACATTGTAACTGGCTGACAACAGTGGCCCAGGAAAACCACAGTAACTTAATTTGAAACTTAATTTGCTTCCCTTGTTTTAATGACTTTTTAATATTTAAAGATGTTTTCTAAACCTCTAATCCTCAAAACAAAAATTGGAAGTAAACTGATTTTCATTCAGTGAACTGCCATTTAGAAGTGATAGGGGTTTACATACTTTGTACCATTAGTTAACGCCTAAGCTAAAAGTATAATATCCAGTTTCCCTATGATCTCAAGTTTATGGAAAGTAGCCTTTCTTTTGGCAGTGTAAACAAGCAGTTACATTAAATACGTAAAGATAATGCATTATTCTGCTATTTTGTCCTTATCAAGATCATGTAGTAAAATTTTGTGGTATAAGAGGATAGTGTTTTTCCCTAAGGAAGAGGATTTTATTGGCATTAACCACCAAAGATGGGGTTCCTGAGCCTGGAAAACCAAGCTGAGAAGGCTGCCATTGACTGGAAAAGGAGGAAATTCCTCCCTTGAATGCCCTCTTTCTGGCCTGGATTCTGAGAATTCCTTGTGTGTTTAAGGACCCTTGTGGGTGGTAGAGAAACTAGTTCCTGTCACCTGAGCATAAACAGAAGAACCCCTTTGTACTCTACACCCCAGACATAATGAACTACTTGCAATTTCCTAAACACATCATTCACTTGTCTTTTGCACATTCTTAGACTCTTGGAATACTTCATTTCCTGCCCTCTCGCTTTCTCCAATCTCATGTTCTGCTAATTTTTATTTGTCCTTAAAGTCTTCGTTTTCTTAGGGCAGCACTTCAGTGAAATCTTTCATAATTCCCTTCCCCCAGATACTATTTTAGGTGCCTCCTGTTTTTTTTCTTTCTTTCTTTCTTTCTTTCTTTTTTCTTTTTCTTTTTTTGGTAGCTTAAACAATAAGACCTTTATTGTTACAAAACCCAGCAGCGTGAGGAGTTCCTGGGTTGGGTGAATTAGAGGCTGGAAAAATTCATCGCAAGCATTACAAGATAACCAATGATACCCCTGATGAAAGAAAACCTCTGCAAACTGCTAGCTGAAGCCAGCTCCTGTCCTTTTATCCAAAACTGGGTAGTGTCCAGCCAAACCATTTTGGGGGTTGAATGAGTCACTTCAAAGGGCTCAAATGACTGGTGAATCTTCCAGATAAAAGGAGAGAACACAGACTTTCCTGCGCATTTTAAAGTGACTGAGGTGCTCCACACTCTGATTTATCCTTTATTACCCTGTGGCAGCATTAGCATACCCCTGCTACCACATGCATCTTGCAAGCAGTGATGTGTCATCAATATATGCACCGTGGCAATCACAGAATGCTCAAATATTTATTGAATAAAAAGAGCAAGCCATACCTAATTATAGCTAGGTAAGTTGCATCTTAGTGTTTTATTTGCTTTCCCCACCCCCATCCCCCATTACGCCTAAGCCCTATCTAAAAGTTGTATATAACTCATCTGGGTTTAGCAATGCTATGAATAAGGAAAAACAAAGAGGACCAATCTACGCCGTGGAAGGGAAATGCACTTCTCTGATAGAGACAGTGATCATTACAGGTCCTCAAGGGAAAGGTGGAATATCAAGGGAAAAGACTGGGAAGCTGTGAGGTCTTTCCACAGTGATATTTGGCATTTGCATTTTCTAAAAATAGCTAGCAAGTATTCTTCCATCTTTTTCTGTTGCCTAAGAGGGTATTATAATTCAGATAAAAGATGGCTATGGATGTACGAACAAGATGGATAAGAAAAATATTCGAGAATTAGAACTGACCAGATTTGATTGACTGTAGAAGTGCTGAAAATTTCTCTTTCTTCTGTTTAGCTCATATATCTTCTCCCCAGATACTAAGCATAAAGTGATAGACTAAATTCCTATCTCTGCATGTCAATATGTTGACTTTTAGTTTGAAGTAGAGCCACACATATTTGGTCAGAAATTGATTGTAGAGAATAAAAACCCTGTCCAACCAGGAAATGAGCAAAAGAGGGCTGGGGTGAAGATTGCAAGAATATACATCTCAGACTCCAGGAAAAGGAAAATACAGGAACTGTGAAGACTGTTTTCATTTGGAGACCAGCAGCCATTCCCTCTGTCTCTCTATTGCTGCTACCCAATTAGCAACTTCCCCTTTGTGACTTAAATGCCAAAAAGATGACATTAATGGCTCAATTCAGTGTATGAAGGATTCCTGAGAAGAATATATGATAAAGCATAGCTTCCTAGGTCACCCTTTTAACAGGGACCAGGAGTTTGGGTTGTGGTAGGGCTGTGTCCTGAGGTCAGGCCAAGAAGTGGGCTGATATGTTAAAGGACAACTGAATACTTCTTCAACTATATAAAGACCTTCTATATGTAATGCCATGCTATGTCATTAATGGCATTTCATTTTAGCTTTTTAAAAAACCCAACGAAGGGAAATTCAAGGTAATGGAAACATTTTAAGTTTTAAAATCTGAGTCCTGGTCATGGGTCTACTACAAATGTGATTTCTTCCCATTGCTTCTGTTTCTCTAGGCTAAACCAGGAAGATAGTTGTCAAAACTTCGGGTACTATTTTAACATACATCAGCACTTGTTAATTTGCTGTAATTCCCTCAATAGAACACCAAGCTTTAGTTTTCAGTATGTTTCTTGGGCAAGTGAGGTGGTAGGTGGCCATGTACTAGATCAAACTTGATTTTCTAGGGATTGTTTTCCCACTTTTAGAGAATACCATTCTTAGGCTAAACTCAATTACAGAATCTACTGCATGCTATACAGCCCTCTATAGAAATATTCACCCTGAGTAGTTAATTATGTTTCTTAATGGGTAAATGTTTTATCTAGTCCCTCTTTTTTTTTAATTTGATAAAATCCAGATCTCTCAGAGCTTAAATACACTTCCTCTTATTTTCCCTACAACAAATATGGAAAAGATCTATAATATATATTTGAATATGTATTAAGTTGTTCCTCACCCTTTTCTATTTTTTATTAGCTATTGAGTGTTTATTAATGCTTCAAACACTTCCAAGTGCTTTATGTATATTAACTGATTTAATTCTTAAGTTACTCTATGAGATGGTATTATTATCCCAACTTAATAGGAAACTGAAGCACAGTGAGCTAAAGTAACTCTCGAAGTGGTGGAGCAGAGAGATGAACCCAGGCAGTCTGACTTTAGAACATCTATGCTTACCACTATGATGTTCTCAAGGACCCCATTCTGAATATAGGAATAAACAAATTCAGTTTCTCCCACTTTAATCTCACAACACCCTTCTGACTCCAGATGTGTGTGGAGGGGGGTTCCCCACGCATTAAGCAAATAAGCAATTTTGCAGCAGACACCAGCTGGGTGTCCTCTAATTCAATTCACTTCTTACACTACCTGGAGATAGCATCAGATACCATAGGTTGAAGGCTCAGTGCCACAAGATGGCTCCCACTTCAGATGACAATCAGAAGCCCCAGATGGTGACCAAGGGTCCTAACCAACTAGCTATAAGTTAGGGTTCCCATAACCCCTTCTTGAGCTCCATTAGTTTGCTAGAGAGGCTCACAGAACTCGGAAACACTATACAGTCATGCTGTACATAATGACATTTCAATGTCAGCCTGCATAGACAATGGTGATCCCATAAGATTATAATACTGTATTTTTACTGTACCTTTTCTATGTTTAGGTATGTTTAGATAGACAAATAGTCAATCCTTGAACAACTTGGGTTTGAACTGTGTGGGTCCATTTATACATGGATTTTTTTTCAATAAATGTATTGGAAAATTTTTTGGAGATTTGCAACAATTTGAAAAACCAGATGAACCTCATAGACTAGAAATATCAAAAAAAATAAAGGTATGTGAAGAGTACATAAAATACATGTAGATACTAGTCTATCATTTACTACCATACATAAATCTATTTAAAAAAGTTAAAATTTATCAAAACCTATACACACAAACACACACCATACATTGTACCATTTGCAGTCTAGATAAATATTTAAAAATCTAAAAATGCACTGTTAAACCGTAACTGATGAAAAATTAGCTAGTGGGTACAATGTGTGCTCTTCAGGTGATGGCTATACTAAAAGTCCAGATTTCACCAGGATACAATTCTTCCATGTAACAAAAAACCACTTGTACCACTAAAGCTATGGAAAGAACAAAAATTGTCTAATTAACTAATTAAAACAAACAACTGCGTAAAATTAACTGTAGTACCTACTGTTCCACTGAAATAAGTTTGTAACCACCTCCTGTTGCTATTACAGCAGAACTCAAGGGTTGAGAGTATCCACATAAAACACCCTGTGAGCTAATCATCTCCACACAAGCAGTTCTTGGCTCTAGTAAATTGCGTATTGCAGTAAAAAGTGATCTCTCACACTTCTCGCGTTTTTCATCATGTTTAATGCAATACCCTAAACCTTGAATAACACCATGAGCCCCATACAAAGTGCCACCAGTGATGCTAGAAATGCTCCCAAGAAGCAGAGAAAAAAATGACACTACGAGAAA
This sequence comes from Homo sapiens, assembly GCF_000001405.40. Lineage (NCBI taxonomy): Eukaryota > Metazoa > Chordata > Mammalia > Primates > Hominidae > Homo > Homo sapiens. Next base: position 179,925,645 of record NC_000001.11, read on the forward strand.
AAGTTGAATTGCTTGATAAGTACTTTGATTGAGGTCTGTAGCTGCAGTTGCCTGCCATTTCAGACAGCTGACTCATTTTGGAAATGGAGGGGCATTTAACTAACCCTAAATTTACAGTATTGATAATTACAGTACAGTACGGTAAATATGTTTTCCTTAGGATTTTCTTAATATTTTACTTTCTCTAGCTTTATTATAAGAAGACAGTATATAATAAATGTGTTAATCAACTGTTTATGTTACTGGTAAGTCTTCCAGTTAGCAGGAGGCTATTAGTAAAGTTTTGGGGAAGTCAAAAGTTATACATGGATTTTTGACTGTGTGGGTGTCAAACCCCTAATCCTCTAGTTGTTCCATTGTTAACTGCACTTGCCATTGTGTTACAATTCCCTACAGTATTCAGTACAGGAACATGCTGTACAGGCTTGCAGCCTAGACAACAGGATATACCATATAGCCTATGTGTGTAGTAGGCTATACCCTCTAGCTATGTGGAAGGACACTCTTAAGATGTTTGCACAATAACAAAATTGCCTAACAGTGCAATCGTCTTTTTTATTTTTATTTATTTATTATAGAGATGGAGTCTCACTATTTTGCCTAGGCTGGTCTCAAACTCCTGGGCTCAAGCAAGTCTCTCACCACAGCCTGCCAAAGTGTTGAGATTACAGGCAAGAGCCACCACGCCTGGTGACAACACAGTTCTCAAAATGTATCTCCTTCATTAAGTGACACATGACTGTACTCACATTTACTAGCTTATTATAAAGGATATTACAAAGGATACCGATGAACACCAGATGAAGAGATGCATAGGACAATGCATGTGGGAAGGAGTGTGAAGCCTCCATCTATTCCATTCCAATCTATTCAGGCTCTATAAAGTTTATATTCAACCTATATATTCTTATTTGTGGCTCTCCTTTAAACACTTTTCTTCCCTTGCTCAGCATTGTAGAATCCAATATTGCACAAACCGAGTCTAGAGAATTTTGAGTAGGATGAGTCATCACACAGTCCTACCTGTTGACACATATTTGCATACATAATCATGATTTTATAACTAAATTTACTGCAATGTTGACTCACAGTTAATCTTTTTCAAAATGCTTACATGTACCCCAGGGATTGGTTAACTGCCCCTGCTTACCACACAGCTTCTCTTTTTGGCCTCTTTCAGTCTTGATGCAAAACTCAGCAACTCTGAATTCCTAAGGAAAAATCCATTTGCATCCAGAGCACTGGCAATTTCCTACAGAGGAAAAATTGTTGATAGTACACAAAAAACACATCCCACAGAAAACAGAAGCATCCTTATCCTTACTGTAATGAGGGAGAGTATGATTAAGAGTACAGGCCCTACGGTCTGGAGTTTGACTGCCTAGGGCCAAATCCCAGCTCCATGCCTTTCTCACTGAATGACACTAGCAACTTATGCTCTTTATGCTTCAGTTTCCTTGTCTAAAAATGGGGAAAATAATGTAACTACTATCTTTTTTTTTTTTATTGAGACAGAGTCTTGCTCTGGCACCCAGGCTGGAGTGCAGCAGTGCGATCTCGGCTCACTGCAACCTCCGCCGCCCAGGTTCAAGCAAGTCTCCTGCCTGGGCCTCCCGAGTAGCTGGGATTAGAGGCCTGGGCCACCACACTGGCTGATTTTTGTATCTCTAGTAGAGACGGGGTTTCACCATGTTGGCCAGGCTGGTCTCGAACTCCTGACCTCAGGTGATCCACCCGCCTTGGCCTCCCAAAGTGCTGGGATTACAGGTGTGAGCCACCGCACCCGGCCTCATTTACCAAAATTCTTAACCACCAACAGTTCTCTCCCCTTTTCCTGTGTGGCATCAACTGTGATGGCTCCTACTTCCAGCCTCTTAGGTGACCCTTGTCATACGAATAACTTGGGCTTTCTTCCCATCTTATACCTCCATTACAAGCCCCAACCCATCACAAAGTTTATTAAACAAAAGGCCTTACAGTTATCAGAATCCACCCTTGCCCCAAATCAGGGGTACTATAAAGAATAAGAAAGCTTTCCTGGCTGGGTACAGTGGCTCATGCCTATAATCCCAGCACGTTGGTAGGATGAGGTGGGAGGATCACTTAAGCCCAGGAGTTTAAGACCAGCCTGGGCAACATAGTGGGACCCCATCTCTAGTTATAAAATTTAAAAGGTTTTTTTTTTATTTTTTAATTAATTTTTTTTCAAGAAAGCTTTTTGATCACATGCAAATAGCTCTTTCTCTCCATGGTTTATTCTTCCCATTCATCTTCACCATCCTACTCCCATACTTAATCAACCTCACTTTCTTTTCTTGAAGTAACTATAATTTGTTGATATTTTCCAAGTGCTGCACAGACTATCCCGTGTTGAACACGGAGATGTGCAACCTGGATCTCCTTTCAAGGAGTAATTTGTTTTGCCATCTGCTGGGAGTGTGTTCAGTGGACAGCCTTCACTCTCAACCACTTCACAGCTTGCCTCAGCTGCAGAAAACCACCTTGCTGAAGACTACGTTGGGGAGGGGGAGAGTGGTGCACTCTAATGACACGGGATACAAAGGCTTGGCCTTCTCAGCCCCACACAGTGCAACTATGGTGGGCCATTTGCACTCCAGAGCTTCCCTATGGGGTTGGCTGAAGCTATGGGGCCTGTATTATAGCATGACTTTTTCCTCTCCCCTCTCCTTCCTTTTCCTCCTTTCCATGGGTGTTGATACCAAGGCACTCCCTACTAAATACCTTGTACTCTGAGTCTGCTTCTCAGAAAACCCAACCTATGTCACACTGTAAGCTTAGTGTAGTCTGTAAATAATTAAGTCAGTAACGTTTATTGACCATTTAATATGTGCCAGGCACCATGCTAGGCACCATACATATACTATATCATTTAATTTTCATAATATTTGAAGTAGGTGCTATTACTATCTTTCTGTTACCAATGAGGAAACACAGACCCAGAACTACTGTTAGTAACTGATGGAGCTAGGATTTGAACTCAGTCTGACTCCAGAATCTGCATTCTTAACCATCATTCTACAATTCTACATTGTATTCCATCATAATGTCCACTTTTTTTTTTTTTTTTGAGATGGGGTCTTTCTCTGTTACTGAGGCTGGAGTGCAGTGGCATGATCTTGGCTCACTGCAACCTCCGCCTCCCGGGCTCAGGCAATCCTCCCACCTCAACCTTCTGAGTAGCTGGGACTACAGGCACACACCACCACACCCAGCTAATTTTTGTAGAGATGGATTCGCTGTGTCACCCAGGCTGGTCTAGAACTCCTGGACTCAAGTGATCCACCCGCCTCGGCCTCCCAAAGTGCTGGAATTACAGGCGTGAGCCACCATACTCAGGCAGTATCCACTTCTTAAGGAGCAAAAATGGCATTAAATAATATAAGCATACGATGCTTGGGGAGGTGGTGGTGGAATGTAGCCATATTTTTTATGGAAAGACTGTGTTAAAAGTGAACATTTTGAAGGTTTTTAACTGGTGAAAGAAACTAGCCTGGAATAATGCCACCAGAGACTGAGTGGAAGTCATCCCTTTTGAAGGTGCCATTCTTATGAGCCAAAAGTTTGTCGTTTAAAAGTTCATTTTGAGGGAATAACGTAACATAATTTTAAATAAAGGTATAGTAACCTTTAAAAGAACATTATAGCTGAATATTGTGAATGGGGTGAATTTGTTAAATGAATAACTTTGATAAAGTTTTCATGCACAGGCAAAATGTATTCACTAGATTTCTATGTAGTGATCTGCTTTTACTTTGTAATTTGTAGTCCTCAAAAGACTTTAAAAAAAATAAAGTCCATACTTACACTAACAAAAAAAACACATAATGCATGTATGTTGAGGAAACATACTGCCTGGCCCATAGAATCACCGGATTATCTAGTGAAATTTACACCTCTTTATAGAGATAAAAACCTGACAATAATGTTTGGAACTCTGTTAGGTAGAATGCTCTCTAATAACAAAGGCCTATTATGGTTCTGATGTCCTAATTTGAAAGTAAGTTGGGCAGGGCGTGGTGGCTCACGCCTGTAATCCCAGCACTTTGGTAGGCTGAGGCGGGCGGATCACGAGGTCAGGAGTTCGAGACCAGCCTGGCCAACATGGTGAAACCCCATATCTACTAAAGTTAAAAAAAATTAGCCAGGCGTGGTGGCACGCACCTGCAGTCCCAGCTACTCAGGAGGCTGAGGCAGGAGAATCACTTGAACCCAGGAGGCAGAGGTTGCAGTGAGCCAAGATCACGCCACTGCACTCCAGCCTGGCGACAGAGTGAGACTCCGTCTCAAAAAAAAAAAAAAAAAAAAAAGGAAATTGAACTAGATGATATTTAAAGTCTCTGTCAATGCTGATTCTATAAAATTGGCAAAGTTTGTAATAGCTTAATATAATGTAAAGCCCAGAATATTTTGCTTGATATAGCCTCTGAAAGAGAATCACTTATAGTCCATGATCTGTCCAACATTCAACAGGCATCTCAAACTGTGTTGGAGTAGTGTAATACTTGCTGCTTGAAATATAAGATCTGAGTGAGCAAATTCCAATGAAATCTTTTCCTTTGGAAATAGTTCCAAAGAATTAAGCTTTCTATTGTTAACAGGCAAGTTCCAAAGACCAAAGGTTTGCTCCTCTGAAATATTTTCATTAGCCTTGAATAAGCAAGTTGGCAGAGAGAGGGAACGAAGTACTTTTGTGTTCAGAAAATGCAGCCAACTTCCTATCTCTGGCTTTACCTCTAAGTTTTGTTATTGAATCAGCAGTTCTGTTTTTTTAAGTCATCTGGTTATTCCCAAGGTGGCCCTTTGACCTTTGCAGTTTGCCCAAAGGAGATCTACATGTATTAGCTGGTTGGACTATAGGTTAAGCTTAGATTTAGCTCTAAGCAATGAACCCTTTGCCCTTATATCACCTGTTATCTCGTTCCTGCAGAAAAGGAACACAAACATCCAAATTTATAGCAGTCTCAACATCTGCCTTAAAGCTTTTGTAAAGTATACAGGGAGTAATGTAAATATGTGCATGCTAACATTAATGTGAAATAAACTCTAAGTAAACAAGAGGAATGAATGGATAAGGCTAATATAACTCTCATAGCTACAGCCATCTCCCATAATTGGAAAGTTAAGTGCTTTAAAAAATTTGTTTCAAATTTTAAACATAATAATTTAAACAAAAAAATTAAAGTTTTAGTTTCATGGTTTCTTCAAAGTATCAATTCTCCTCAAAACAATAAAAACAGCCAATGAAATTAAAATACATAAAGAGTACCCGGTAAATAGAAACGAATAAAGTAAAAAAGTAAGTTGAACAGGAGAAGTTTGGAAGTAAGGTGCTGGGATAATCAACAAGCCTGGTAAGGTCCATTTCTCAGACAGTATGAGGTCATGCTGCAGATAGCAACATATTTCTGGCGCCTTCCATCTGAGGTTCTTCAAGTGCATAGCTGATGTTATCTTATAGCAAATATTATTACCTCCATTTTATAGGTGCAGAAACTAAGATACCAGGAGATTAGATAACTTGCTTAAGCCTGCACAATGAGTCAGTGATAGAATCAGAAGTGTATTTCAGGAATCTAATCTTTTCTGTTTGAATCACTAGGTCAGCTTTCTAGATACCAAAAGACATGTATGAATTTTTATTAAAATTAATAAATTGTAAATTTTGTTAATATACTTAGAAAATGGATTATCTTCTGTAAACAATTCAGTGAAATATTTTTGTTGTAAGCCATTGTTGCTTTTTGGGGGGAAAAATTTAAGAGGTGATTTAAAAATAAGTTCTCCCAGGTTTGAAAAGGTATTCATGTGAGGTTTAAATTATTTAGGAAAACCCATTTTAAAGGTTGAGCATGATGGTGAACGCCTGTAATCCCAGCACTTTGGGAGGCCGAGGCAGGCAGATTGAGCTCAGGAGTTTGAGACCAGCCTGGGCAACATAGTGAGACCCTGTCTCTACAAAAGGTTTAAAAGTTAGCCAGGTGTGGTGGTGTGCACCTGTAGTCTCAACTCCTCAAGAAGCTGAGGCAGGAGGATTGCTGGAGCCCAGTTCAAGGCTGCAGTAAGCTGTGATTATGCCACTGCACTCCAGCCTAGGCGAAAGAGTGAGATTCTGTCTAAAAAAAAAAAAAAAGAAAGAAAAGAAATTTATTTTGGCAGAAGTACAAGGATTGGCACATGTTGTTGTGGTCCTTGTAGACTTTCAATGACAGATAAAGTAGTTCTATAATTAGGATAAAAATTAGAACAAGGGTAATAAAGAGTGAGTAATATTTTGGAGTCTTATACAGGCAGGGGCCAGACACTTGGGCCAGCTGTCAGCTTCTCACGTTGCCTGCTTCTTATTCCAAGACTGAGCAGCAGAGTGGTTCCTGGTAAATTTTAATTTCAGATAACCATCAGATTGAGATGTCCGTTCAGGAGACTTAGCCTTGAAAAACAAATTTTTTTATAACACCTGGACCAGTTCCTTACAGTAGGTGAGCACGTGACCTTTGATTAGATTTGATTCATAAAGTGCATGGGTCTTCCAGTAATTATCTCAAATGGGGATAACCAATGTTTTCCAAAAGGGGTAGGTCTAAGATTAAACAGCACCAAGGGCAAAACTTTTGGCCAGTACAGACTGAAAGATTCAACTAATTTTGCCAATTGAGTCCTTTTTTTTTTTTTTTGAGACGGAGTCTCGCTCTGTCGCCCAGGCTGGAGTGCAGTGGCACAATCTTGGCTCACTGCAAGCTCCACCTCCTCGGTTCACGCCATTCTCCTGCCTCAGCCTCCTGAGTAGCTGGGACCACAGGTGCCCGCCACCACGCCCGGCTAATCTTTTTTTTTTTTTTTTTTGTATTTTTAGTAGAGACAGGGTTTCACTGTGTTAGCCAGGATGGTCTCGATCTCCTGATCTCATGATCTGCCCGCCTCGACCTCCCAAAGTGCTGGGATTACAGGCGTGAGCCACCGTGCCTGGCGCCGATTGAGTCTTAATTGTTCCATCAGTATGTTCCACTAATCAAGAGGACTGTCAGTGGTGGCCACAGTGGAAATGCAGAATAGGCAAAATTTTACATATTGATTTTATATTCTGCCTAGCAAAATGAGTGCCTTCGTCACTGTACAGTTCTGAGGGTACACCCCATATGGGGATTATTTTTTCCTAATAAGATTTAACTTACTGCTTAGGCTGTTAGTCTGCAATGGGGAAAGGCTTCCACCCAGTGGGAAAACATATAAATCATAACCAAAACAAATTTATATCATTGAGATGGTAGTAGCTAGATAAAATCCATCTGTCATATCTCAAAAGATCCTGAAGCTAAAGGAAAACACCCTATGGAACTATGAATATGTTTTCTAGGGTTGTATTTGGGACAGACTTGGGATCTTTGCTAAACTTTGCTAAACTTGAGAAGCAACCTTTGGGGAGGGTTTCCAATAATATTATCATTTTATCCCCAATGGGTTAAGTGATTAATATAATCTAAAATTTGATCTTGGAGGCCCCCTGGCAAGACTGATCTCTTATGGAGCCCATGCTATAGGCTGGTGTATTACTCATGGTTCTCCAGAGGATGTATGAAAGGGAGTTTATTAGGAAGAACTGGCTCACACAATCACAAGTCGAAGTCCCACTACAGGCCGTGTGCAAGCTGGGGAAGAAAGAAGCCAGTAGTGGCTCAGTCTGAGTCCAAAAGCCTCAAAAGCAAAGAAGCTGACAGTGCAGCCTTCAGTCTGTGGCCAAAGGTCCAAGAGCCACCAGAAAACCACTGGTGTAAGTCCAAGAATCCAAAGGCCAAAGAACCTGAAGTCTGATGTCCAAGGGCAGGGGGAACAGAGGGAAGCATCCATCATGGGAGAAAGATGAAACCCAGAAGACTCAGCAAGCCAGCTTATCCCACTTTTTTCCACCTGCTTTGTTCTAGCCATGCTGGCAGCCAACTGGATGGTGCCCACCTACATTGAGGGTGGGTCTTCCTCTCCCAGTCTACCTACTCAAATGTCAGTCTCCTCTGGCGACACCCTCACAAACACACTCAAAAACAATACTTTACCAGCTACCTAAGCATCTTTCAATTCAATCAAGTTGACACCTAATATTAATGTTAACCATCACAGCTGGTTTTAGAGTCATGAAAACATTCTTCAGTTTTCCTATCTTTTTTTCAATTTGGGGGCTGTCATGCATTGTGGATACAGGTCTTGATTATATTGCATTGGCCATTAGAGGATCTGAAGGAGTATTGAGTTTGGGTGGTTGGTTCATAGAAGCTGCAGCTTTTGCAGCTCTGTCAGTCAAGTCATTTCCTTTACCTTCTTTAGAATCAGTTTTTTTTTTGTGTGTCATGGAATTTTAATTATTGCTAAAGATTTAGGTTTTTAGGTAGCATCAAGTAATTTCAGGACATAGTCACTGTTTTTTTTAATCTTTTGGCCAGTAGAGTTCAGAAAATCTTTGTTTCCAGAGCATAACAAAATCACGTTTGACCCCAGAAGCACAGTGTCTATCAGTATAGGTATTTGCAGTCTTATTAATTGCCAGGATACTTAGGAGAGAGCAAAGAGTTCTGTCTGCTGTGCAGAAGTAGTCTTGGGTAGGGAACCACTTTCAATGGTTTCAGACAGTGAGACAACAGCATAGCCAGCTTGACATTTCCCTGAGGTATTTCAAGGTAGAATCCATCAGTAAACCAGACAAATTCAGCATTTGGAATGGGGACTTCCTATAGGTTTTTTCTGGGGGTTAGTGTTATATAGTCATGTGGTGTCTCGTCAGAAGGAAGAAGAGATAAGGTGGCAGGATTCAAAGAGTTACAGCAATCAATAGTTACATTAGAGGGATGATAATAATAGGATCTATAAGAAGTGAGTCTGCTAGCAGTGAGTCGTTGGAGGTATGGATTGAAATTAATGGAGATCCTATCATTAATTATTTGATCGCACTTAATAAATTTGCAGTGGCTATGATAGCTCACATATAGGATAGGAGTCATGTTGCCCCAGGACCTGTTGGCTATAATATTTGAGGGGACTGATGGTCTCCATGCCTTCAGGTAAAAACCCCTAAGCCATTTTCATTTTGTTCATGAACAAAAACGGAAAGGGGGAGACTCTAGAATGCCCTAATGCAGGGGGCCCAAGAAGATTCTCCTCAGTATTTTCAAAAGAGGAGAAGGCTTCTCAGGCCACTGTAGGGGTTCAAAGTGGCCCGTTTTTAGGAGGTAATACAGAATCTGAGCCATGGCAGAGAAATTTGAGATTCATTATCTAGTGCTCTGTTAATCTCAAGAACTCAGAGAGTTGTCTTTTGGTCATGGGAACAGGAAAAGCCAAGATTGATTTTTTTTTTGGAGATAGAGTCTCACTCTGTCACCCAGGCTGGAGTGCAGTGGCGCAATGTCGGCTCCCTGCAACCTCCTCCTCCCAGGCTCAAGCAATTCTCCTGCCTCAGCCTCCTGAGTAGCTGGGACTACAGGCACATGACACCATGCCCAGGTAAATTTTTTTTGTTGTTGTTGTTGTTTTAGTAGAGACGTGGTTTCACTGTGTTAGCCAAGATGGTCTTGATCACCTGACCTTGTGATCTGCCTACCTCGGCCTCCCAAAGTGCTGGGATTAGAGGCATGAGCCACCACGCCCGGCCCAAGATTGATTTTATTCTTTGGGGATCGAGCAAAAGACCCTGTCCTGAAATTAGATGTCCTAAATATTTCACTTGTGAGAGAGAAAGTTGTAGCTTCTCTTTTGAAGCTTTATGGCTTTTAGTGGCTACTTTCTTTAATAGACAGTGGCTGTCCTCTATGGAAGCCTTTAAGGTAAAGGAACAAAGTAATAAGTCATCCACATATTTTATGAGAACAGAATGCAAAGGAAGTGCCAAATCTGCTATGTCTGTTTTTAAGACTTGGGAGAAGTATTTGGGACTATCAGCATACCCCAGAGGCATTACTGTCCAGGTATATTGTTGTCCTTTCCGTGTTAAGGCAAAAAGATACTGGCTAGCTGGATCAACAAGGATGATTAAAAAAAAAAAAGAAAAAAGAAAAAAAAGCACTGCAGAGGTCAATCACAGTGAAAACCTGACTACCTGGTGGTATGGCGGATAGTAATGTATGCAGGCTAGGTACAACAAGATAATGGAGTATTAAAATGTTATTGATGGCTTCTAAGTCCAGGACAGATCTCCATCCCTGGTTATTAGGTTTTTGTACTCATAGAATGGGGGTATTACCTGGGCTAGTGCATGGAATAATTAGTCCCTGCTTGAGGTAGTCCTCAAAAATTGGTTTGATTCCCTGAATGGCTTCCTAGTATAAGGGAATCAAATTGTTTAATGTTTGGAAGTCTTTTTGTTTCATCTATTTGTATGTTAATTGGTTGTGCTGAATGAAAACAGTCAATATCTGTGGTGCATTTGGACCATAAGTTTTCAGAGTAGAGAGGTTAGTAGGTCTTGAAATGTTTCACTAGGTGATACTTTCTCCTTGTTTTCAAGAACTGAAAATATAGAGATGGAAAGTACAGTGAGTTCCTTGAGGGTTCCCTCTATAGTAGTTTTTTTCCAGTAGTAATTGCATTTCCCCCTTTTGGAAGAAAGAAATTCGAGCTTTGTGGGCTTCCAAGAAAATTTCAGCCAATTAAGTGAATGAGAGCTGAAGGGACTAACAGAAACTGATAAGGGCCCTGGAGTTCCCCAAGTCAAAATGCTATGGGGAAATGGCCTCTTTCACTGCAACTGGGGACTCATCTTGTCTATGCAAAGATCTGCTGGGCCACTGGGACATAGTCTTCTGGATCCAGGTCCCTTGTCAGTGTTCCCACACAGTCCCAGTACCCTCCTTGGATCTTCTCCAGGTCCATCTGGAAAGCCCCATCAACCTTGGAGTCCTCATGAGACTAATGGCAAGCCTGGGCTCAGAGTCTCTTCTAGTGCTGGGACAGCTGCAGTAATCACAGCCTAAGGGAACATATCAGTCAGTCTGCTTAGAATCCCTGGAAGGACCTCTGAAGAAGAACAGGCACAGATAAAGCCAGACCGTGAAGACTGAAATAAATACCTAATACTTCAATGTGCAGACATCATTGCATCTACATAGGCATCAAGAGCATTCAGGGAAATATGACCTCACCAAACAGACAAAATAAGGTGCCAGAGATTGACCCTAAAGTGATGGAGATGTGTAATTCTCCGACAAAAAATTCAAAATAGCTGTTTTAAGGAAGTTCAATGAACTTCAAGAAAACATTGAGAATCCATTCAGAAATGTATCAGTGAAGTTTAACAAAGAGATTGAAACAATAAACACAAAAATTAAGCGGGAATCCTGGAACTACAAATTACAATAGATGAAAAATGCAATAGAAAGCATCAACAGCAGAATTGATCGAACAGAAGAATCAGTGAGCTTGAAGACAGACTATTTGAAAATATAGTCAGAGTAGAAAAAAGAAATGAAAAGGAATGAACAAAGTATATGGGATCTATGGGACAACATCAATATTTTCCAGGATGTTGTGGTTGGCAGTGTACAGTTTGGCCCAGTTCAAGGGTTCAAGGCAAGTCCTTGATTTTTGTACATGGAAGTTTATAGGACATGCAGGCAGTCTTTCTTAGAATGGCTTTGCACAGCCACGTGGTGTAATGGAATAGTTATACATTCTGGATTCAGAAAAGGGAGGTTCAAATTCTAGCTATACCACTTCTCCAACCTTGTGACCATAAGCAAATCATTTCACCTTTCCAATAAATTTCCTTATCTGTGAAAGAGGACTGATGGTAATATATCATAGAGTTTGATAAGAATTAAACAAGACAAAATATATGAAAGTATTGAGGTTATTAGAGGTTATACAAGTGTTTGTCATATATGTGTTATATAGAATACATATGTTATAACCATTTATATATATAATGAAAATTAGAATATATACACATTTAATACATGATCAGTGTATGTTAGAATGTTTTTCAATTCCTGCTTAATAATACATGTAATCACATATATTTCCAAAACCAGCTACCACTTCATTATTACTCTTATTTCTGCCTGACAGTTTTTCAGCTGCTTTTTCCCCTTTATAATATTTTGTGGGCTTTCTGTTAATGCAGTAGGATTTGTAACCAAATGCTCACAGATTCTCATTCCTTTTTCAACAGGTGGGTGCACTCAGTCCTGGGATTCCAGGAGTGTTTTTAGTAGTCAGTGAGTCTCACTAAAACCTGAGGGTCTTCTTCCAGGCTGGGCACCCAGCTGCCTTTTTCTGTTTTTGGAAGGACCACAGAAAATCTCCTGTCAAAAGTTTAAAACTTTCCACTGCCTGTAAATAGGGTGATTCATCCCTTGTAAAATATAACCTGGTTTGATTACATATAACCTCATTCTGACATATCCTTCAGCTTTTTAAAAAATTGCAGCTGTCTTGCTATAAGATGTCCCATTGCATATTTCATTTGTATTATTAGGCTATAAATCAGCATCAAAACAGAGAGATGCTCTTAAGAGAGACACTCTTCTTTTTAAGAGTGTTCTAAGAATAAGGCATTGCCTTTGTATAGTTAAAGTGATTACCATGCCTGTTAGCTACACTACTTCAAGGAAGCCCCCATTGGGAATATATTAAAGAAGATACTCAACATTGAAAGAAACTAATCTTTGAAGGTTTGTAAAGATTAAATGTAGGAAAACATAATTTTTAAAGCTTAAAAACATTCCCAAATAACACATTTCAGAAGTACTCTTTTTCTTAACTGGTATAAAACTTAATTTAGAGAAATAGGAAAGACTTAGTAGTTAGATTTAAATATATTGGCTGTCTGATTCACAAATCTTGTTGAAGACATTAACAAAATGGAAGCAAATCATAGCAATTAAATGGATCAAAATTGGCCTCATCTCCCCACCACCAGAATTTACCATTTTTATATATGTTATAGATTTGTACATATACATTGAATTATTTTGGCTTTTATTTATGTAAATGTCAGACTACAAACATCATTTAAGCAACTTCATTTTTTTTTACTCAACAATGCTTTTTTTAAATAATGCTTTTAAGATATACCCATTGTTTCTGTCTCACAATTGCTACAGTAAATGAGTCTATGATTCTAAGTCTTTGTTTGTTTGTTTGTTTGTTTAAAGCCAGCCTCAGGTTTGCTAAATCCCAGTTTGCTTTTGACCTTACCAGAAATAAAGGAGGAAGAAACTAACTCCATTGCTTGGCTTTATTCCAAGAGCACTTCACTACTAATCTTAAGGAGAGATTAGCCAACAAAAGTGAAACGTGGATCTGAAGCAATATTCCAGACATGTAATTTAATCCCCAAAACTACTTTGTTCTGAACAACCAGATACTTAAGAAGTGGATTTGTTCTGCCTTGGATTTCCAGCTAGTTCCTCCTAGCTTATCTCACTGATGGATGAATTAATTCACCCGTCCATTCAATGAGTTTTTATTAACTGTCAGCTAAATGCACAGCACTGCATTAAACAAGTTGTTTTATTTTTGATTGTGAATAACTAACTTTGTGAAGGGCATCTTTATTCTTTTTTGTCATCTTTACATATTACAGCATGTACTTCCTAAATCCTAGTTACCTTTCCCAACCACTATGAACCAATAACTCAAACAAGGTGGTGATTTAGCTGTTTGTCCTATAGTTCCACTAAATCTTCAAGATGTATCCTATACTTCAAAAAAAGATACATACCTTAAAATTAGAATTCCTGCTAATACTAAGTCCACAGGGATTAAATTCGTTATTCTAGAGTCACAGGGCAAGTCATTGTGAGTACAAGGTTTGCAATCAGATGTAGGTTAGATCAACAATACCCTGCTACTGAACTATGAAAGTTTTAAGCCCTTATAAACCCTGAGCTATTTTATCACAAGAATTTCATTCTCAGCAACTGGTTTGTGCAAAATCAATGTTAATTATAATTATAGATTATTTGGGGTGTCGATTTTAACATCTTTTTTAAAGTCATGAAATAAATTCCCAGACCATCCAAAATGAATTTGTGCTTATTTAGGCTTGTTTGTTGCTAAATTCATTTAGGCACAAGGTAGATTGAAGATCTCTCTGATCTTTTCCCTGGAGTGATGCCTTGACTTTCATAGATAGCAATACACTGTTACCTAGCAATAAAGCAGAACCCATCTGTTTTCATATTTACCAAGAAGAGATTGTAAGTAAAGTCAATGAGGTAAAGGGCCCTGTTTTAATTTTACTAGACTCTGTTTAATTAGAGTTTCTTCTGTTCCAAGCTATGGCTTTTCACAATGGTCAGGTTAACTTCATATTTAGAAGAGTGAGATTCTGAGCCACTGATGAGCCCAAATTTCAAGTTTCTCTTTTTCTGTGTGGTAGACAAACATTGTTTCCTTACTGGTATTTTATCTGTCACTCCAAATGGCTGAATACTCAAAGAACTTTAAGGTACATTCTACATGATTTTTTATGTGTTTTGTGTTTTAGGTATCTGATCAGCAACAGGTTCCATCATGTGCCCTCCCACAGAGTCTCAAAATCTCAGGGCAATTCCTTTGAGTTGAGTTGCGGTCTCAGGGCTGAGTAGCATCCATCATGAGACAAACACAATGTTGTTGAGATAGACTCATACCTGGAGATCTGCCCAGTGAAAAACAGACTCTGCTTAGGTTGTCCAGTGCATTCTCACCAAAGGCAAAGTCTTGCTGTGTTTTTCTTCTAAGGCTATTAGGATGATCAAATAAATGGGCTAAAGCCCACTGAAAACACTGCAATAAGGTATCATACCTCATGCTTAGCTGATACCTAGCCTGCACTGGTTTTGTTATTTAAATATTAACATAATTCCACAGTGATTGGTAAATAGCTGCTGATTTCCAAAATCTAACAACCAAGGAGCTTACACCCAGTCCAATAAGGAGGGCCTCTGATTCTGCTCCATTCTGACTGGCTCCCAATTTTAGTGATTATGTTTTAATGTCCTTCCTGCCCAAAACAAATGTGAAAATAAAAGTGAATGAGGCTAGATGCGGTGGCTCATGCCTGTAATCTCAGGACTTTGGGAGGCCGAGAGGGGTGGAACACCTGAGGTCAGTAGTTTGAGACCAGCCTGGCCAACATGGTGAAACCCTGTCTCTACTAAAAATACATAAAATTAGCTGGGCCTGGTGGCAGGTGCCTGTAATCCCAGCTACGTGGGAGGCTGAGGCAGAAGAATCACTTGAACCTGGGAGGTGGAGGTTGCAGTGAGCCGAGATCGCGCCATTGCACTCCAGCCTGGGCAACAAGAGTGGAAACTCTGTCACACACAAAAAAAAAAAAAATTAGCTGGCCATGGTGGTAGGTGCCTGTAATCCCAGCTACTTGGGAGGCTGAGGCAGGAGAATCACTTGAACCAGGGAGGCGGAGTTTGCAGTGAGCCAAGATGACGCCACTACACTCCAGCCTGGGTGACAGAGCGAGACTCCGTCTCAAAAAAAAGGAATGAAACAACAAATGTATATACAAATAGACTATGGTTTACAAATATAACTTCTAGCTACTAATGCTGAATAACAAATTATCCTGAAAGCTAGTGGATTAAAATAACAATATTTATTATGCTCACAATTCTACAATTTGGGCGTACTTGGTGGAGCGGCTTGTTGCTGTTCCAGTTGGTGTTAGCTGGGGTAGCTTAATGGTTGGTGTAATGGTTAATTTTATGTGTCAATTTAGCAAGGTCATAGGACCCAGATACTTGGTTAAACACCAGTGTGGATGTTGCTTTGAAGGTATTTTTTAAACGAGATTAACATTTAAATAAGTAAACTTTAAGTAAAGTAAATTACCCTCCATAATGTGGGTGGGGCTCATCCAATCAGTTTCTTAAGTAAAAACACACTGAGGAAACAGAAGAGAGGATTCTGCCAGCAGATTGCCTTTGGACTTGAGCTGCAACATCAACTTCCATGGGTCTCTGACTTGCTGGTCTACCCTGCAGACGTCAGACTTGCCAGCCTCTGTAATCATGTGATAACTTCTCCGGAGAACCCTGACTAAGACAGCTGGGAACTGGAATAATCTGGAGTCCTTAATCCATCACATGTCTGGTGGTTAACACTGGAAAGACTTAAACAATTGGGATTAGGAATACCTGGGGCTTCTTGGGCATCTCCATCTCATAGTCTTCCAGGATGGCAGCTTCAGGTGAACTTTTTTCATGTCAGATCAGGATTCCAAAAGCATTTGTCCCTAGAAAGAGAAAACAGAGCAGAATCTGAATTTTTTATGACTTAACTTCTGAGGTCACATTGTACCATTTATGATGTCTTCTATTGGTTGAGGCCATTACAAATGCCCACCCAGACTCAAGAAGAGGGAACTCAGACCCCATCTCTCAATGCAGAAATGTCAACATCACATTATAAGAAAAACATGTGGGATGAAATATATTGGTGCAACCATCTTTGGAAGATACCATCTGCCTCACTAATGTTTTCAAATTCTAAAACATATTTTCTATTTATTTAGAGTTACTAATGCTTGATGCTCTACTTTTAGAGTGGATCTACTAGTTAATCATTCTTTTTTTTTCCTTTTTTCACTTTAAGTGGTTATTTTATTATTAGAGAGATGTATACTTGAAAAACTTAATTTCCAGTTTTTAATTCCCCTAAATTTTATTTATTTATTTATTTATTTATTTTTGAGACAGTGTCTCACTTTGTCGCCTAGGCTGGAGTGCATGGTGCAATCTCAGCTCACTGCAACCTCTGCCTCCCGGGTTCATGCAATTCTCGTGCCTCAGCTGGGAACCACCAGGCCCAGCTAATTTTTGCATTTTTAGTAGAGACAGGAGTTCACCATGTTGCCCAGGCTGGTCTCGAATTCCTGGCCTCAGGTGATCCACCCACCTCAGCCTCCCAAAGTGCTGGGATTACAGGTGTGAGCCATTGCACCCAGCCGTAATTCTCCTAAATTTTAATATCTTGATTTTTTTCTTAAAGTCACACAAAGTAAGTTCAACGTAAAACTAAGAAGTTTTCATGTGTCCCTTAAGGCTAGAAAACTGTTTTATAAAAGAACATGTAATGAGAATGCAATTAACGAAATTGCCATCGAAGACAATGTAATTGTTTGGCTTGAGTGAATCCCAATTTGGACAATGTTAGCATCATCTTCGAGTCTCTTTTTACTTAGAACCAGCTGTTCTGCTTTTCCACGCCTCTTTCCCTGGTAGGAATTTAGGTAGAGGTGGGGATGGGTTGAGGCAAGAAGATGACATCTCTTGGCTGGTTTGAAAAAGTACCTTAGCTTATGCAGCCAAAAAACACATGAAAAAATGCTCATCATCACTGGCCATCAGAGAAATGCAAATCAAAACCACAATGAGATACCATCTCACACCAGTTAGAATGGCAATCATTAAAAAGTCAGGAAACCACAGGTGCTGGAGAGGATGTGGAGAAATAGGAACACTTTTACACTGTTGGCGGGACTGTAAACTAGTTCAACCATTGTGGAAGTCAGTGTGGCGATTCCTCAGGGATCTAGAACTAGAAATACCATTTGACCCAGCCATCCCATTACTGGGTATATACCCAAAGGACTATAAATCCTGCTGCTATAAAGACACATGCACACATATGTTTATTGCGGCATTATTCACAATAGCAAAGACTTGGAACCAACCCAAATGTCCAACAATGATAGACTGGATTAAGAAAATGTGGCACATATACACCATGGAATACTATGCAGCCATAAAAAATGATGAGTTCACGTCCTTTGTAGGGACATGGATGAAATTGGAAATCATCATTCTCAGTAAACTATCGCAAGAACAAAAAACCAAACACTGCATATTCTCACTCATAGGTGGGAATTGAACAATGAGATCACATGGACACAGGAAGGGGAATATCACACTCTGGGGACTGTTGTGGGGTGGGGGGAGGGGGGAGGGATAGCATTGGGAGATATACTTAATGCTAGATGACAAGTTAGTGGGTGCAGCGCACCAGCATGGTACATGTATACATATGTAACTAACCTGCACAATGTGTACATGTACCCTAAAACTTAAAGTATAATAAAAAAATAAAATAAAAATAAATCCAAAAATAAATAAATAAATAAATAAATAAAAGAAAAAGTAGCTTAGAGCCAGGATGGGTAGAGTTGATTCTGCCCTACCGTTCCCTAGGGGTAGTTACTTCTTACTGGAACTGCTGCTAATTTACCTTCAAGGTAGTTGCTGCTGTTTTTTCTTAAATTTTGGCTTAAACTTCGATAAAAATAACAACTGTATTTGTCTGTCCAGGGTTACAAAGAGGAAAAGTTTCTTAAGCCTCAAATCAGTAGGATATCATTTCAACTGTGTGAAGTTATTTTCTTGTAACCTTTATGCCTCCTTCTTGGCTGTTCTTTCTCCCATTCCCCACTAGTATATTAAAATTTCTATTATTTATTTTTATTTTAAAAATTTATTATTTAATATTTTGAAAATAAAAAAGCTACAAAGATAATAATACAATCATCTGTGTATCCACACCTAGCTTAAGAAATCAAATGTTACCAACATAGTTGAAGCTTCCTATGTTCACCCCTACCACATATTAATCTCTTCTGCTCCCTCAGGAGGTAATCACTTTTCTGAATTTAGTATTTTTTATTCCTCAGCACTTAAAAATCTTTTACTACATTTGTATGTGTTCCTAAATAATCTATACCAGTACTGTGCATGCTTTTAAGCTTTATGGAAGTGGCATCATACTATATATATCTATCTGCAACCTTTTTATTTTTATTTTTTGAGACGGAGTCTCGCTCTGTCGCCAGGCTGGAGTGCAGTGGCATGATCTCGGCTCACTGCCACCTCCGCCTCCCGGGTTCAAGCGATTCTCCTGCCTCAGCCTCCCGAGTAGCTGGGACTACAGGCGCCCACCACCACACCCAGCTAATTTTTTTGTTTTTTTGAGATGGAGTTTTGCTCTTGTTGCCCAGGCTGGAGTGCAATGGTGCGATCTCGGCTCAGCACAACCTCGGCCTCCTGGGTTCAAGTGATTCTCCTGTCTCAGCCTCCCGAGTAGCTGGGATTATAGGCATGCACCACCATGCCTAGCTAATTTTTTGTATTTTTGGTAGAGATAGGGTTTCTCCATGTTGGTGAGGCTGGTCTCAAACTCCCGATCTCAGATGATCCACCCACCTCAGCCTCCCAAAGTTGTGGGATTACAGGCGTGAGCCACCGCGTCTGGCCTGCAATCTGCTTTTTAAAAATTATATTTGTGTGATACATCCTTAAATTTATTTTCACTGTTTCTTGGTCTTTCATTGTATGAATATTCCTCAGTTTACTACCCATTCTTTTATTGATGGACATGTTATTTCCTATTTTTGCTATTATAAACGATGCTTCTGTAAAATTCCTTGTACTTGTCTCCTTGTGCACCTGGGTGAGTTTCTTACGGCGGCGAACCATTTAATCCAAGTCTGCAGTGAGATAAGAAGCTTGTGTAAAAATATATATCATCATACTGTCTCCTTCATTAAGGAAGTCTTATCTAAAAAAAGTCAGCTTGGCTGGGCACGGTGGCTCACGCCTGTAATCCCAGCACTTTGGGACGCCGAGGCGGGCAGATCACGAGGTCAGGAGATCGAGACCATCCTGGCTAACACGGTGAAACCCCATCTCTACTAAAAATACAAAAAATTAGCTGGGCGTGGTGGCGGGCGCCTGTAGTCCCAGCTACTGGGGAGGCTGAGGCAGGAGAATGGCGTGAACCCGGAGGGCGGAGGTTGCAGTGAGCCGAGATCCCGCCACTGCACTCCAGCCTGGGGGACAGAGTGAGACTCCGTCTCAAAAAAAAAAAAAAAGTCAGCTCATCCCTAAATAGTATATTTAGTGACATAGTTGATTTACATCCTTGCATGAGTTCTTTATCTTATTGGTCTAGTAACAAAGAGTTTGAGAATGTGGACTATTTTGAATGAAATTGTTGGGTCATGGTCATATCTTCAGTTTTACTGCATATTTCCAAAATGTTTTATAAAATCATTGTACCAACTTACACAGCCCTCAGAAGTGAATAAAAACTCCCACTGTTTCACATCTTTGCCAACATGTAATAACATCAGACCTTTTAATTTTTGCAAATCTGGATATAAAGTTTGGCTTAAACTCTGACAAAAGTATCAAATGACTTCTCATTATGGTTTTATTTTGTCTTTCCTTGATTGCTAATGATATAAAGCATCTTGCCATTTTTCAGAAACTGGTTTTTAGGCTGGGCATGGTGGCCACTCATGCCTATAATTCTAGCACTATCGAAGGTGGAGGTGGAAGGATGGCTTGGGCCCAGAGTTTAAGGCCAGCCTGGGCAATGTGACCTGGTCTCTACTAAAAATGTAAAAATTAGCCAGGTGTGGTGGCATGTACCTGTGGTCCCAGCCATTCAGGAGGCTGAGATGGGAGGATCACTTGAGCCCAAGGAGTCTGAGGTTACAGTGAGCTGTGGTCATACCACTCCAGCCTGGCCCATAGAGTGAAACCCTGTGTCAAAAAAATATAAGGCCAGATGCAATGGCTCATGCCTGTAATCCCAGCACTTTGAGAGGCTGAGGTGGGTGGACCACTTAAGCTCAGGAGTTTGAGACAAGCCTGGTCAATGAAGTGATATCCCATCTCTACAAAAAATACAAAAACTAGGTGGGTGTGGTGGCGCATGCCTGTAGTCCCAGCTACTCAGGAGGCTTAGATGAGAGGATGGCTTGAGCCTGGGAAGTTTCAGTGAGCCAAGATCATGCCCCTGCTCTCCAGCCTGGAGGACAGAGCTAGACCCTGTCTCAAAAAACATAAAATAAAATAAAGTAAGATAAGATAAGATAAAATAAAATAAAATGATTTTTAGGGTTTTTATAAGCATTGAACTTTTCTGGACTGTTGCTGCTAATTTTCAATTTTTCTTTATAATTTCTTCCTTTTATTCAATGTTCCAAAGGTAAACCATGTTTGCTTATTGCTTTTTAATTCTCTTTTTCCTATTTCTTTCTCCTTTTATCATTTCATTCTTGCCTGTGGAATGTTATTGATGCTTCTATGACTGGCTTTCTGCTTTTCTATCTCTACCATTACTTTTTGCTGGCTCAGGTTCTCTCAGAATCCTTCTTTTTGGGCCAGTTGTGGTGGCTCACACCTGTAATCCCAACACTTTGGGAGACCAGTGCAGGAGGACCCCTTAAGCCCAGGAGTTCAAGACCAGCCTAGGCAACACGGCGACACCCCATCTCTACAAGAAATACAAAAATTAGCTGACCGCGCCACTGCACCCCAGGCCGGGCAACAGAGTGAGACCCTGTCTCAAAACAAACAAACAAAAAGAATCCTTCCTTTTGGTAAAGGTTATGTCTTTGGTAAAGGTCATTATTCATGCATGCGACTAAACAAGACTCAGGGGTGTAATAATAGAAGCAACTTTATTTTGTTCTCTCACTGTCCTAAGTGGGGAAATTCCTTTTACTCCTGCGTAAAAACTCAGGCAAGCCCCATGACTTTTCTCATCCATTGTAGTTAATAAAAGTCTTATATCACATTAGCTTGCAAACACAGTATTAATTTAGTAATAAAATATTCAGCCCAGTATATGAATCAACATTTTAATCTTTACTCAAAGGTACAACTTCTATCCGTTTTGATCTAGGACTTCCTGCATTAGTGCTGCCTCCTTCCATGAAGTGAGGCGTGGTCCTTCTTTTCTCCTTTCCTGTCTGGAGTATATCCGTTTCCTCAGGTTTGCTAATTATTATTCCTACCCTGCCCAGGGTGGAAGGCAGGGAACTGAGGAGTCAGGGAAGAGCCGTAAGGGATACAAGAACATTCTTACGTGACTGGTACTGTTGTAAGGTGGCTTTACCCCAGGCTTGGTAGATAGGTAAAGCCCATTGTTTCTCTTAGAGGTCCTGGGTTCTTTAAGGATTCTCCTGCTCAGCCTCTGCAGCTACAACTCTCTGGATGTGTATATTGCCTCCCCTTTGGGTGGCCACTCCCAGTGTCCTGTAGCCAAATATTCCTCTTTCTCTGGGGTCCACTCAAGCTGGTAGGCTGCCTCCTTAGGGGGATCCCTTCCATTTTATTTTATTTTATTTTTTTGAGACAGAGTCTGGCCCTGTCGCCCAGGCTAGAGTTCAGTGGTGTGATCTTGGCTCACTGCAACCTCCACCTTCTAGGTTTAAGCAATTCTCCTGCCTCAGCCTCCTGAGTAGCTGATTATAGGCACCCACAATCATGCCCAGCTAATTTTTGTATTTTTAGTAGAGACAGGGTTTTGCCATGTTGGCTAGGCTGGTCTTGAACTCCCGACCTTAGGTGATCCATCCACCTTGGACTTCAAAGTGCTGGGATTTTAATTTACTCCTCCTCCTTCTTCTTCTTTTCTTTAGGAAAATGCCTATTCTTTTTTTTTTTTTTTTTTTGAGACAGGGTCTCACTCTGTCACCCAGGCTGGAGTGTGGTGGCACGATCATGACTCACTGCAGCTTCGACCTCCTCGGCTCAAGTGATATCCCCACCTCAGCCTCTTGAGTAGCTGGGACTACAGTCCTGTGCCACCAAGCCCAGCTAATTTTTTGTAGAGACAAAGTTTCATCATGTTGCCCAGGCTGGTCTCGAACTCTGGGCTCAAGTGATCTGCCCACCTCGGCCTCCTAAAGTGTTGGGATTACAGGCATGAGCCACTGCACCTGGCCTAACTCCCATTTTAGAGCAGCAACACTTACCTTCCCTGCCACCATCCTCTACTCTGCTGTCAAGGTTGCTATGCCTTTTTCAGGCCTGAATCCAGCCACAGGCTACTCTGCCTTTCAGATTTTGGCCCACGCATCAAGCTCTCCATATTGTCTTCTCAATGCCCCTACTACGAGCTTGAGGTAAGGAAGAAGCCACCTCTGCACCCCACTGCCTATCCAAAGAAATCTTCCTGTCAAACCCTTTGAATCTACAATTTCTCCATCCTTTCATATCAGTGACCAGGTGGAAGGGTCTTGCATGAGGGGGTTCAAGAATCACATACTTTGTCTCATATATCTCCTCTTAAAATGTGCATCTTAAGGACCGGGCGCAGTGGTTCATGCCTGTAATCCCAGCACTTTGGGAGGTCAAGGCAGGCACATCACTTGAGATCAGGAGCTTGAGACCAGCCTGGCCAACATGGTGAAACCCTATCTCTAGTAATAATACAAAAATTTGCCAGGTGTGATGGTGTGCACCTGTAATTCCAGCTACTCGGGAGGCTGAGGCAGGAGAATCGCTTGAACCCGGGAGGCGGAGGTTGCAGTGAGTTGAGATCACGCCACTGCACTCCAGCCTGGGCAACAGAGCGAGACTCTGTATCAAAGAAAAAAAAAGTGCATCCTGACCAGCCTGGGCAACATGGCAAGACCTTGTCTCTGCAAAAATGCAAAAATACAAAAATTTGCCAGGCGTTGTGCATGTAGTCCCAGCTACTGGGGAGACTGAGGTAGGAGGATCACCTGAGCCCCAGAGGTTGAGACTGCAGTGAGCTGTGATCGTGCCGCTGCACTCCAGCCTGGGTGACAGAGTAAGACCTACTCTAAAAAATAAAAATAATTAAAATGTGCATCTTGTGCTCCTGTCTCACAACTTACTCTGGTTGCTGCTATCAGTTTGTTTTCGGACCTCACTCAAAAATTTCAATTTTTAACTTTCAATTGTAGTCAAATACGGTTAAATGCTGCCTTTGTAGATATGCCTATTTTTTTTTTTTTGCATTCTGGATTTGATATCACAGAGGTTTCTATAATCAATATTTCCTTTGCTGTATGCTCATGTACACATACTCACATATATACACACAAATATTTATATACATGAAGATAGATGGTTATGCCTATTTTCTTATCAAAGACATTTATTTTTGATAAATTTCAGTTTTTTCTTAATTCTGCCCAGCAGAATAACAAATCCCCTAGAAAAGTACAAGACTAAGCCAAAAGACCAACTCTAGAAAAAATAAAAGTAACCAGAAAACCTACCCCTAAACTTGGTATCTGCATAGTTTGTTAAAATGAAAGGGAGATTTGTTATGGTTGAATTTATTATTGAAAAGATGGTGGACAAGATTACAGATCAGACTTGGCATCTAGGCTTGACATTTCCTTAGGAATGCCTTTAGTTAATCCTGACACATATTTTTATTCAATTAACTACAAATAGTGAATGACATCATTACAGCACCAAAGCTGTATCTTTCCATTTCTTAGTTTGTTGTCTAGAGATTAATATCAAATTTTGCATTCCCAGGAAAGAAAACATCACTATTCACCTAGAATCTAAATTCAACAAATAAATTTAATTCAACAAATATTGAATACCTAATTATATGCAAGGCACTAATACAGTGTATTAAAAATAGTAAAAATAAGCAACATTTTTGAGCACCTATTATGTGCCAACTATATGTCCTTCACATGTGTTATTTCTTTTTCAACACAGCTTTATGGATATATACTTCACATATCATACAATTCACCTATTTAAAGCATACAATTGAATGGGTCTTAGTATGTTCACAGAGTTGTGCAACTGTTGCCACTATCAATTTTAGAACATTTTCATCGCATAAAAAAGAAACTCTGGGGCCGGGCACAGTGGCTCACGCCTGTAATCCCAGCACTTTGGGAGGCTGAGGCAGGCGGATCACCTGAGGTTGGGAGTTCGAGACCAGCGTGACCAACATGGAGAAACCCCATCTCTACTAAAAATACAAAATTAGCTGGGTGTGGTGGCGCATGCCTGTAATCCCAGCTACATGGGAGGCTGAGGCAGGAGAATAACTTGAACCCAGGAGGCAGAGGTTGCAGTGAGCCGAGATCGCACCATTGCACTCCAGCCTGGGCAACAAGAGCGAAACTCTGTAAGAAGAAAAGAAAAAGGCCAGGCACAGTGGCTCATGCCTGTAATCCCAGCACTTTGGGAGGCTGAGGTGGGCAGATTACCTGAGGTCAGGAATTCAAGACCAGCCTGGACAACATGGTGAAACCTCGTCTCTACAAAAATACAAAAATTCGTAGGGCATGATGGCGGATAGCATGTAATCCCAGCTACTCAGGAAGCTGAAGCGGAAGAATCGCTTGAACCTGGGGGGCAGAAGTTGCAGTGAGCTGAGATCATGCCATTGCACTCCAGCCTGGGCGACAGAGCGAGACTCCCTCTCAAAATAAAAGGAAACTCCATAACCACTAGTAGTCATTTCCCATTTCTCCTCCCCTCCCCTATGTCTATTCCACTTCTCTGCCCCAGGCAATCACTTATCTACCTTCTGTCTCTATATATTTGTATATTCTGAACACATTTTATATTCCTCTACATGTGTTATTTCTTTTCTTACACAACCCAGTGAGGTAGGTACCATTGCAATCTCCACTATACAGAAGTGGAAACTGAGTCACGAAGAGGTTAAGTACCCTGACCAAAGTTATATGGCTAGTAAGTAGCTCAGCCAGGCTTTATTTATTTATTTATTTGAGACAGAGTCTCACTCCATCACCCAGGCCAGAATGCAGTGGTGCAATCTTGGCTCGCTGTATCCTCTGCCTCCTGGGTTCAACTGATTCTCATGCCTCAGCCTGCCAAGTAGCTGGGACTACAGGCGTTCACCACCATGCCCGGCTAATTTTTCGTATTTTTGGTAGAGATGGGGTTTCATTATGTTGGCCAGTCTGGTGTCGAACTCCTGCCTTCAACTGATCCACCCACCCTGGCCTCCCAAAGTGCTGGGATTATAGGGGTGAGCCACCGCACCCGGCCTCAGCCAAGGTTTAAACCCAGAATTTAAATTCTAGGTGAATAGCTATGTTTTCTTTCCTGGGAATGCAAAATTTGATATTGATCTCTAGACAACGAATTAAGAAATAGATATAGCTTTGGCGATGTAATGATGTCATTCACTATGTGCAGAATTCATGCTTTTAATCCACTATGAAGGAGACAAAGGTCCTTAGAATCTAACATGATCATGATGTATAAGATACATGCAGAAATACTGATAGTAGATACCGCTCTATGCAGGAGACACAGCATCACACAGTTCAGGGGTGGAAGAGCACCTGGAAAGTATGAGCAATCAAGGATTTTTTTCTGTAGTAGTTAGCTTCTCAGTTGGCACTTAGAGAATGTGGCAGAAATTGCGAGCTGGGGTAATATGTGTTCCAGGTTAGGAAACAAAGGCCTAGAGGTAGGAATGAACAGGTTGTTTCTCCGATCCAGTGTGGCTTGAATGTAACATTCTCAGTCAGTGTATCACTTCCCATTTCGTGACATTAGCTACCGTTTATTTCTGTCTTTTAACGTCAAGCTCTTGACAGGTATTATTTCTAATCTTTAAGACAACCCTACAGGGTAGATATCATTAGCCTTGATATAGACAAGAAGATTGAGGTTCTTGAGGGGTCATAAGGCAAGTAAGTGATAGAGCCAAGATTTGAATAAGTGTCTTTCTGATGTCACATTCCTGCCCTTTCTACTTTATTGTGCTGTCTTACTTAAGGGAGATGGAAAGTTAGGTTGGTGCCATACTGAGAAAAGCCTTGATGGCTGAGGCGAAAAGTTTTTACTTACCTTGGCAGGTAGAGACATGATAGAGACAAAACTCAAGCTGAACTGTGGAAATACTACTATAATCATTTGGGCAGTAGAAATGACAGTCTAAATTAGGAAGGCAGTGGTGCAATCAGACAAAAGGGAAGTACATATAAGAAATATGCATCAGTGGTATTTAGAGACTTCATAACTGGGTGGGAGCAAGGCGTACAGAGGAGTATATAATATTTCTGAAACTTTGGTTCTCTTAGTTCTCAGAAGAGTGTTCTGTGACGGCCATGAACAGAAATACAGAGGAAACGAGGAGGAGCTGGCTTTGTGAGACTGAGGGAGGAAAAATGATAACCTTAATATGGGAGCTGAAGGTGCTGGTGACTTCTGTATCTATGTGAAGATGGGTAACGGGTAATTGGAGATTTAGTCTAGGGCCAAGATCCAGTTATCCAAAGAGTGGTGAGAGTCAAGGCCACAGTAATCAACAAAGAATATAAAGAAAAATGCAATCTTAGTGTCTACTAAAAAGTAGGAGAAACAAGGGAGCCATATTGAATACCTATTACCGGCCTAACACTGCGGAGACGTCTGGGAAGGGCCACAAACCTTTCCACAGTAAACCTCCAATCTTGTTCCAGAGATTAATTACTCTCATGAAACTATATGCAACTAGTACAAAACTTGATAGATTCAGGGCCAATCTGTAGGGTAAACACAAGAGTAACGGGATATTAGAAAAGAAAGACATTGATGTGCTTGGGGAATTTAGGAGGCGAGGAGAAGACAGACCAACACAAGGTATAAGAAGTAGAAATTGTGCATAGGCTGATACCAGGGTAACCCTGCTCTGAGCACAGTGACAGAACTTTGGTGTCTTCTCTGTTGTCAAGGGGATAGCATGGGGCTGAAAAAGTATAAACAGGCTTTGGGGCAAAGCAGATCCCAAAGCTTACAGCTCCCTTTTATTGATGGTATAAAATTGGGCAAATTACTTAGCTTTTTCAGTACTTGTTTCTTTTTCTTTCTTTCTTTCTTTTTTTTTATTTTTTTGAGATGGAGTCTCACTCTGTTGCCCAGGCTGGAGTGCAGTGGTGCGATCCCGGCTCACTGCAACCTCCGCCTCGCAGGTTCAAGCGATACTCCTGCCTCCGCCTCCCGAGTAGCTGGGATTACAGGCACCCGCCACCACGCCCGGCTAATTTTTGTATTTTTAGTAGAGACGGGGTTTCACCATCTTGGCCAGGCTGGTCTTGTACTCCTGACCTCGTGATCCACCCGCCTCGGCCCCGCAAAGTGCTGAGATTACAGGCGTGAGCCACTGTGACCGGCCAGTACGTGTTTCTTCGTTTTAAAAAAGTGAGTATATTTAATAAGGTGGTTGTTTACATTCAGTAAAATAGCGCATGAAAAGCATCTAACACAGGGCTTTAAACAGCAAGACTGGGCAAAACCTAAATAACATTTTCCTTATGTTGTCTTTTTTGCTACCACTTGCACCATACGATTACCCACATTTCCTGTCCCCTCCAGTGCAGCTTCCTGGAGACACTTCACACGTATGCAGGACTTCTGTACATCCTACTCAGGCACAGCTGTAGGCCCTACAAAGAGGGACCATTTACTGCCTCCTGCTGTCATTGATATTCGACAAACATTTATTGAGCACCTACAATGTCCTAGTTACTGTGCTAGGCCATTTTGGGGTATAGAGAGATAAAACAGATCTTAAAGTCTTCACGACACTTAAAGATGAGAAACAGTCTCTGGGTAAATAACTATCGGAGTTCAGAAGGTGGACAGAAGTGGTGGGCGGCGAGTCTGTGTGCAGTGAGCACCTAGCGGAAGATGGCATTATTTGCAGAAGAGAGGTCCTTTAAGCCAAGTCTTGATAGATGATTTCACCACGCGGAGATTGGGAAACGAGGACAAAGATATGAGAAGATATGTTGGCCACAGAGAGCCTCTCAAAGCACTGTTAAAGCAAAGCCAATACTTAATGGGAGGAAACTCCGTTTTACTTGCGTGGAGTCTTAAGTCATTAGATGCATGCTAAACAGAACTGTAACCCTCGCGAATAAAACGGCCACAGTGACAGCAGTGGGTAACGGCAGAGCTGCAACTACTCTGACAGGGGTGACGACTTATTTGGACGACAGTTGGTGAAACATTGTAAACTCTCAGAAGCTGCCGTTTCCAGACTTTGAGTTCATTCTTGTCGAATCCCCAGCTTGTTTTCTCAGCCCGGGGTGAAATGCGCAGCCAAAAGGCCCAATGAGCGTCAAAGCGAAAGGGCAGGGGTGGTCTCTTCTGCGGATATACCTTGGCTCCTCCCAAGTCCTACGAGTTTAAACTTCGACGCACCAAACATGGCTTCTTCGCGGTTCTGCTCCTTGTTTTATTTCGCTCCCACCTTTCGGCCACACTCAACATGGCCCTAACCGAAGGTTGGCATGCCTGTGGCACTGTCTCGGGACAGTTCTCGCGAGGTTTGCCTGGGCCCGACTGCTCCCGCCCTGCCTCGCGCCGCCGCCACAGCCGCTGCCGCTGGCGCCGCTCCTCCTCCGTGTCAGTTGTTGGGCTGTAATGGCGACTGGGCCGCCCCTGACGAAGTGACTCCCGGGCCGGGGAGCGGGGCCAGACCTGCGCCAGAGAGAACTGCAGGGAGCCGCAGCTCGGGGGGTGGCTTGCCCTGAGGGAGGGGAGGCAGCCTTTCCGCCTTGTCTTCCTTCCCAGCGGACCGGCGGATCCCCGGAGCCGGTGCGAGGAGGGCACCCGGTGCGTCCCCGGAGCGGGGAGGCCAGGCCGGGCAGCCCTGGGGCCGGTCGGGGCGGCGTCACTGCACCCTCCGCCAGGCTCCGCGGGATGCACCGTGGTAGCCGAGGGCGGAGGCGACACTCTCAGGTGAGCTCCTGTAGGACCTGGCTGGGACCGCGGAGTCTCGCTCAGCCTCAACTGTCTCTGTCCGCGGTCCCGGGTCCCCGGTGGCGGCAAGAGAGGCGGGGCCGGGCGCGGAGAGTCTTGGCCCTGCTTGGCGTCCCCCTCGGGGAACCTCCCTGGGTTCTGAGGCTTTTCGGGGACCTAGGTTTCGGGTCCCACCAGTGCCTGCTGAAGACGGAATTTCCTTCCTTACGTGCCAGTGTCCTCCCGCCTCCTCCACCCCTCCTCTAGCCTGCAGAGGTAAGATACCTCTAGCCTTTGCTGCCCGGAGAAGTGTCCCTTCTTCATCTGGCGATCAGGCGTATTTGGGGAGATTCCGGGGACTGGCTCCAGTGGCAGGGATGATCAGTTTCTGTTCCTTTTCAGTGGGGATCACATTCTCAAGTATAGGGAAAACTTTGATCTACTCTAGTCTAGCGGCTGCTGAAGGTAGTTTATTCACAGATAATTTGGGGAAAGATTTAAAAGGCTTTATGTTTTGGAAGTTGTCAGTATTTTCCTCTGCCTTTTAAATGCAGCTCAACATGCTAAGTAATATTTAGCTAATGTCACAAGATATGAATTGGAATTTGCCTGGATTTTAAATATTCAGATAGAAAGTTGCACATAGGCATAGATTTTAATGTTTTAATGCAGTAGCAAATCCTTCATATGGGAAAAAACAGGTTGTCAGAAATAGTGATCAATATCCATGTACTCCACCTGATTGTTTTGTTTTGATGGTGATCCTTGTTTTGAATTTGGGGAAGTCGTTATTGTTGCCATGTTAACGATACCTCCTGCCCTGTATTTGAAGAGTTTTAAAAGAAAGACTATCTTTGGCAGAGCTAGTAACAATCTGAAAAGTTCTGTAGAAACAATGATAAAATACTAAAAGTTGCCCTCCATTCTGAAAATTTCTTCGTTTAATATATTGTTTTTAAACAAGGAAATGCACTGCTAATGACATGGAATTGTGACTTTGAGGGATTGTTAGACCCATGCTGGAAGTTGCTTCAAAGCCATGGGCGTATAATAATTAGTTTCGGTGTGCTAAATTGACAAATTTTATTTAATGTAATGAAATAAATCTGAATCATTTGAACTGTCAGTGCATTAAATTTAAGATACTGTAATCTGAAAATAAACTTCAAGCTAGAATACATTGTATATGTGGATAAATACATGTGTATCTCTGTATCTCTTCATCCTCAGTAGCAAAATTTTGTGTATGTAGAGATGGCAAGTTGTATATGTAAAAAATTTCATACGTATGTGAACATATTTCTTTGATTTTCTGAGATAAATTGGTGTGTGTGTCATGTAAGAGCGTTAATACTTAAACAGCCAACCTTCTGTGGGGCAATCAATTTATGAATTATAAAGTTTTTGGATTTTTTCCTTCTGCTTCTGATTGTCAGTCTTTTGCCCATTTTATAACACTTCTACCATATATGAGCAGAAGAAAGGAGATGAAGTACTGCTATAATCAATTTTATTTGTTAAATTGCTATAATTTATAGTGGGAGCAAAAAAGAAGTCTAAAATAACTGACATCAGTTTTTGGTGTGCTTCTATATACATTATTTTATTTAGTTTTCACAGTGATCTTGTGAAGTAGGTATGGCAGATATCCTTATTTTGCAGTCGTGGAAACTGACACACAAGGAAGATCATTTATGTGAATGCCTCTCATTTCTGCAGATAATGTGGAATTATTTTTATTTTAAACTAAATATTAATATAGGTGCTCTGGCATTTGGTGTTATTTTAAAATATTAAAAAATTATTCTATTTTTGTTCCTTTTTACATGCCACTTGCCCCTTATGCTGATGATCGTCAGTTCTTTAAAAACATTAGTATTTTTATAACGTTTTGTTAATTATTGACAAGTCATGAATTATGATGGATCACTTACTTCTTTATGTATATACTTTTTGCTTGAACAAGATTATTAAAGTGTAGTTCATTTATTATCTTTCACTTTGGATACTCAGTTCTGTCATCTTTATTCTTTCAGTCATTTATACTCTTAGTTATGTAAAACAAACATTCAAGCCACATGATCAGTAACATAACTGAAAAGTAGTAATATCTTGATGATTTTATTGTTGAGACAACTGATGATTTAAAAAGTTAATTCTCTGCATATAATTGTGATTGTTATTTTTGCAACATGAGGCAAATTTTAGTGTTATAGTGTAAAAAAATCATCAGATTGCATAGTATTTTTTTCTGTATTGATTTGTTGTTGTTGTTGTTCATTGTTATCATAAGTGTGATTTTACATTTACTTGTGGTTATTTTGAGTTATTCTTTGCCTTTCTCATCTGGTCTGTAAGTTCCATGATGGCAGAGATCCTTTAATCACTATTATGCACCCAGTGCCTAGCATATGGTAACATAGTCAATAAATACTAATTGAAGAAATTGACTAAAGAATAGTCCCAGAATAATATTTTAAATGCAAAACAAAACAAAAGACTAGTTCTTAGTTCCTAAGCACACCTCAACTCTTGGGAATATATTCCAGAGATATGCTCAGATTTGCTGGGTAGCAAGGGAATGACAGCCTGGGATTAAAAAGCCACTGGGAATAAGCCACAGTGGAAACTTCATTTACTATTTTAATGATTTGCCTAGGTGCTCTGGCAACAGGTTACGGTAATTTAAAGAAAATATAAACTTTAAGACCCTAACCTGTTATACTAGTACTATAATTATAGCCTTGTAATAACTTTAAGTCACTTCTTAATCTCAGTATTGGGAGTTTAAATTCTTCAAGGCCAGCTAGTCCAATTCCCATATTTTATACATAAGAAAACAGAAGGTTGTATAGGGGCGATATCTCATGCATAGTTGATTTCATAACTGGGAGAAGAATCCATTGCACAGCTGCTAAGTCTACATTTGTTTAATATGTCAGATAATTATAAAATCAGAACATAATTGTGATCAACTTGGCAGTCTATTCAGTATTAATTAAAAACTCAAAATGGGCCTTTTTTTTCATGAATCCAAAGTGTTAACTTAAAAATGAATCTGAACCCTTTCCTCTGTAGTTGGGACTATAAATTGATACCATTGGAGCAACCTTCTGGAAGGAAATTTGGCATTCCCTATCAAGATTAAAAGTATATATATTGTTTGATAGAATCATTTCCTGCTTAAAATTTATGTTACATAAATTTTAACAGCATAGGAATTGTATAAGAATGTTTATATTAGCATTATTTCAAGATGTCAATAACATTTATAAATAATTTAAAAATGTCCTAAATGTCTGTTGGTAGGCTAATAGTTAAAAGTCTAGTATTTTTATGCTGTGAATTACTGTGCAGTTGTTAACAGGTTTCAGGGTATCTATATTTACTTCATGAGCAGCAGCTGAGCATATCCTTCAGCTCCTGGAACCATGCGGTGGACCTTCTGGATTCAAAACCTAACTGCACTACTTTCTAGCTGTGACTCTTGGCGAATTACTTAAAGTCAACTATAAATTGGATATACTAGTAGTTCTCATGTTACAGGGGTACCATGAGAATTAAATGAGTTAACAGTTAGGCCCTAAATAAGCATTAATAAGCGCCACATAAGTGTTTGCTGTTACAATTATGTATTGACTTGGAAGAATGTTCATGATATAAAATTAAGTGAAAAAATAAGTTGCACTATACTATAGAATATGATTTATTTAAAAAACACATAGACAAATGTAGTTTTGTTTTCATTTTGCATGTGAATAGAAAAAGGTCTATAAGGATAGACATTAAACATGTTATTCCTGAGGGAGTGGATGACTTTTCTTTTTTACTTTAGACATTTTTGTATGGTTTTATTGTAAGAATCACTTTTATAATTTTTGAAACTTTTTTCTAAAAAAAGGAAGTAAATTTTTTCTTCTATTAAATAGTGATATAAATGTATTTTTGAATGTGATTTTTAGAGATCTACACATTTCATCAACAGAGTGTCTCATAATTAGATCCTGTGTCAAAACATTTGTTGATGGAAGGGCTGGGACTTGGTGGCTCACGCCTGTAATCCCAGCTCTTAGAGAGGCCGAGGCAAGTGGGTCACTTGAGGTCAGGAGTTCGAGACCGGCCTGGCCAACAAGGCGAAACCCATCTCTACTAAAAATACGAAAACTAGCAAGGCGTGGTGGCAGGCCTGTAATCCCAGCTACTGGGGAGGCCAAGGCAGGAGAATTGCTTGAACCAGGGAGGTGGAGGTTGCAGTGAGCCAAGACTGCCACTGCACTCCAGCCTGGGCAACAGAGCAAGACTCCATCTCAAAACAAACAAAACTTTTGTTGGCTGGGTGCGGTGTCTCATGCCTATAATCCCAGCACTTTGGGAGGCTGAGGCGGGCAGATCACCTGAGATTAGGAGCTTCAGACCAGCCTGGCCAACATAAGGAAACCCCATCTCTACTAAAAGTAAAAAACTAGCTGGGCATGGTGGCAGGCTCCTATAATCCCAGCTGCTGGGGAAGCTGAGGCAGGAGAATTGCTTGAACCTGAGTGGCAGAGGTTGCAGTGAGCCAAGATTGCACCACTGCACTCCAGCCTAGGTGACAGAGGAAGACTCTGGCTCAAAACAGACAAACAAACAAAAAAACTTTTGTTGGCAGAAGGTTGAAATTTAGGAAAATCTATAATAAATATATTTGTTTTTCTCCTAGCTTTGTAGCCTTAAGTCTTATTTCTTACTTTACAAAGTAAACCCGTAGGCTAGATCAGTGTTTCTTAAATCCAGTATTCCTAAACTGTGCACTGAAGTAAATCCTCACTTAATGTTGTCCATAAGTACTTGGAAACTGCAACTTCTAAGACCCCAAACACCTCTAATATTAAACATTGAAATAAATGGGTCCTATGCATACATTTAAGAAATACTAAAAACAAGATAATTACCCACTTATTTCAGTTCAGGATGGCAGGTGGCTGGAGCCTGTCCCGGCAAGTAGGGCACAAGATAGGCTGCCATTCCATTGCAGGTAGCATTTACAGACACACACACACCCACCCACCCACCCACATTCACTCAGACTGGGACCATATAGACATGCCAATTCATGTCAGTTCACCTAATGCGTGCACCTCTCTGATGTGGGAGGAAACTGGAGCATACGGAGAAAAGCCACACAGACATGGGGAGAACATGCAGGCTCCACATAGATGGTAGCCCTGGTGGGGAAATCAAAATTTTTTTCTCATCAAAATTGTGAAGAAATGATATTGAATGAAACTATGTTATGGAGGACCTGCCGTACTGTGGAGCACCATAGTAACTCACCTGGACACTATGCATTATTTGAGAAATTTTAATGGAAACAGCAATATTGGATAGCTGTGGGATATTTGACATCTATAGGACACTACTCAAACTACCAGTTTGAGATACCACACAAGAGATTGTGTTCCATTTTTTTTGATGACACTGTGTCTTCCAAACGCTAGGTTTTGGGAGTTTGCTGTGATAAAAAGCAAGTACTATGCAAAAATCAATTTGGAACAGTAAATGAAGGTGGTGGTGTCCAAAATGATTTCAAGATTTGAGAACTTGTGTAATATCTAGTAGGTACACACATCCTATTAAGTAGTTGTGGTAATTTAGTAATAAAAATATTTATTTCAATTTATACATATTTATTTTTCGATCTGCTACTAAGTTGGTAGGCTATAAATACTTTTTAGGTTGTGGACTGAACTACTTAGTAAATGGAACTGTTAGGTATTTTTTTGGCCTAGGGGTTCCATGAAAAAAATAACTGGCATACTGAGGGGTCTGTGAACTGAGAAAGTTTAGGAACCTCTTGAACTTTTGACCAGGACACCTATATATATTTTCCATGTTCTGTGCTCCCAAAGGTTGATTTTTTACATTTATCTTTATTTTTTATTTTTTTAAATAAAAAGAATAGATGTGTGTTATACGTGTATGTGTATACATATAATGAATCAAAAGTTTCACTTTTCAAAGTTTTACTTTAAACAGCCTCATGGCCAGGCGCGGTGGCTCATGCCTATAATGCCAGCACTTTGGAAGGCCGAGGTAGGCAGATCATTTGAGGTCAGGAGTTCAAGACCAACCTGGCCAACGTGGTGAAACACCATCTCTACTAAAAATACAAAAAAATTAGCTCGGCGTGGTGGCGCGCACCTGTAATCCCAGTTACTCAGTAGGCTAAGGCAGGAGAATCACTTGAACCTGGGAGGTGTAGGTTGCAGTGAGCCGAGATCGCGTCACTGCACTCCAGCCAGGGCGACAGAGAGACTGTGTCTCAAAAATAAAATAAAATAAAATAAAGCGCTCACTACCTTCAATACACTTGATATTTGCAAATCAATCCTATTTAGTTCCATTAAAAAAATGCTAGCTCCAATCCACGATATTGTTTTGTTTTGTTTTAATCTACTAACGGGTCATGACTACACACTTGATAATATGATGCTGGTTGACTCCTAACGTCCAGCTTTAATACGGTTTGTTTCTCTGGTTAGTTATAAATGAAGTTAGACTACGCTTTAGCTTTTATTTTAGATTTGGGTTGTGGGGGATACACGTGCAGGTTCGTTACATGGGTATATTGCATCATGCTGAGGTTTGGGCTTCTGTTGAACCTATCACTGAAATAGCGAACATAGTACCCAGTAGGTTGTTTTTCAACCTTTACCCCTTACCTGTCACTTCCCACCTTTTTTTTTGAGATGGAGTCTCTGTCACCCAGGCTGGAGTGCAGTGGCTTGATCTAGGCTCATTGCAACTTCTGCCTCCCAGGTTTAAGCGATTCTCCTGCCTCAGCCTCCCGAGTAGCTTGGACTACAGGTACGAGCCACCATGCCCGGCTAATTTTTTGTATTTTTAGGAGAGATGGGGTTTCACCATGTTGGCCAGGCTGGTCTCAAACTTGTGAGCTCAAGTGGTCTGCCCACCTTGGCCTCCCAAGGTACTGGTATTACAGGCGTGAGCCACCACGCCCGGCCCTTTCCCACTTTTGGAATCCACAGTATCTTATTTTCATCTTTATGTCTATATTTACCTATTGTTTAGACCCCACTTACAAGTGAGAGAAGGTGTGATATTTGATTTTCTGTTTCTGCATTAATTTGCTTAGGATAATGACCTCCAGCTGCATCCATGTT
This sequence comes from Homo sapiens, assembly GCF_000001405.40. Lineage (NCBI taxonomy): Eukaryota > Metazoa > Chordata > Mammalia > Primates > Hominidae > Homo > Homo sapiens. Next base: position 179,962,306 of record NC_000001.11, read on the forward strand.
GCTCCAAAGGACATGATTTCATTCATTTTTATGGCTACGTAGTATTCCACGGTGTATATGTACCACATTTTCTTTATCTAATCTACTGTTTTTTGTTTGTTTGTTTGTTTTGTTTTGTTTTTGAGGCAGAGTCTCGCTCTGTTGCTCACGCTGGAGCGCAGTGACGTGATCTTGGCTCACTGCAACTTCCGCCTCCCGGGTCCAAGCAATTCTCCTGCCTCAGCCTCCTGAGTAGCTGGGATTACAGGCACATGCCACCATGCCTGGCTGATTTTTGTATTTTTAGTAGAGATGGAGTTTCACTATGTTGGTCAGGCTGGTCTCAAACTCCTGACCTCATGATCTGCCCACCTCGGCCTCCCAAAGTGCTGGGATTACAGGCATGAGCCACTGCTCCCGGCCTATCTGATCTACTGTTGATAGGTACTTAGTTTGATTCAATGACTTTGCTGTTGTGAATAGTGCTGTGATAAACATACTAGTGCAGTGTCTTTTTGATAGAATGATTTCTTTTCCTTTGGATAGATACCCAGTAGTGGGAATGCTGGGTCTAATGATAGTTCTAAGTTCTTTGAGAAATCCCTCTACTCTTTTCCACAGGGGTTGAACTAATTTACATTCCCACCAGCAGTGTATGATACTCCCTTTTCTCTGCATCCTTGTCATCTGTTATTTTTTAACTCTTTAATAATAGCAATTCTGACTGGTGTGAGATGGTATCAGTGTGGTTTTAATTTGTATTTTATTGATGATTAGTGATTCTGAGCATTTTTTTCATATGTTTGTTGGCCACTTGTATGTCTTCTTTTGAGAAGTATCCGTTTATGTCCATTGCTCACTTTTTAATGGAGTTATTTTTTTTTTCTTGTTCATTTGTTTGAGATTCCTTGTAGATTCTGGATCCTAGTCCTTTGTCAGATGTACAGTTTGCAAATATTTTTTTCCCATTCTTTAGGTTACCTCTTTACTTTGTTGATTCTTTTGCTATGTAGAAGCTTTTTAGTTTAATTAAATCTTGTTTATGAATTTTTGTTTTGTTGCATTTGCCTTTGAGGTTTTAGTCATAAATTCTTTGCCTAGGCCCATGTGCAGAAGAGTTTTTCCTAGGTTTTTTAAAATAGGATCTTTATAGTTTGAGGTTTTATGTTTAAGTCTTTAATACGTCTTGAGTTAATTTTTGTATGTGGTGAAAGGTAGGGGGTCCAGTTTCATTCTTCTGCACATGCTAGCCAGTTTTTTTGTGTGTTTTTTGGGTTTTTTTTTCTTTTTAGCACTGTTTATTGAATAGGTGTCCTTTCCCCATTTTTGCTTTTGTCAGCTTTGTTCAAGATCAACTGGTTATAGGTGTATGGCTTTATTTCTGGGTTCTCTATTCTGTTACATTGATACAGATGTCTGTTTTTGTATTGGTAACATGCTGTTTTGGTTAGGATATCCTTGTAGTATAGTTTGAAGTTGGGTAATGTGATGCCTCCTGCTGTGTTCTTTTTGCTTGGCTATTCAGGCTCTTTTTTGGTTCCATATGAATTTTAGAATTGTTTTTTCTAATTTGTGAAAAATGATGTTGCTAATTTGATGGGAATAGAATTTTTGGATTGTTTTGGGCAGTATGGTCATTTAAATTTTGATTCTTCCAATCCATGAGCATGGAATGTTTTTCCATTTGTTTGTGTCATCTGTTATTTCCTTCATCAGTGTTTTGTAGTTCTCCTTGTAGAAATCTTTCACCTCCCTGGTTAAATTTATTCCTGGGTATTTTATTTTTCATGTGGCTATTATAGATGGGATTGCATTTTTGATTTGGTTCTCAGCTTGAACATTATTGGCATATAGAAATGCCACTGACTGTTGTAAGTTGATTTTGCATCCTGAAACTTTACTGAAGTCTTTTTCTTAGGTCTAGGAGTTTTTTGAAGGACTCCTTAGGGTTGAACAGAGATAATTTGAGTTTCTCTTTTCCTATATGGATGCCTTTTTTTAAATTTTAATTTTCTGCCTGATTCCTATGGGTAGGATGGAAAGTATTATGTTGAATAGGAGTCGTAAGAGTGCACATCCTTGTCTTTTTTCAGTTCATAGAGGGGATGCTTCTAACTTTTGTCCATTCAGTGTGATCTTGATTTTTTGGAGTAGTTTCAGTAAGATTGATACCAGCTCTTCTTTGTTTGTCTGGTATAATTTGGCTGTGAATGCATCTGATCCTGGTCTTTTTTTGGTTTGTAGATTTGTTTTTATAACTGATTCAATTTTGTAAATTGTTATGATCTGTTCAGGATTTCAGTTTCTTCCTTGTTCAATCTTGGGAGGTTGTGTGTTTCCAAGAATTTATCCATTTCCTCTGGTTTTTCTAGTTTGTGCACATAAAGATGTTCATAGTAGTCTCTGAGGCTCTTTTGTATTTTTGTAGTATGAGTTCTGTCACCTTTGTCATTTCTGATTATGCTTCTTAGGATCTTCTCACTTTTTTTTTTTTTAATTTACTTAGAGGTTTATCTATCTTGCTTATCCCTTCAAAGAACTAACTTTGTTCTGTTGATCCTTTGTATGTTTTTTTTGTTGTTGTTTGTTTGTTTGTTTGTTTTGGTCTCAATTAATTTAGTTCTGCTCTGATCTTAGTTACTTCTTTTTTTTCTGCTAGCTTTGGGTTTAGTTTGTTCTTTTTCTGGTTCCTTTAAGTTCAACTTTAAGTTGTCAATTTGATATCTTACTGTCTTTTTGATGTAGGCATTTAGTGCTGTAAACTTTCTCCTTAACATTGCTTTTGCTGTATCCCAGAGGTTTTGGTATGTTTGTTTCTCTATTTTCATTTGTTTCAAAGAATTTTTTTATTTCTGCCTTAATTTGTTGTTTAACCAAGTTAGTTAGGAGCAAGTTGTTTAGTTTCCATGTATTTGTGGTTTTGAGAGTTCCTTTTGGTATTGATTTCTAATTTTATTCTACTGTAGTCTGATAATATGCTTGACATGATTTCATTTTTTAAGAATGTATTGAGACTTGCTTTATGACTGAGCTTGTGGTCCATCTTAGAGAATGTTCCATGTGCAGATGAGAGTGTATATTCTGTGATTTTTGGGTACAGTATTCTGTAGAAGTCTGTTAGGTCCGTTTGGTCAAGTGTCTAAGTCCAGAGTTTCTTTGTTAGTTTTATGCTTTGACGTTCTGTTTCTAATGTATATAGGCACATACATTTACAAATGGAAATCTCCTTTATAGATGTAAATTTCTTTTACAGAAGGATTTCAGAATAGCCAGCTAAATGCCAGAAAGGTTTATTTTAATTGGACAAGTGATCTTTTTTCTTTTTCTTTTCTTTTTTTTTTTTTTTTTTTTTTGAGATAGAGTCTTACTCTTGTCACCTAGGCTGGAGTGCAGTTGTGCAATCTCGGCTTACTGCAACCTCCGCCTCCTGGGTTCAGGCGATACTCCTGTCTCAGCCTATTGAATAGCTGGGATTACAGGTGCCCGCCACCACACCTGGCTAATTTTTTTTTTGTACTTTTAGTAGAGACGGGGTTTCACCATGTTGGCCAGGCTGGTCTTGAACTCCTGACCTCAGGTGATCCACTTTCCTTGGCCTTCCAAAGTGCTGGGATTACAGGCATGAGCCACTGTGCTCGGCCTACAGGTGATCTTTTTAACCTAGCTACTATTTCTTAGCTGAAATTACTAAGTTCAGGATGGAGCCCATTAAGGAATAGGGCAAAGAAAGCCTTCTCTGTACCTGGACTCAGCAAAAATAGATCTGAAAAAGGAGGAAGCTTACTTTACCTGGCAACCTACCTTTTATAAACGCTATCTAGGATAACTTTCTTTTCACCTTCAGGGAAGAGTAGTAACGGAGCTGAAAGATTAGCAGATTTAATTTTTCTTAACAATTAGTTGCTTAAGCTTTTTATTTGCCTTCTATAAAGAGTCTTTTTATAAAAAGCAATAAAAATATTGAAATCTTTTTAGAAGCTTCTGCACACCAACAGGCATCCCTAGATGAGACTGATTTGGGAGCCCTCATTTTCAAATGTACTTCTTAAAGTGCAGTGTTCATTTGGAATGTACCGTTGTGATTTTAAATTACCTTTAGTAAGATTTCATCATTTTTGTAAGCATTTGCTGCTTCTGAGGCCTAATAATAATGCATGTATAAGCTGGAAGGTGTAGTACTCAGGTCTTCAGAAATTAAGGATCCCATTTTTACCTTGAATAGCAGCTTTGGTCCTTGGATCCCTTTGATCAACTTAGCCAATGATTTTTCCCTCCCTAAGCATGCAAGAAAAATAAACAAAGGGGGCTAGAACACAAAAATCTATGCAAATTTCTGAAAGCTGAAATTGGTACCCCCTTCAGTATTATCATTTATACTAATTTCTGTCTAAACCAGCCAGACATATGAGGCCTCTAACTAGATCCAAGACAGTTAGATACAGTTGGATCCTGGACCCAGTCCAATTTCTGTTGTAACTTCCAAACCTAGTTTGGATCAGAAATTTGCTCAAACTCTGATAGCTCAAATGCACACTGATGGAGCTTCAGAATCTGAGAGAGAACTTACCCACAATCTCCAGTTGCTTTGAGAGAGCAGTGGACAAAATGAGTCCAGTGGGTACCTTGCTTTGTCACTTGGTGTTCCTGGGAGTTGCTAGAAGCTTTAGTTTGGATCCCACTTCTGACACCATCTATTAAAATTAAAAACCTTAGACAAATTAAATTTAACAGAATTTGATTGAGCAAAGAAGAGTTCATAAATCAGCCAGCTTCCAAACCAGAATAGGTTCAGAGAGGCTTCTTAGACTATACTTTATACAATAGATCATCTCTGAAAATGTGTACAGTTGCTCTATTTTTGTATGATAAGTTATTAAATGTTATAGAGCAATAATGATGTAAAGAAGACCTTTGTACAAATAGAAGGATATTTTTCCAAAGAAAATCTGATTTATCTTTGATTAGTTTGGGTTTTGGTGATTTTTTTAAAAAGCCATTTATAGTTTTTGTTGTTGTTAGTGGGCTTGTAGAAGTTGTTTCTGGAATTGTGGCACCCTCCTTTTTAAAAACTATATCTAAAAATCAGTGATAAGTAATAGTAATAGCACTGGCTATAACTTAATGTTTCATTTCTTTTCTTTTTTTGAGACTGAGTCTCACTCTGTCGCCCAGGAGGGAGTACAGTAGCGTGATCTTGGCTCACTGCAACCTCCGCCTTCCGGGTTCAAGCAGTTCTCCTGTCTTAGCCTCCCAAGTAGCTGGGATTACAGACATGCACCACCACGTCCAGCCAATTTTTGTATTTTTAATAGAGATGGGGTTTCACCATGTTGGCCAGGCTGGTCTCCAACTCCTGACCCCAGGTGATCGCCCACCTCGGCCTCCCAAAGTGCTGGTATTACAGGTGTAAGCCACCGGGCCCAGCTGGCTTCATTTCATTCATTATTTCATGTCTAAATTTTAAAAGTGAAAATATTTTATGAAAGAATTTATTTTTAATTTTGAGATTGTTTTAAAATATAAAATATGTATGCACACGTATACTTATTTTTTTACGTGTTACCGTGTAAGATATTTTCTGCTTAGGAATGTCTAACCTTTTCATGTTATATGAAATACCTGGCTTCATATGTGTATTTGTGCCTTTTTGCATTTAAGAATTGGATTCTGAGACTTATCAATGGTACTGTCATTTGGCAAACAGGTCTGGAGCACTCAATGTGGCTATATACTGTGCGTGAACTAGGGATATAAAGAGGAATAAGAGCAGGTGCTGTGGCTCAGGCCTATAGTCCCAGCACTCTGGGAGGCCAAGGCGGGTGCATCACCTGAGGTCAGGAGATCGAGACCAGCCTGGCCAACATGGCGAAACCCCATCTCTACTAAAAATATAAAAATTAGCTGGGCATGATGGTATGTGCCTGTAATCCCAGCTACTAGGGAGGCTGAGGCAAGAGAATCGCTTGATCCCGGGAGGTAGAGGTTGCAGTGAGCCGAGATTGCGCCACTGCACTCCCGCCTGGATGACAAGAGCAAGACTCTGTCTCCAAAAAAAAAAAAAAAAAGAGGAATAAAATATCTCTGCATCTCTGCAGTTTTATGTAAGAGACAGATATGTAAATAATAGTACAGAGGGGTAAAGAGAATTGATAACATTCTGTGGATGGATTCATAAAGAGGAAGCAAGTATACTGCATTAAGGAGTCATTAAAGGCTTCCAATGAAAGAAAAATTGTTTCCATTTCCTTAAACAGCCTCTCAGTTGACTAAGTTATTGAACGTGGAAGGAGACTTTTGAAAATTATCTTGCTTTCCACGCTACCCAGAGAGGGGTGCATACAGTGTTGTTCTGGATTCCCATTGTAACTTAAAGGGAAACTTTTACAATATCCAGAGGCCTTGATGTCCTTAAGTTCCTTGCAGGAGGAACCCACTTAGATGGCACCAGCCTTGACTTCCAAATGGAACAGTACATCTATAAAAGGAAAAGTAATGGCATCTACATCATAAATCTGAAGAGGACCTGAAAGAAGCTTCTGCTGGCAGCTCGTGCCATTGTTACCTTTGAAAACCCCGCTGATGTCAGTGTCATATTCTGCAGAAATACTGGCCAGAAGGCTGTGTTGAAGTTTGCTGCTGCCACTGGAGCCACTCCAATTGCTGACTGCTTTACTCCTGGAACCTTCACTAACCAGATCCAGGCAGCCTTCCGGGAGCCATGGCTTGTGGTGGTTTGACCACCAGCCTCAAACTGAAGCATCTTAGGTTAACCTACCTACCATTGCTCTGTGTAACACAGAGTCTCCTTTGCGCTGTGTGGACATTGCCATCCCGTGCAACAATAAGGAAGCTCACTCAGTGGGTTTGATATGGTGGGTGCTGGCCGGGGAAGTTCTGTGTGTGTGTGCCACCATTTCCTGTGAACACCCGTGGGAAGTCATGCCTGATCTCTACTTCTACAGAGATCCTGAAGAGACTGAAAAAGCAGAGCAGGCTGCTGCTGAAAACGCTGTGACCAAGGAAGAATTTTAGGGTGAATGGACTGTGTCAGCTCTGGAGTTTAACACTACTCAGCCTGAGGTTGCAGACTGGTCTGAGGGCGTGCGGGTGCCCTCTGTGCCTATTCAGCAGTTTCCTACTAAAGACTGGAGTGCTCAGAAGACTGGTCTACAGCTCCCACTGCTCAGGCCACTGAATGGGTAGGAATAAGCACTGAATTGGCCTTAAGCTGTTCTTGCATGGACTCTTAAGCAACATGGAAACAGGGTTGATGGAAAATAAGCAGCAGTTTCTAAAAAAGACAAAAACAAATTATTTCTTTTTTCCTTGAAGTTTTCCTCAAAAAGTGATCAGTGTGTCTGCTTTAAAAAAAGAATTCAGAAACAGAAGCTGGGTGTGGTGGTGTGTGCTGTAATCCCAGCTACTTGGGAGGCTGAAGTGGGAGGGTTGCTTGAGCCCAGGAATTCAGCAAGACTAGCCTGGGCAACAATGAGACCCTGTCTTCTAAAAAATAAAAAAAATATACACTGAAAAATCTACTTCCTATCCTGGACCCTCACTTCCTCTCCTTGGAGTTAACTAATAGTAACACTTTCTTATGTATAAGGGAAAATTTTATAGTGAAACTTTTATACTTTTAGGCAAAAAATAATCCTGACTTGCAAACTGTAAGACACCTTTTTGTAGATATATTCCTTGAAATTAATTTAGAAAAGTACTCAGGATAACTAGATAGTGAGTAAGCAAAAGTGTAGGCCTATTTTTAGGGCTCCCCCCTTCTTTTGGTTATTTCTGGTCCTGTTTGCTGCCCTCAGCTCTCCTAAAATAAAAAACTATGGGTGTCTTGTTTACGAAGTTTAGCTCTTTATTTCATCAGTGTGGGACATTGTGTTCTCTTTTATCCTTACTCTACTTCCTATGCTGCAAAGGCCAAAATAGTACTAATGTTACATAGTATCTTCTGGATTTCCTGGATTACAGTAAGTCACTCAGTTTTTGTAAAAGTAGTTTTTGAGGTTTATATTTTATAAGTAGAAACAGGTGAGACTAAATTCTCAGATTAGTGGTATATTAGAATATGTTATAGGACTGTTGGTTATTCTGGAATTTACTTGGAACAGTGTAATAGATCTGAGTTATAACTGAGTATTTTCCACTTTTTTGTCTGCTGGTCCTTACTAAATTTACCATTTGTCCATTTTATGTTGAGGATAGATAGTAGGAATATTGCAGAGTTGTCTTTTCTTAACCTTTCAGTTAACTTTTTCTTAACCTATCATAGATCTGATATAGATCAGAGAACTGAAATGTAGCAAAGGTGTGGAAAATATTCTAAGAGCCAGAATGAAGTCATTTTTTTCATCTTTTGTCCCTTAATGCCTGGCACTTAGTAGGAGGCCAATAAATATTGAGCAAAATGAAACTATGTGATTGGATGAAAACACTGTCAATACATGTGAAAGAAAAATTTGCTGTTAGAAGATAATTGAGAATTGGCTATTTCACAATGTCATCTTATATCTTACTTGTGTATACACACCACAGGTATAGATCATTGTTTCACAGATGTTTTGGTATAAGACTGCCTCATGCAGTTGACTTATGGAAGACTCAAAAAGATTTTGTTCATGTGGGATTTATCTGTTGATGTTTACTGTATTTGAAATTTTCAGTGTACTTGTTAGTTTATTTAAAATAATGATAAACCTATTACATGTTAAAATAATAACTTTTTGTTGTTGTTGTTTGTTTTTTTTTTTTTTGAGACAGAGTCTTGCTCTGTCGCTCAGGCTGGAGTGCAGCAGTGCAATCTCGGCTCATTGCAACCTCTGCCTCCCGGGTTTAAGCAATTCTCCTGCTTTAGCCTCCCAAGTAGCTGGGACTACAGGCACATGCCACCACACCCAGCTAATTTTTGTATTTTTAGTAGAGACTGGGTTTCACCATGTTGGCCAGGCTGGTCTCGAACTCCTGACTGCAGGTGATCTGCCTGCCTCGACCTCCCAAAGTGCTGAGATTATAGGCGTGAGCCACTGCGCCCTGCCTTGTTTTGTTTTTAAGACAGGGTCTCACCCCATTGCCCAGGCTGGAGTGTAGTAGTGCAATTATAGCTCACTGCAGTCTTGACGTTTAAGGCTCAAGTGATCCTCCAACCTCAATCTCCTGAGTAGTGGGGACTACAGGTGCATGCCACCACACCTGGCTAATTAAAAATTTTTTTTTGTGGACACTGGGTCTCACTTTGTTGTCCAGGCTGGTCTTGAACTCTTGGACTCAAGCAATCTTCCTATCTTGGCCTCCCAAAGCGCTGGGATTACAGGTGTGACCCACTGCACCTGGGCTTAACATTTTAAAATGGAAAATAACTAACTGTATCTCAACAATAAAAAGCAGTGAGTGGCATTGTTTGACATTTTTCAACTCTTTTTAGTGTCTGGTTTAATAGAAGACATCTGGATTCTCATATCTGCTTCTGTTTGCATTCAGTCTGCTGTGATATCATATGTCATGTGGCCTTTGGAAAACTCCATTGTACATTCATAAGAGAATGAGAATAAAAAAAGACAAAGTCTTAATATTATTATGGAAATAGTTTTGATTTCAAAGATGCTTCCTGAAAGAGTGTGAGAGACCCTCAAAGATCCCTGAACCATACTTTGAGAACTGGTAGTATAGATTATAACTTCAGAGTAGAAAAGAACCTTACAGGTCATATGGTCATCTCTTCTTGAGGTCACCTTTTCTTGTAGTTGTTTCTGGTTTATGCAGCTGGATGACTGAGATAAGGAATACCTCGTTTGTTTTTTGTGCGATAATGAGCTGGCTCTTGGAGATGGTGAGTTTAATGTGCCTTTCAGATTTCTAAATAAGCAGTTTGATATGTGGGTTAGGATATTAGAGGTAAAATCTGATGTTTTGGTAGTCATTGGCATGTAGGTGGTTTTGAAAGCCTTTTGCAAGAGTGAGGTCGCCCAGCGAGAGAGTATAGTGTTAGAAGCAAAAAAGCTGAAGGTCAAATCCTCCTGAACTTCAAGGTTTAAAAGGCATATGGAGAAAGACTAGCTAGTAAAGGAGACTGAGAAAGAGAACTAGAGAAGTGGGAAGATGTATGTATTGTATGTATGGAGTGTTGTGTATAGAAGTCAAGGGAAAAGAGTATGTATGGAAAATGTGTGTATGGAGTGTAGTGTATAGAAGTCAAGGGAAAAGAGTGCTGTTTATTTTATTTTTTATTTTTTGAGAGGGAGTCTTGCTCTGTCACCCAGGCTGGAGTGCAGTGGTGCAATATCAGCTCACTGCAACCTCCGACTCCCTGGTTCAAGCAATTCTCCTGCCTCAGCCTCCTGAGTAGCTGGGATTACAGGCACACGCCACCACACCCTGCCGAAAAGAGTGTTTTTAGAGAGTGGTCAATTGTAATGAAGCTGCCAGGAGGTCAAGTAGGTTGAGGATTGAAAATACCCATTAGATTTGGAGATGAAGAGGTTTTTGGTGATTTTAATGAGAGTTATTCAGAAATGGGGATGGCAACCACATTGGAGTTGCTTGAAGAGTCAGAGTCTAAATGGACACTGAGTGTATTTAACTTTTTTTTTTTTTTTTGAAACAGAGTCTCATTCTGTCGCCAGGCTGGAGTGCAGTGGCATGATCTCGGCTCACTGCAAGCTCCGCCTCCGGGGTTCACGCCATTCTCCTGCCTCAGCCTCCCGAGTAGCTGGGACTACAGGCGCCCACCACCACACCCCTTTAATTTTTTGTATTTTTAGTAGAGACGGGGTTTCACCATGTTAGCCAGGATGGTCTTGATCTCCTGACCTCGTGATCCATCTGCCTCAGCCTCCCAAAGTGCTGGGATTACAGGCGTGAGCCACCTCTCCCGGCCGCAATAGGTACAACATTTTTAACAAGGCAAATATGTTTTCTAAGTTGTAGCCTAATAATCAGCAGTGGTACCCCTCTAGTAATTCCTGCAAATAATCTATGTACATCATTCCCTTTTAAGAAACACTAACATTTTTTGTGAGGTTGAAGCCATAGACCTAGTAGTCAATCTTTGCTTTGCATGGGTAGCTGAGAGAAATGTCTTCCCTTCTGAGTAGTTTCTGCTGTTCAGTGAATCTAGATGGCAGTGTTTTCATTGTTCCAGTTTAACTGTTAATCACCCTGTTCCTGTCAGTGAGTGTATAAATGAGTATCCAGTAACGTTTATATGTATTTCTTATACTTTTTTTTAGTGTAATCATAATTAGGCTTTTACTTGGTGATAGAGCAGTAGTATTATCTTTTACTCCAGTTTTCTGATTTATTGCACATTAATGATGACATGCCTTTATCAAACGGCTCCCATTATTTCCATGACATCATATATTTAGCTTATTATGTGACTACTTGTAGCGCTTTTCTTTGCCCTGTTATCAGCGGGTCAAATTTTGTGTGTGTGTTCCTTGTAGTTTATTTTACTATGTATTCTTACAGGCTACTTGCAAAATAGTATGTGAATTTCATTTCCTTATTTTTCATTTCTTTTCATTTTCTATTTTTTCAATTTCTTTTTCTCCCCCTCATTTACTGCCGTAGTGATAAATATGTTAATTGTTCCTCTTTCTTTCTTATGAGTGGTTTTGCAGCCTGGCCCTTTAACTACCTCTTCTGCTTCTGAGATCATGTTTCTTAACGCTTCTGTTGACCCATCATACCTCCTTCTTCACCATTCATCCTTCCACTGGCAGCTGTGCCTTTGATTCTCCTTTATTTTTTTCTGTTTTTTTTTTGTTGTTGTTGCTGGTGTTTGTTTGTTTGTTTTGTTTTGTTTTGAGATGGAGTCTCGCTCTGTTGCCCAGACTGGAGTGCAGTGGCGTGATCTCGGCTCACTGCAAGCTCTGCCTCTCGGGTTCATGCCATTCTCCTGCCTCAGCCTCCCACGTAGCTGGGACCACAGGTGCCTGCCACCACGTCTGGCTAATTTTTTGGTATTTTTAGTAGAGACAGAGTTTCACCATGTTAGCCAGGATGGTCTCGATCTCCTGACCTTGTGATCCGCCTGCCTTGGCCTCCCAAAGTGCTGGGATTACAGGCGTGAGCCACTGTGCCTGGCCTATTTTTTTCTGTTTAAATGGAGCTCATAACAGCTTCTAATGCTGCCGTTTGTTCATCTGTTCATTGAAGGTTCTGTTGATCTCTAGATGGGTAAGAAGATACAGTCCTTAAGGACCACACAACCTTGTGGGGAGACTGATACATATATGCTATTTGTAACTCTATTACAGCACTCATTATATTGTATACTATTTGTTTATGTGTGTCTCTCCTCTACTTGATTGTGAGCCATAAGTGCTCAGTGAATGTTCATTGAATGAATGAATTATGTATGATATATGTATGTGTGTATGTATATATAATGACAAGAACTATGAAAAATGAACAGAGGCCAACCATGGTAGCTCATGCCTGTATTCCCAGTGCATTGGGAGGCCAAGGCAGGAGGATTGCTTGAGGCCAGGATTTGAAGAACAGCCTGAGCAACAGGAGAGATCTGTCTCTTAAAAAAATAAGATAAATTCGTTGGACATGGTGGCGCATGCCTGTAGTCCTAGCAACACAGGAGGCTGAGGCAGGTGGATCGCTTGAGCCCACGAGTTTCAGGCTACAGTGAGCCATGATTGCACCACTGTACTCCAGCCTGGGTGACAGAGCAAGACCGTGTCTCTAAAAAAGAAAAAAAAAGAAAAGGAAAAAATGAAGAGAATACTATAGGAAACAGAGAAGTACTAATTGAAGTACTAATTTTATTAAGAGCCAGTTTGGGAAAGATTTATAGGAGATGACATTAGAGTTTGGCTTTGAAGGGCATTCTTGCCAGATAAAATTTAGGAAAAGACAATGTGGAGATAATGAAATTTTCTGGATATTCAGAAAGTGTACTCTAGATATACCTATTCGACAGGAAAGTAGTTATACAGTTTTGCTTAAAAAAAAATAAAAAGATGAGACTGTAAATTAATGTTGTGAAGGTCTCCAAGTGTCCATCATGCTAAGGAGTTTGGAGCTCTGTCCCATAAATGATAGTCATTGAAGAGTTATAAAATCAGAATTGCTAGGTTCTGTTTTAGAACGATAACTTTGATTGCAGTATGGAGAATGGATTTAGGAGCAGGATAATTTAGGAAGCTTTTACCATAATTTAAGCTAAAGATGATGCTTTGAACAGAGGCAAGGGGAAGAAAGAAAGAAATTAGAGAAACATCTTAATTTTTTTTTTTACAAATAGCTTTATGTATGAGGCATATTTTACATATAATAAAGAAACAAAGGTATAAATGATATGATAACTAAGTATATGATGGAACGTGGGAGAGATAGGAATGTCAAAGATGAATTGGATGCATGTTAATCCAATTTATTAAGAGTACAAGAAGAAAATTTTGAAGATAGATAATGAATTTATTTGGTTTTGAACATGAAAAATTTGAGGTGCCAATGGTGCTTGGTGATAGACATCTAATAGACTGAAAACTTGCATCTAGAGCTCAGAAATAGATCTAAGGAGGAAATAGAACATTTAGGAAATAAAGCCATGAAAGTACGTGAGGTTGCCTGGGTAGAAGGAGCTAGAGAACAAGAGGCCCAGGAAAAAGCCTTGGAAATGTTACCATTGATGAATTAGACAGAAGTAGAGAACCCATCAGGAGTTAAGAGAGGTAAGAGAAAAAAACAATCAAGAGGCAAGGGAAACAGGAGAAATATGTTTTACGAATCCCAAGAGTAGTGAGAGTTTTAAGGTGAAAGTTTAAGATCCCAAATATTCATAACTTAGTGTTGTATGCCTGTTGACTGGAAAATTGTATTACTAGAATGTAGGCATATTTCCTAGGTTTTCTAGACAGATACAATTCTTTTTTAATGTTTAAATTGTTCTAAGACTTTCATAAGAATAAGCCTGTAAATCAGAAAAAAAAATAGCTTTTTAGACTATACTCCAATTTTTGGTTTAAAAAACATAGACTTTTTAGTTGAAGGACTGTTCATAACAAAGTGAAAGATAAAAGCAACATTTTATCAGTGGGCTTAAAAGAAAACATTTTCTGATGACCAGAGAAAACCCTGCACACATCTCTGAGAGGAACTGTCATTCATTTTGGGGTATTTTCTCTATTCTGTCTCTTAAAAACAGTACATTTCTTAACACTTTTTTTGTAGTATATTTGAGATTCATTTCCAGTATGCTACAAAAAATGTGTTAAGAAATATATGTCCCAGCTACTTGGGAGGCTGAGGCAGGAGAATGGCATGAACCTGGGAGGTGGAGCTTGCAGTGAGCCGAGATCGCGCCACTGCACTACAGCCTGGGCGACAGTGAGACTCCATCTCAAAAAAAAAAAAAAGAAATATATGAATGTAAGAAATACAAGAAATGAAATATAGGAAATGAATTTCAAATATATTTTTCATTAATAGCTTTTTTCTCTCTAAGTACATGATTTAGAGGTTTGAAATGAATGATACTATTTTGTTGGATCCTCTTTTTCTGTGGGTTTTTATCTTTTATTTTTCCCCCGTAAGGAAACTCAAATAAAGGGAAATTTGTTCTAAGACTTCAGAGAGGCCTCAAAGAATGCAAGAGCAGAAAATGAGGTACTAGCATTATGGGAACTGGAAAATTGTCAAGAACAAGACCACTTTTTCCTTTTCTTTGGGGCCACTTTTATTTGTTTTTCTTTGATCTTCCTCTTTGTTTTTCATTGTATTTTTCAGCTTGGCTCCTTATAGCTCATGTTCCGTTGCTTATCCTTTCAATTCCAAAACTCTGCAGTCTGTTTTTCCGGGACTGGATAGGATGCTTTTGAGTCGCTTCCTTAGGCCTTATCCAGTCAGCTAGAGCTGGGGTGAGGGGCAGGTCTTTGTGGATCACAGTAGTGGATAGGGGTAATTCCCTAGAGAAAAGGACTAGGGGACTATGGGTGATTGATATCTCTAGTATTTACACAGCTTCATTTAACAAAGCTTTTTGGGAACATTTTGAAGGCATAATTTGTGATCAGTTGTTTTGTGCTTAGTGGGAAGGTGGCCTTTTTGACTTTTGAAAAATGTTAGAGTTGAAGGAAGATGAACATGGTAAATACTGAGTTCAGGCTAGAGGTTATTCTTTCTGGATGAGGGGAGAGAGATGAGTATGAGCAGAGTATACACAGAGGACTCCAGCCAAATTGGTAATAGTTTATTCCTTAAACCGAGAGGTAGCTACATGGGTGTTTATTATATTATTTCTTATATCACTTGATGTGAAGAAGAAAGCTATTTGCAGATAATTGAAGATCATTTGAATTTAGACCCTGGCAGACAGTAAGCCTCAGAAAATAAAGCAGTCCAAAAGGCTACTGAAGGCTTAGGACATTACTGTACACTATGTAGACTTTATAAACACTGTGCACTTAGGCTACACTAAGTTGATTAAAAAATCTTTCTTCAGTTATAACCTTAGTTTACTGTAACTTTTTTTACTTTATAAACTTTAATTTTTTAAAACTTTTTGACTCTTTTGTAATAATTCTTAGCTTAAAACAAATATACAGCTGTACAGCAATAGTTTATATCCTTATTCTGTAAGCTTTTGTTCAATTTAAATTTTTATGTTTTTACTTTTTATACTTTAAAAATATTTTTATCTATAAAAATATATTTTATAAAATAAAATATGTATAAAATATGTATTTTTATTTTTAGTAAATAGCAGGAGCACACTCTATAATAACAATAAAAAGTATGGTATAGTAAATCCTAGGCGATAGAAATTTTTCAGCTCCAATATAGTTTTAAGAGACCACTGTCATATATGTGGTTTGTGTTGACCAAAACATCATTGCATGGCGCATGACTGTACAGAGAACTTTGGCTATCTTCCATTATGAAAGTAGAATGTTGTGACAAGCTTATTACTATATAACAGAATGCTTAACTTTATCTTTTAAATTAAAAAAAAATTTAAATTGACACAATTGTTGCACATATTCATGGGGCAATAGTGATGTTTTGATACAATGTGTAGTGATCAGATCAGGGTGATTAGCACATCCATCATCTCAAATATTTATCACTTGTTTGTGTTGGGGACATTCAGTATCTTCTCTTCTGTCAACTTGAAAATATGCAATATGTTCTCGTTAACTGTGGCCATTCTACAGTGCTATAGAACACTAGAACTTATTCCTTCTATCTAGCTGTAATTTTGTATCCTTTAGCAAATCTCTCCTAAGCCCCCTTAACCCCCCTCCCAGCCCCTACTAACCTCTGTTCTACTTTTCTATGAGAAGAGCTCTTCTATGAGCTTCTGCATAGGAGTGAGAACATGCTGTGTTTAGCTTTCTGTTCCTGGCTTATTGACTTAACATAACGTCCTCCAGGCTCATCCATGTTGTTGTAAATGACATAATTTTTTTCTTTTTAAGGCTGAATGGTATTCCATTGTGCATATATATTTTTCTTTTCTTTTTTATGGAAATGTGAATGGTTTTGACTTAAAATGTGTTTTGCCTAATATAATTGTGACCTCCCGTGTTCTCATTTGGTTACTGTTTACATGCAGTTTCTTTTTTCAGCCTGCTAACTCCAGTCTATTTTTGTCATTAGATCTAAAGTGAGTCTCTTATAGACAGGATATAGTTCCATATTTTCTTCATCTCTTCATCTGTTGTCGGACACTTGGGTTGATTCCATTTCTTGGTTATTGTGAATAATGCTGCTATAAACATGGAAGTGCAGATATCTCTTCAGTATACCGATATTCTTTCCCTTGGATAAATATGCAGTAGTGGGATTGCTGGATCATATGACAGTTCTATTTGTAATTTTATGAGGAATCTCCATACTGTTTTCCATAGTGGATATACTAGTTTACATTCCCACCAATAGTATGTAAGAGTTCCTTTTTCTGTATATCCTCGCTAGCATTTGTTGTTGTCTTTTTGGTAATAGCCATTCTAACTGGAGTGAGATGATATCTTATTGTGGTATTGATTTGCATTTCCCTGATGCTTAGTGATGTTGAGCTTTTTAAAAACATGTTTCTTGACCATTTGTGTTTGCCCATTTTTAATTAGATTATTTGGGGTGTTTTTTTTTTTTTTTGCTCTTAAGTTGTTTGAGTTTTGTATGTTCTAGATATCAATTCCCTGTCAGGTGAGTAGTTTGCAAATATTTCCTCCAATTTTTTAGGTTGTTTTTTCATTCTGTTGATTGTTTCCCTTGCTGTGCAGAAGCTTTTTAGGTTGATATAATGCCATTTGTTAATTTTTGCTTTTGTTGCTTGTGCTTTTGGGGGTCTTGTTCATAAAATCTTTTACTAGACCAGTGCCCTGAACTGTTTCCCTTATGTTTTCTTCTAATTATTTTATAGTTTTGGGTTCTTATATTTAAGTCTTTAATCCCTTTCAAGTTGATTTTTGTGTAGTGTGAGAGATGGGGGTCTGTTTTCATTCTTCTGCATATGGAGATTCAGTTTTCCCAGCACTATTTATTGAAGAGACTATCCCCAATGAATGTTCTTGGCACCATTGTAAAAAATCAGTTGGCTATAAATACATGGATGTTCTCTGTTCTGTTCCATTGGTCTATATGTCTGATTTTATGGCAGTACTATGCTGTTTTGGTTACTGTAGCTTTGTAGTATATTTTGAAATCTGGTAGTGTGATGCCACCAGGTTTGTTTTCTTTGCTCAGGATTGCTTTGGCAATTTGGTGTCTTTTGTGTTTCCATATGGATTTCAGGATTGTTTTTTCTATTTCTGTGAAGAATACCATTGGTATTTTGATAAGGATTGTATTGAACCTGTAGATCACTTTGGGTTGTATGGTCATTTTAACAATATTAATTTTTCCAGTTCATGAACACAGGGTGTTTCTCTTTTTTGTGTGTTTTCTTTAACTTTTCTCATCAGTGTTTTACAGTTTCCTTTGTTGAGATTTTTTACCTCCTTGGTTAAACTTATTCCTAGGCAGATTTTTTTTTTCTTTTTTTTTGTATTTACTGTGGATGGGATTGCTTTCTTGATTTCTTTTTAAGGTAGTTCATTATTTATATATAGAATCACTACTGATTTTTGTATGTTGATTTTGTATCCTACAAATTTACTGAATTCATTTATTAGTTCTAATTTTTTTTTGGTGGAGTCTTTGGGATTTCCTATATGTATGATTATATTGTCTGAAAACAGGGACTATTTGACTTCCTCCTTTGCAATTTGGATGCCCTTTATTTCTTTCTCTTGCCTAATTACTGTGGCTAAGGTTTCCAGAACTATGTTGAACAAAAGTGGTGGAAGTAGGCATCCTTGTCTTGTTTCAGATCTTAGAGGAAAAGCTCATTCATGGATTACTAGGTTAAGAATACTTGTACTAGATTATGAGATTGTAGAGGTCAGAACCATTTCTCTCTCTCTCTTTCTCTCTCTCTCCCTCTCAGTTTTTTCATCTGTAAGGACCATTTCTTATTTTTAATTTTTTTAATAACATACAATGCTTTGCACAAAGTAGGTACTCAAAAAACATTGTTAGCACAAGCAGTTGATATGCAAGATTACTTTCCTCATTCTTAGTCCTAAAAGACAAATATTATTACATTGGGTTAAAAAATTCTATTTTCTATATACAATATATGTTTAAAAGAAAGTGATCCACAAAGCTGAGAATTAAAAGGAAAGGGCAGATTCAATAAAGCAATGTTTGCTTTTTATTAATAGCATGCAAAGTAGAATTAAATACTAAAACACATTTCTCTAGGGATAAACATAGTCATTTTTTATTGATGAAATATAAAATCCATTGACAGCATAACCATGAACTTTTATATACCAAATAATATCAAGTTATTTAGAAGTTAAATATTTTAGAAATATGAAATGGACAAAAATTCAGTACTTCCAGTGAATTTTTGTCCATCTCTTAATTCTTGGCAAATTAAATAGACAAAAGATAATACACAAATGTCCAACAAATAAATAAATCCAAATTTCCCATATGACTGTAGAATAAAGTTATTGTCATGATATCTCTAAAACATTTAACTGGGAAGGTGCTTTCATTATTCCGCAAGAAGTGATCTTGAATAATCTGTTTGACTTGGTAAACACTTAAAACTGGTTGGGAAAAAGGCCTTATGCAAATTGAGATTTATACTTTAAAGATAGTAAACCTTTTGATAGATTATTTTATTATAAGTAAGTTTTTTATTGCACTTTTTTCACTAATTCAATTTTCAGTTTCTACAAAAATGGTGATTTAAAAAATGTATTCTTAAAGAACAGACCAACTTTAACACATTATGTTTAAAATATTCACTTACAGGGCATGGGATAACCAAAGATTTTGAAAGATAGATTATTGGCAAATTCAGGTGCTTCATGAGAATAGATATCATAAAACTGATTTAAAACTATAATTATAGGCTGCATCTGGTGGCTCACACCCATGATCCCAGCACTTTAGGCTGAGGTGGGAGGATCACTTGAACCCACGAATTTGAGGCCAGCCTGGGCAACATAGTGAGACCTCATCTCTATAAAAATAAAAAAAAAATTAACCGGCCATGGTGGTGTGTACCTGTAGTCTCAGCTACTTGGGAGGCTGAGGTGGGAGGAACACCTGAGCCCAGGAGGTTGAGGCTGCAGTGAGCCTTGATTGCACTACTACACTCCAGCCTGGGTAACAGAGTGACACCTTGTCTCTTAAAAAAGCCTCAAAAACTAGAATTATAAACCTAAAACAGGGCATAATTCATGTTATCTGAAAATCCTTTGAAGTATAATATACATTGAAAAAGCACATAAATGTGCAAGTTGATAAAGTCTCTTAAACTGAACGTACCATTGAAATCAGCACCCAAATCCATGAATATTAGCAGTACCTCAGAAGCACTTCCTTGCTCCAATTTCAGCCACCTCTCTAGCCACTTCAAGGGTGATGACTATCCTCACTTCTAGCACTATAGATTCCTTTTGCCTATTTTATACTTTATTTAATGGAACTATATGGTATATACTCTTGTTTCTGGCATTCTTCACAACAGGTTTGTGATATTCAACTATCTTTTTGCATGTAGTTGTAATTCATTCTCATTATTAGTGGGGGATACTCTACAGTATGAAGTTTTACATAAATGTCATACTTTTAATATTTAGTAATTTATATTAAAGATGATTGCCCATTAATAGGGTATTTATTTTGAAGCAGATAAATTTTCTCTTGTTTATTCATTTATACTGTCTCAGCCTTAGTGTTAGCTAAGAAGACATAGAGATTGTGGACACATATGTAGTTTTTGATTATTTATTATATCCTTTCCATTGGAAAATTGATAATCACTATATATTTCAGCACTTATTTTAGTTTTAAAGCAAAAAGATATCTGCCCAAAGAAATTTTTTGTCTAATCATTGACAGATATTCTAGTAATATAACTGATGTTTACTTAATTTTTCAGTTGGCTAGATTAAAAATATTTTCATCAAAAGGAAAATGAGTTTTTTGTTGTTGTTGAGATGGAGTCTTGCTCTGTTGCAAGGCTGGAGTCTTGTGGCGCGATCTTGGCTCACTGCAACCTCCGACTCCCTGGTTCAAACGATTCTCCTGCCTCAGCCTCGTGAGTAGCTGGGATTACAGGCACCCGCCACCATGCCTGGCTAATTTTTGTATTTTTAGTAGAGACAGAGTTTCACTGTGTTGGCCAGGATGGTCTTGATCTCTTGACCTCATGATCCACCTCCTGCGGCCTCCCAAAGTGCTGGGATTACAGGCGTGAGCCACCGCGCCCAGCCAAAATGAGTTAATTTCTTAAACTGTGTTGGCAGATTAAAGTTTTATGGTTGATAAAATGTTGTTTTTCTACCATGCTCCTTTATTTTCAGGAAACTTGTTTACTTTTCTTAGAGCCATATTCTATAATCTATGAAAAAATTCTAGTTTTGGAACTTTTTTTTTTGAGACGGAGTCTCGCTCTCTTGCTCAGGCTGGAGTGCAGTGGTGCGATCTTGGCTCACTGTAACCTCTGCCTCCTGGGTTCAAGCAATTCTTCTGCCTCAGCCTCCTGAGTAGCTGGGCTTACAGATGTGCGCCACCATGCCTGGCTAATTTTTGTATTTTTAGTAGAGACAGGGTTTCGCCATGTTGGCCAGGCTGGTCTTGAACTCCTGACCTCAGGTGATCCACCTGCCTCAGCCTCCCAAAGTGCTGGGATTACAGGCTTGAGCCACTGTGCCTGGCCCTATTTTTAGAACATTTTTGAGGTGTTTTCTAGGAAATTTATGGATCAGGATTATTTACCCTGATAAATCAGATTAAATTAACTTCCTTAAAAATTAACCATACCTTTTAGTTTTACATATTTGGACTTAATAGGTGAGCCCTTCTTTTTCTTAAATTTAAATTGGTGTTTTTAATATTCAACATACCGTACTGCCTCTGCATACAACTAAGTGGAGAAAATAATGTTTATCAAATATGACAGGTTTAATATATTTGTAAGGCAAATAACTCATTAACTTGATAAGAAAAACATTAAGATCCTGGTAGGTACGTGGGCAAAGGATAGAAAAGATAATTCACCAATGAAGCACTAAGGTTAAGATATAGAGCAGAACGTTTAATCCTGCTAGCATCTACCAAATTCAAATTAAAGCATAGATTTTTTTCCTGTTAAATCAGCAAAAGTAGAAAGAATAGATAATCTTAAGATATTTATGAAACAGGTAGGCCCTTCTTGGAAGACAATTTGACATTGTATTTCAAGAGCAGCATGTTCTTCACATTCTTTTGTTCAGTTTTAGCACACTTTGCAGATACTGTTCTAGGTAACCAAATAAGCAGAAATTCATAAATACAAATATGTTCATTTCAGTGTTATTTGTAATAGAGAAAATGGGACATAATATTGTATTGGTTATCTCTTGTTGTCTAACTCATAACCTCCCACCCCAATTTAAGCATTTTAAAACACCAAGCATTTGTGATCTCACATTTTCTGTATGTAAGGAATTTGGGAGCAGCTCATCTGGGTGATTTTGGCTCAATGTCTCTCATAAGGTTGCAGTCAGGATGTCAGGTAGAGCTGTAGTCCTGTGAAGATTTGACTTGGTCTGGAGGATCTACTTGCAAGGGGATAGCTCACCCACATAGCTATAGGCAGGCGGCTTCAGTTCTTTGCCACATGGACATCTATAGGATTGCTTGACTGTTCTTAGGACATGGCACCTGTATCCAAAGAGAGATGAGAATGCGTTTTATAGCCTAGTCTCAGAAGTCACATATTGTCACTTTCACCACATGTGATATTAGTTTAAAATAAGTCTCTAAGTCCCACCATACTCAATGGGAGAATAATTAATTTCCACATTTTGAAGAAAGGAGTATCAAAGAAATTTTGGATATATTTTAAAACCACCACAAGTGTCCAGCAGTTAAGTAAAGTAGGGCACAAAATTGAAGTTACAGTGATGATAGTAATAAAATTACTTATTAATGATTATATTAGGATTTAGGGAGTAATGAGTTTTTATTCTTATATTTTTCAAACTTTCTGTGTTGTTACATGATTTTTATAAAAGACTAGTTCCTCTATATTCATAGGAAAATACAGTATTACTTATCACTGAGCTAACCATGGGCAGATCATGATCTTTCCCTTTGAGTTGTGATATGATTTTTTTCCTTTCTTTTTTTATTGTGGTAACATATACATAACAAAATTTACCATTACAACCATTTCTTAAGTGTACAGTTCAGTGGTGTTAAGTACATTCATATTGTTGTACAACCATCACCACCATCCATTTCCAGATTTCTTTTCATTTTGCAAAACTGAAACCCATTAAACAGTAACTCTCCATTCTTCTCTTTTCCCAGCCCCTGACAACCACCATTCTACTTTCTGTCTCTATGTTTTTGACTATTCTGACTGTCTCATGTAAGTGGCACCATACAGTATTTGTCTTTTTGTGATTAGCTTATTTCACTTAGTATAATGTCCTCCAGATTCTTTCATGTTATAGCACATATCAGATTTCCTTCCTTTTAAGGCTGAATAATATTCTATTTTATATATAAATGTCATTTTGCTTATTCATTCATCTGTTGATAGACATTTGGGCTACTTCCACGTTAGCTACTATGAATAATGCTGCTTTGAACATGGTTGTACAAATAGTTCCTTGAGCCTCCACAAGCATTTTGGTTGTATACTGTATTAGTCCATTCTTACACTGCTATAAATTATCCAAGACTGGGTAATTTATAAAGAAAAGATGTTTAATTGATTTACAGCTCTGCATGGCTGGGGAGGCCTCAGGAAACTTACAATCATGGCAGAAGGCACCTACCTCTTTGCAGGGTGGCAGGAGAGAGAATTAGTGCAAGCAGGGGAAATGCCAGACGCTTATAAAACCGTTAGATCTCACGAGACTCACTTATTATCATGAGAACAGCATAGGGGAAACTGCCCCCCTGATCCAATTACTTCTACCTGGTCCCGCCTATGACACTTGGGGATTATGGAGATTACAATTCAGGGTGAGATTTGGGTGGGGACACAGAACCAAACCATATCATATATCTAGAAGTGGAATTGCTGGATCTTACAGTAATTCTAATTTTACTTTTTTTAGGAACTGCCACACTGTTTTCCATAGTGATTGTGTCATACATTCCCACGAACAGCACACACGGGTTCTAGTTTTGCAAATCTTTGCCAGCTGTTATTATTTTGTGTGTTTTTGATAGTAGCTTGTCCTATTTACATCCTAATGGGTGTGAAGTAGTCATAATATAATTTTTAATGATTTATTTTTCTAAGGAAAAGTAATATTATAAGATTGATGTTCGGTGAATACTGATGTGATTGCAGGTAAATTGGCAGGATGAGGAGCAGCAAATCAAAAGAGGTGCCTTTACCAAATCCAAGGAACTCTCAAAGCAAGGATACTGTTCAAGGTATGATTTTGTTTTTTTAAACAGAACTTAATACCTCATTTAGGTCATGTGTATTAAATTTTGGTCTAATAAATGAAAATTATACCTATGCTTTGATTTATAGAAAGTGGATAAATCATTTTAAAATTCTCTTATATTTTAAATATACCTGGTGCTTCATGTTAAAAGGCATCCTATGGTAAACTGTTTTGTAAAGCAGGAATCCTTTTTTAAAATGAACCAGTATATGTAAAATTTTTCAGAAATTCTGTCCTAATTTCAATAAATGATATAGCCCCAATATAGTTACAGACTTATAGGGGTACAGATAATAATAGTAACAGTCTCATTGAATTCTTTTTAAAATAATGCATTAGAGGTAATTTTAAGGCATTGATATTTTTTGAGGGAGATTGACAAACTAGAGTACATCTGGAGGAAGATTATTAGGTTTGTGAGAGATCTGGAAATCAAGTCATATGAAGAGTAGTTGGAGGAAGTGGAAATACTTATCCTGGAGAAGGATGACTTATGGAAAATACACGACCTTAAACTATTTGAAGGGTTGTTATCTGAAAGACTGAATGGATTTTACCTATGTTTTTACTGGTAGATCAAAATCTGGAATAGCTTCTAATCTTTTTCACATTGTATTATAAGATACAGTACAATATAAAATTTTATATTTGTTCAGCTCATTGGGGTAAACTGAGGATGCTGCTTTTTTTTGGAGCTGTCTGATACAGGTGTGAGTGGAAATGCCAGTCCAATGGTAGCAGTGTCTGTTTACCTTTAAACCGTATGTTGGGAATGTTGGCTTAATAATCTTATAGATAAAAACCCATTTTGACTCAATATAATAAAGCATTTGCTGAGGAATTGTTCTGCCTAATAAGGTAGTTTTCAGACTTTTGAGTGCATTTGGGAGCTTATTAAAATTCAGATTCTGAGGTCTAATTCAGAGATTCTGGTTGATTGATAAAGTAAATATCATTTTTTTTCCCAGCAGATATAACCACATCGTGGGATGCACTTTCTCAAACCAAGGCTGCTGTAAGTAGTTTTAGCTTCCATTTATTTATTTCTGGATTAAAATCAATTTCCTGTTATGATTGAATAGATTAAAATGTTTTCCATACTGTTCTTTAAATACTATATATTACTATAGAATAATACTATATATTATTATATATACTATATAAAATATGTATACACTATATATAATATATATACTATATACAGTATATACTTATATACATAGTATATAGTAATATTATAGTATTATCATATATAATATATAATATATTATAAAATGAACATAAATGACAACTATTAAATGGTAAAGTCATAAACAAGATACTACTTTAGGAATTAGGAGCACAAGCATCATGCCATATAAACTATTAAAATTGGCTGGTTGCGGTGGCTTACTCCTGTAATCCTAGCACTTTGGGAGGTTGAGGTGGGTAGATAGCTTGAGCCCAGGAGTTTGAGATTAGCCTGGGCAACATGGCAAAGCCCTGTCTCTACCAAAAAACAAAATTTAGCCAGGCCTGGTGGTGTGCACCTGTAGTCCCTGCTACTCAGGAGGCTGAGGCAGGAGGATTGCTTGAGCCCAGGGAGGTTGAGGCTTCGAGGTTGCAGTGACCCTTGATTGTGCCACTGCACTTTAGCCTGAATGACAGAGCAAGACCCTGTCTCAATAATAATAATAATAATAATTTGTACTGTTTATTCACCTTTAATAAATTTGTTCATTTGGTATGTGGAAAAGAGAATTTAGACTGAATGCAGTGGCTCATCCTGTAATCCCAGCACTTTGGAAGGCCAAGGTGAGAGGATCGTTTTGAGCCCAGGCATTCAAGACCAGCCTGTAAAACATGGCAAAACCCTGTCTCTACAAAAGTACAAAAATTAGCTGGGTGTGGTGGCATGTGCCTGTGGTCCCAGCCACTCGGGAGGCTGAGGTGGGATGATTACCTGAGCCCAGGAGCTCAAGACTGCAGTGAGCTATGATCACACCACTGCATTCTAGCCTGGGCGACAGAGTGAGATCCTGTCTCAAAAAAAAAAAAAAAAAATTTAAAACAGAGGATGAAGGTAGGGCTTTGTCTATGTAGAAAGCTCATTGTTAGGGAGGAAATGAAGGAAACCAACTTCTTGAATAGACTGTGAATTATTCTTCCTTTCCAATTTGGATGCCCTTTATTTCTTTCTGTGGTCTGATTGCTCTAGCTGGGACTTCCAGTACTATGTTGAATAACAGTGTTAAAAGAGTTACTTCTTTTTTGTATCAATAACAGGTTGTTTTTTTTCTCTTACCACTGAAGAAGAATGACTATGGGCAACCTGTTCCCATTTGTGTTCTGGCCAATCTTGTCTAAAGTTTAGGAATCCAAATTTGGCAGGTGATGCATAGTTCATTCAAAGGGAAACCCTTTTTTTTTTTTAATTTGCTCTCTGGGCAAATTACTTTCCTAATATACCCTTTTTTGTTTTCTATGCCACCTGATTTTGAATCACCTATTTCTTTACTAAGTATTTCAGTGATATTTTCTGTCCTCTAATCTTTAGAACTAGTTTGAAAATAAATCTGGAAAAGGTGTTATAACCTAGATTTGGTCCCAATGCAGAGTCATATTTTGGCCCTATAAATATAGCAATATATATTCTCTTTCTTCTACCTGAGCATTATGTTTTCTATAGTGTAGAAATAGTTTTTATCCCCCAGCTTAACTTAGTGCTAAACTAATTTAGAGTTTAGCACTAAGTTAATAACTGTTAATAGTTGTTTTTCAAAACTATTGGGTGTTTTTGAAGAACATTTAAGGATGATAAAGGAATATAAGTAGGGGAGACAATCTGATGTAGAACTATTAATATATCATAAATTATTCCAATTTTTAAAATACATTGGGATGCAAAAATCTGAAGGAAGGCTGGGCGCAGTGTCTCACGCCTGTAATCGCAGCACTTTGGGAGGCTGAGGCACGTCAATCACTTGAGCTCAGGAGTTCGAGATCAACCTGGACATTTGGGAGCTTATTAAAATTCAGATTCTGAATTTTAAACTCCATCTCTACAAAAAAAAATACAAAAATTAGCTGGGCATGGTGGTGTACATCTGTAGTCCCAGCTATTTGGGAGGCTGAGGTGGGAGGATCGCTTGAGCCCAGGAGGCAGAGGTTGCAGTTAGCTGAGATCATGTCACTGCACTCCAGCCTGGGTGACAGAGTGAGACCCTGTCTCAAAAAAAAAAAAAAAAATCTGAAGGAAGATATATCAAAATTTTATATAAAATGTCTATATGTGATGGAATTTTGATTTTAATTTCATTTTTTATATTGTTTCTGTTTTCCTAGTTTTTTGTTGTAAGCATGTAATACTTTACCATTTAGGAGAAAATGCTTTTCAGTCATTGAGAACTTTGGTGGTTATAATCAAAAGTTGACTTATATTGCAGAGTGTGTATGTGAAACCTGAATTCTATCTTGCGAATTTTGTCTTTATTGTGAAACTTATTTTATAGACATAAAACTGTAAAACACTGTGGCTGTTTGAGTACCTATAGTCCTAAATTTTGGTTCAGGTAAATAATTCTTTCCTCATTTTTGCGTGTAAAATGCACAGGATATATTGCATAATGGTATGTCACATATAAAGTCAGATAATTGGCTGGGCATAGTGGCTCACGCCTGTAATCCCAGCACTTTGGGAGGCTGAGGTGTGTGGATCACCTGGGGTCAGGAGATCGAGACCAGCCTGGCCAACATGTGGAAACTCCATCTCTACTAAAACTACAAAAATTAGCCCGGCGTGGTGGCGCACGCCTGTAATCCCAGCCTCTAGGGAGGCTGAGGGAGAATCTCTTGAACCCGTGAGGTGGAGGTTGCAGTGACCTGAGATCACGCCACTGCACTCCAGCCTGCGCGACAGACCGAGACCGTCTCAAAAAAAAAAAAGTCAGATAATTTACTACTTTGAAAATACTCAACAATTTAAAAAATAGATCAACATGTCAAATGGAAACTCTTTGATATTCTTCAGAATCTTACTGATTTTCTTGTCTAAATTTGGGGAGCATTGTGCCAGATGTTATTATAGCTAAAGTAAAAAATGATGAAAAACAAATATTATAAGAAAGGATTCCTGAGTTTTTTTCTACTTTGGAAAAAGGTATTGGGCAATATACTTTTAAATAACCATGTAAATTGATGGTAGCTGGATTATTTACAGAATTAACTTATGTCTTATGATGGTGTTTAAACTTTAGCTGAGACACATTGAAAATAAATTAGAAGTAGCCCCTACAAGTACAGCTGTGTGTGATTCTGTCATGGATACCAAGAAGTCTTCTACAAGTGCTACTCGAAAAATAAGTAGAAAAGGTATGTATGAAGTTACTTCCAAATATATACATATATTAAATATAAATTTTGACAAAACAGACAGCTAGATCTACAGGGGTGTGCCACCACACCTGGCTAATCTTTTTTTATCTTTTGTAGAGACGAAGTCTCTCTGTGCTGCCCCAGCTTGTCTTGAACTCCTGGCCTTAAGTAATCCTCTCATCTTGGACTCCTTTTAAAGTGCTGGGATTATAGGTGTAGCTACCACACTCTACCTTAAATATAAGTTGTTGATGTAATAGTTTTATTTCAGTTTGATTTCTTCTTACAGTCTCGTGTTGTTTGCTTTTTTGTCAGAGACACTGGCATTTAATTTTTTTCCTTTGATATTTGGTAGCTATGAAGCAGCCTCATGTTCAGTAACCGTAGATGGTGTTTTCACCATCTTTTGACCAGGGACTTTAGCACTATTGCATCACCCTTGACAATGAGTTTTCATTTGTTTTTAGTGATGAGAGTTTCATTTTGAGGTTATATATGTCTGATTTTTTTTTTTAATTCACAGATATATAGCACTTTGGAAATGAAATTTAGTTGACTTAACGTATATTTTTCTTGGGATTTAAAATCATAAATGGAATCTCTTTCATATGGTGACTGTCATAAATTGATACAATGCAAATTTTTCTTGGGTTACCTTTTGTATTTTGATTCTGTGGTTTCTTTCTTTTCTTTTTTTTTTTTTTTTTTTTGAGACAGAGTCTCACTCTGTCGCCCAGGCTGAAGTGCAGTGGCATGATCTCTACTCACTGCAACCTCTACGTCCTGGGTTTAAGCGATTCTCCTGAGTAGCCGCGCCACCGGGCCTTTCTAATTTTTGTATTTTTAGAAGAGATGGGGTTTCACCATGTTGGTCAGGCTGGTCTCAAACTCCTGACCTCGTGATCCGCCTGCCTTGGCCTCCCAAAGTGCAGGGATTACAGGCGTGAGCCACCATGCCAGGCCATTCTGTGGTTTCTTAATTGGTGGGTGAAAACCTCCATGTCAGTACTCTCTACCTAAACTGTGATATGTATATATATATATGTGTGTGTGTGTGTGTGTGTGTGTGTGTGTGTGTGTGTGTATATATATATATATATACATTTTTTTTTAACCTGGGAGTTTGTTAGGTTGTATATGATACTTCTCTCTTAAGTGAGTGAGAGCCATGACAAAAAATAAATTTTATGTGTAGAATTTTATTTTGCATTGTTTCCTCAGAATACAATTTCTGTATCAATGGAGTTACTTTAACAATTTAACCTGAATGTTTTTCATGTACTTATATAATATCCAACTAGAGATACTAGAGATAACTTATATAATATCCAACTATTAGAAATAATAGATACCTAATTTTTTTTTTAAGATACCAGCCTAATTCAGAGGCAGTTGTATTTTATATTATATGTTCTCACAGATTTCCTTTTCCTTCAGATGGTAGATACCTGGATGATTCTTGGGTTAATGCTCCAATCTCCAAATCCACTAAATCACGAAAAGAGAAATCTCGTAGTCCTCTCAGGGCCACCACCCTGGAGAGTAATGTGAAGAAAAATAATCGTGTGGAATTTCGTGAACCTTTGGTTTCTTATAGGTTAGTATTGAGAAAAAAAAAAGGTATCAAATAGGTTTAGCCTGTAATATTTACAGTAAGAGTATACGTTGTTTTCTGAGTTTTTTATAGCACTCTGGTTGTGAAATAGTATAATACTCTAATATTACTACCTTTTTCATTCTCCACAAAAGATGGCTACAAAAGATAGTGCAAACATGAAATACTGACTGCAGTAGCCTCTTCTGCAGATAAATATTCGAGGGGGAAGAAATAGTAATAGTTGCCTCAAGCCACCTTTATTGTAATAAATACGTTTCCTAGAAACAAATTATTCCATCTCTGGAAGTGTGGCTTTTTTGTTTCGTCTTAATATCTCAGATCATTTATTTTATATAGTGAACTTTATATTGCTTACTTTTTTTCTTTTTTTTTGGGTAGCATTAATTAGTCACATAAAATTCCTATCTTATTGAGAATGTGAGTTGATTTATTGTTTTATTTTGTTGCCAATGGCTTTCAGCAACTTAGATGTTCAAGATTGATGTATGAATTTTGATAGCATAGATGATATAAAATGCTTTGCATTTTTGTTAACATAGCTTAAGATATTCAACTGATAAACTTACAGAATTTTGTATTTGAGGGACACTTTACTAATGATTTCAGTGCATTCATGCTCTTATAATAAGTAATAAACACTGGGCCTGTTTTTTTGTTTCATTTGTAAGCATTTTTTGGTGTTTTAAACACAAATCAAGAAGTTTCATGATGATACTTGGTAGTTCTAGGTATATGTTTGTACTCTTAAATTTTACATACCTTGAGAGATGGAGATGGACTGTCAGTTCAATGTTTAATATGTTGCATTTGATGCAATTTTGAATTATCTCGGTGGAAATTTTAAGTAGGCATTTAAAAATTTGGGTAAGAATGTATCTGGGATGGTCAGGCCTGAGAATATAAATCTGGGAGTTATCACTAGTATCGAAGCACTAGAAGTGCTGGAAAAATTATAGAAAGAAGGTCAGGGGTATAATCTGGGTAAAGTTCAGAGTTAAAAAAAAGAAGGGAAAAGTTTGAAGAAGAATAATCGAAGTTTAGAATCTCTAAACACACAGATATTAAGCAGCTTGCCTAGAGACATAATCATTACCAGAATTGAGACTGAGTTGCTCACTTTATATTTATGTTCAGTGTTCTTCCTGTAAATAATACTACTTTACATTTAAAAGTATGTAAATTATGGTTTTTTGTTTTTGAGACAAGGTCTTGCTCTGTTGCCCAGGCTGGAGTGCAGTGGCATAATCATGGCTCACTGCAACCTCCACCTTCTGGACTCAGGCGATTCTCTCACCTCAGCTTCCTAGCTGAGGCTTACAGGCGCTAGCTACCATGACCGACTAATTTTTTTTTGTATTTTTGGTAGAGGCGGGGTTTCACCATATTGCCCAGGGTGGTCTTGAACTCATGGGGTGGTCTTGAACTCATGGGCTCAAGTGTTCTGTCTGCCTCGGCCTCCCAAAGTGCTTGGATTACAGTTGTGAGCCACTGCGGCTGGCCTGTAAATTATGTATCTTTTAAGAAAAGAAAAAATACCCAGAAGATAGCTGTGAATGGAATACCCTCCACCTGGTGGATTCCATTCCTCACTTAAAACTCTTATTACTTTCTGTGGGAAAAATGACCAGATCTGTTTCTACCCCACTCCCATTTTCCCAACCTAGTTCATCATCCCTCTCTGCTCCCAAAGTACTGTGTAACTTCCTCTATTAAAACATTTTCAGGTTGCATTATGTTTTGGTTCCATATCTGCCCATTAGTCTATCTAAGGATGTAAATCTTACTCTCAAGGCCTTAGCTTAATGCCTAGCATGTACTAAATATTAAATAAATATTTTTTCCTAAAATATTACCAGGAAAAATTTCAAATTTACAGAAAAGTTGAAAGAATTGTATAGTGAACATCCTTATATGTATTCAGTAAATATTTAATGAGTGAGTGAATGAAAGACTGTATGAAATTACTTTTTGTTGGGGGGGTGTTAATTTTCTGTCCTCTTTTGAGAGTGGGACATGGTACGTAACCTAACATTTTATGTTTTATTTTATTTTTGCGTGTGCTAATTTTAGAACTAAATTATTTTAACTGTGAATTGTTACAGTCTTGTTAATATAGTGAAAATAATCACATTTAGCCTCGGTCTCTGATGGTAGCTACAGGACTCATTTCACAGCCCTATCTCTTTCTTTTTTCTTTTCTTTTTTCTTTCTTTCTTTTTTTTTTTTTTTGAGACAGTGTCTCACTCTGTTGCCCAGGCTGGAGTCCAGTGGCCCAATCACAGCTCACTACAGCCTTGATCTCCTAGGCTCAAGCCATCCTCCCACCTCAGCTTCCCGAGTAGCTGGGACTACAGACAGGCGCCACCACTCCCAGCTAATTTTTGTATTTTTTGTAGAGACAGGTTTTTGCCGTGTTGCCCAGGCTGGTCTCATACTCCTGGGCTCAAGCAATCTGCCCACCTTGGTCTCTCCAAGTGCTGAGATTACAGGTGTGAGCCACCACACCTGGCGATCCCATCTTTTTCAATAATCAACCACTCAGAACAGGATCTAAAGTTTTTTGGGTTGTGGACCCCAGTGAGAATCTGACAAAAGCTGTA
Source organism: Homo sapiens (assembly GCF_000001405.40). Lineage (NCBI taxonomy): Eukaryota > Metazoa > Chordata > Mammalia > Primates > Hominidae > Homo > Homo sapiens. The sequence goes on from NC_000001.11 coordinate 179,994,843, forward strand.
GACTGTTTTCTTAGAAAAATGCACACGCTCATATGATCTCAGTAGAAACAGTTACTATGTTATGTTGTTGTGGCCTTGAGAATCTTTGTAGTACTTAGGGTTTTATGCTTTTACCTGAAATGCCCTAGATCAGATCAGTGCTATACAATAGAACCATTAATGTGAGCCACACATGTAATTTCAACATTTTTAGTAGTCACACACAAAAAAGATATTTTACATTCCTAAATGTTTAGAACCCAGTATGTAGCTTACATTACAGCAGCTCTTAATTTCGATTAGCCACATATCATGTGCTCAATAGCCATATGTGGCTAGTGGCTGCTGTTTCAGACGTTCAGGTCCAGCCTGTTGTTAGGTCTGGTTTTATAATTTTCTTGACTTTTTTTTTCATGATTCATGTGCTCTTCTCACTGCTGAAACATTTGTCTTCATTAGCCTCCCTTTTCATAAAGTGCTTTCCTAAAATAAGGCTCAGCCAGGCACAATGGCTCACACCTGTAATCCCAGCACTTTGGAAGGCCGAGGCAGGCAGATCAACTGAGGTCAGGAGTTCAAGACCAGCCTGGCCAACCAACATGGTGAAACCCTGTCTGTACTAAAAATAGAAAAGTTAGCCAGGCATCATGGCACACACCTGTAATCCCAGCTACTCGGGAGGCTGAGGCAGGAGAATCGCTTGAACCCGGGAGGCAGAGGTTGCAGTGAGCGAGATCGCACCACTGCACTCCAGCCTGGGTGACAGAATGAGAATCCTTCTCAAAAATCAATCAATCAATCAATCTAAAGTAAGGCTTATTAGAATGACATGTAAAATAAAAATAGTCTCTGGAGGAAGATTTTTGCTAGTGTTTCTATGAGCAGAGAATATGGACTTGTGAGAGGTACTTTGGCTTTGCCCAGCCTTCTGTGCTTACTCCTGATTTTCTAGATACGCTTTACAAAGTTTGAAGCTGCCAAAAAGTACTTTGTGGTTAACAGATTTAACATTACTAACCACATTTATTTGGAAGAAAATATTTATTGTACTTCCACTTTATTTCTACCCCCAGTCTATTTATTAATTTGGTTCCTTATTTAGAAGTGACATATATGAAATGCCATTATTTGAGAACTTTTTTCTCTGGTACTTAAGATTTTATAGAGTAGCAAATAACACGTTTTATTGACAAATGTCAAGTGAATACCCAAAGTCAGATTATCATCCTGTTTTCTGGAGTTCTTAGGAAATCTCTTTACATATCTTTTTCATATTTCTTATTTTATAATATGCAGATTGTTATTTAGATTATTTGCCATTTTACTTGATAGAGGGGGTATTGAGCCTTGAGTCATAATATTATTAATGGTTATTTTGCAATCTTTAACTTACTGGAATTTCTAGGTTTTTTATTTTTTGGTTTCTAATGCTAGCTTAGAGTTCTCAGTTTGTATGACTGGTTTCAATTTGACTAGTTTTTGTACTTTTATGAAAAGCTTTTAAAAAGATTTAGCTTTAAAATTGACAAGTAGAAACTACGTATGTATAGTGTACAGCATAATGTTTTGATATATGTATACCTTGTGGAATGGCTAAATCAAGTTATTTAACATGTATTACCTCATTCTTATTTTTTTGTGGTGAGAACACTTAAAATCTACTCTTAGCAATTTTCAAGTATACAATATATTATTAATCATAGTCACAGAGCTTATTATTTTTTATTGTAGGGAAATCCATGGTGCACCTTCCAATTTCAGTTCCAGCCATCTGGAATCAAAGCACGTATACTGTGTAGATGTTAATGAAGAAAAGACTGAGAGCGGTAACTGGATGATAGGCAGTCGAGAAGAACGGAATATACGGAGCTGTGATTTTGAGAGCTCCCAATCATCTGTCATCAATGATACAGTTGTTAGGTTTTTAAATGATCGACCAGCAATTGATGCATTGCAAAATTCTGAATGTTTGATTAGGATGGGAGCTTCTATGAGAACTGAGGAAGAAATGCCTAACAGAACAAAAGGAAGTGAGAATAATTTGAAGCTTTCTGTGAATAACATGGCCCATGATACTGATCCAAAAGCGTTACGACTAACTGACTCTTCTCCATCCTCTACTAGTACTTCTAATTCCCAAAGATTAGATATTCTAAAGCGGCGACAACATGATGTCAAACTGGAAAAACTTAAGGAACGGATTAGAAAACAGTGGGAACACTCAGAAGAAACAAATGGCCGGGGCCAGAAGCTGGGTCATATTGACCATCCAGTAATGGTTGTTAATGTTGATAACTCAGTAACAGCAAAAGTCAGAAAAGTGGCAACAGCACCACCTGCTCCAGCATATAAAGGTTTGTAATCAGTCTTTATATCTTCCTCTCCCTGCTTCTTTGTTCTTCTTTCTCCCTAGGGTGTATTTGAATAGAGAGGATCACCTTTAGAACAGGATGTTATTCTTGACTGCATAAGCACTTAGGGAGGCCGAGGTGGGCGGATCATGAGGTCGGGAGATCAAGACCATCCTGGCTAACATGGTGAAACCCTGTCTCTACTAAAAATACAAAAAAAATTAGCCAGGCGTGGTGGTGGGCCCCCATAGTCCCAACTGCTCGGGAGGCTGAGGCAGGAGAATGGTGTGAACCCGGGAGGCGGAGGTTACACTGAGCCGAGATCTCACCACTGCACTCCAGCATGGGGCGACAGAGTGAGACTCGGTCTCAAAAAAAAAAAAAAAAAATTATTTCAACATACATGTTAAAAATACAGATTCCTAGATCCAACACTAGTCCTAAGTCAGATTTTCTGGGGCTGGGGTCCAGAATTGGAATTTTTAATTAGTCCTTCAGGGGATTCTTGTGGTTTGAGAACCACTATATGAACATTTACTAAGTTATACAAATAATAATTGATACTATTTTCAAAGAACTGAAAGAATAATGCCTTTATGCTGCCATTGTATTTGGATTGTTATTAGGAATTATTTCAAAAGTAATATTTAAAAGATAACTCCATTTCCAGAAAATATTTGAGTACAGAATATTTTGGCACTGGCATTGATCCTGTTGATATTTTAACCTTCAACTTTTAACGTGAATGATTTACCATCCTCATATTTAAGAAAACAATATTTAAATCACATTTATGCCAACATTGGTAGATTTTCATTAGAAAGTGCTCTTTAGAGCTTTTTTTTTTTTTAAAGCCAACTCAAGTTTTTATATATGGTGGTTTTAAGGGGTTTCTATTTTTCTATTTTTATTTTTATGTTCCTGAAATTATTTTCACAGGGTCATCCATGTAAAGTTTTTAACGAAGGGCTGATTTCTTGATTAGTTTAATTCATGTTAGATTTTTGTTATTTAAACTTCTGCCAGAGTAGCCTTTTTAATGTTTTAGTGGGTATTTTTTCCAACTTTAGTTTTTGTATACATGCTTAGGCAGATCAAAATATTATATAATAATTTGTTTCTTCTATTTTCTTTTTTTTTTTTTTTTTTTTTTTAAGACAGAGTCTCACTCTGTCGCCCAGGCTGGAGTGCAGTGGCATGATCTCGGCCCACTGCAACCTCTGCCTCCCAGATTCAAGCAGTTCTGCCTCAGCCTCCCGAGTAGCTGGGATTACAGGCACCCACCACCATGCCCAGCTAATTTTTGTATTTTTAGTAGAGACAGGATTTCAACATGTTGGCCAGGCTGGTCTTGAACTCTTGATCTCTGATGATCTGCTTGCCTCAGCCTCCCAAAGTGCTGGGATTACAGGCGTGAATCACCACACCCAGCCTGTTTCTTCTATTAATTTTAAGTAACTAACAATCTAGGGCACTTTTTTATTGTAATCAGTTTTGTTTTGTATTTCTGTGTCAACTCTAATTTTTCTCTAACAAGTTTTGCAGTTTCTTATAGTCCTAAGGCATCTTTAGTCATTTTTCTCTAAAACACATCTACTGCATACAGTTTTCGCCAATTATTAGTTTTTTGTATTGTTTACTATGTTTTTGCTAGTGATCTTCATTGTGAATTAGATAAAATTGGATAATTTGCATTTCATTCTAGCTAATTTGTGAGAAATTGTGATCAATTCACTTTAGAATACTGAAGAATTGCCATTGTCCAATATTATAATTAATAATATTTTTTATTAATAACAACACAATTCTCTAATTTTTTCTAGTCATTCGTGTATCACATCCATACTATTGGCACAGCACATAGCAAATGGCGAGGTCAAAATATTCTTTGTTGGTTCCAAGATAGTGATTACCCGAAATCTTTGCTGTAATTAAGTACAGACCCATTAAGTATAGATTACATATTTAAGTTTTGTTCTTTGTACAAGTCAAAGTTCTGAAATACCAATGATTATTCCACTAAGAAAAAGTTAAAATGTTCCATTTGAATTCATATTTTGTAATAATTTATAAAAACCTAAAAGTTAAAAACAATTTTACAGAATGAGAGTGAAAATCTTAGATATAACTTTCTTTGAGTTGATGACTGGATTTCCCATAATCCTTTTACTATTTTTTTAATGTGCTAGTTTTTATATTAAAATATTTTATAAATATGACTTTTGGAGGGGTTACTTTGAAAAAGGTAGCAAACATTTGAGAACTCATTATAGAATATGGCTTCCGATGTCCTAAGCAGTGGATTTTTTTTTCCAACAATGAAAAACTGTTTTTCTGCCAACTTTTTGGTAGTATAAATTAAAAGCATCTTAAAATACTGTATTCTAAAGTGACATTTTAAGTTTGTTTGTTTAAAGACATAATAAATTCATTTTGTTCGCAGTCCAAAAGATGAGTATACCTTGAAAAGTTCTGTCACTCTTGTGCTTGGCCCCCTTTCTGGAGGTTACTTGTGTTAACAATTTGTATATCCTTCCAGAAATAACTTTTGCAAACATAAGCAAATAGGAGTATGTGTGTATTGTGTGTCTGTGTATTTATTTATTTTCTTCCTCTTTTTATACAGTTATTAGCATACTAAACTCATTTTGCACCTTGATTTTTTATTTTTAAAAAGAAACCTAAGAAGTGCTCTATGGTTCTGCTTTAAAAATTTGAAATGGTGAACACAAATGGTGTTTATATGATTCTTTCTTGTACTATATTTGGTTGTTTGCATATTTTTTTCTTCCTGGTATAAATGCCCATGAAGATAAAGAGCCTATCTTGGTCACCCTTATTTTATCTCAGAACCTAGTACAGTGTCATGGACATAAGTAAGTGCACAGTAAGTTTTTTATTCTATTTAATAAATTTAACCAGTAAGAAAAAAAGTGGACAAAGAAATGGAAATAAAGACTTGGGGACAGAAAGAGAAACTGATGTAGATAGTGAAATCTTCTTAAAGTTAACATATAAGATGCAAATGCAAAGAAAGACTCTCATAGGGATAAATGTTTCCTAAAGAGGAGAGGAGAAAAAGAGGGTTAAATGTTGAGCGGTGGGATTAGGTGATGGTGAAAAGTTGAGAAAGACAGAAATACGTTTGCATAGAACTGCCACACTTCCTTTTTTTTTTTTTTGAAAGTTTTTACAGTTTATTAATCCTCATGAAAAATCTGCAGTTATCACAGATAAAGTCATTGCAGAATCTTTACTCCTGTTTTTAGCCTTTGCAGTCCCTCTGACTTTCTTCATTCTGTTCTTGTGTTCCTTTTGCTGTTTCCTTGGGGTCTTTTTTTCTCTCATACAGGCCATGTCTTGAAAGTCTGTGTTTGGTCTCATTTTTCATTGCATAATCCAAGGAATCAGAAATCATGCTGAAGCCATTTATCTTGTCACCAGCAAAATGGGTTCTGAATCCAAATACAAAGATGACATTGGTGTGGCTTTGTACATTTGGGCTAGTTTTCCCCAAGTTTCTGTCTTTGGTACTGTTCCCTTTCCAGGGTGAAGGACATCTACGACTGTTTGTGCTCCCTGAGGTAGTTGATTGGTCATGAACTTCCTAGTACAAATAGTTATTGTGTCATTCATGATGGCAGTCAGTCCTCAGGCAGCCAGGCAGAATCACCACACTTTTTTAATGGCAAACTATATTTTGCAAAACTGAACACTATGTTTATAAATTTTTTCCCTTATATAGATATAGATGTAATGGTGTGTTCCTTGCCACAAATGTCGGGTGAAATTAAACTGAGGCTATTGTGCCTAATAACTGAATAGATTATTTACTATTAGACATGTAATTAATTTACCAGTATATTTTCTCTTATACTTACAAAGTACTACTACCAGTTTTTTACTCCAGCCTATTCTTTACATTGATTTAATTGTGCAGTTATGTATGGGTTGCTAATTCTTTGATAAGTTGAGCCCATCTTAAGATACAAATCTTTATACTACTTTGGTTATCATCTTTATTCATTATTTTGTTGTTTTTGACAAAACAAAGTTCAGTGTATTTCTTAAAGAATAGTGATAATTTATTTTATTTTATTTTTTGAGACAGAGTCTCAGTCTGTCGCCCAGGCTGGAGTGCAGTGGCATAATCTCAGCTCACTGCAACCTCCACCTCCTGGGTTCAAGTGATTCTCGTGCCTCAGCCTAAAGAGTAGCTGGGATTACAGGCATGCACCACCATGCCTGGCTAATTTTTGTATTTTTGGTAGAGATGGGGTTTCGCCATGTTGGCCAGGCTGGTCTCAAACTCTTGGCCTCAAGTGATCCACTCGCCTCAGCCTCCCAAAGTGCTGGGATTCCAGGTATAAGCCACCGTGCCCGGCCAAAGAGTAGGGATAAATTTGAAGTGGAAAATCAAATGGTAATTCCTAGGAAATCCCATATGTGTAAGGTTTCTTGAGAAATTGAAAAAGTATGTTTGAAAGACCTGTTTTCCACACTTTGGACACAATTTGTCCGTATAAACGGCAGCTTGCCCATTTGTTCAGTCATAAGCAAAAACAGATAGATGGTAGCAATTATAATGCCTGTCTTCAAAGACAAGAAGAATAAATAATATTGTCTCTCCCTAAATCTGGAGAAGGGTAGTTCATCTCTTTGAAATTCATGATTTATGATCGGTATTCTTTTATCATTTAATTTAGTGCTTCTCCACTTCTAGTCTTTTTGAATGAATGTATATTGCTTTATCTCACTGATGCTTACTTTTCCTAAACAGTATGTGTTAACATACTATGTGGTAGCTAATTATACATTCCTCTTTTAAAAGCTTATAAAAGCTGCTCAGTATCATTAGTTATTAGGGGAGTATGAATCAAAACCACAATGAGATACTACTTTATACCCACTAGGGTGGCTATACAGTAAGTATTGGCAAGGATGTGGAGAAATTAGGACCCCAATACATTGCTGGTGAGAATGCAAAATGGTACAGCTGCTTTAGAAAACAGTTTGGTAGACTTGGCGCGGTGGCTCATGCCTGTAATCCCAGCATTTTGGGAGACCAAGGCGGGTGGATCACTTGAGGTCAGGAGTTTGAGACCAACCTGGCCAACATGGTGAAACTCCGTCTCTAATAAAAATACAAAAATTATCCAGGAATGGTGGTGTGTGCCTGTAGCACCAGCTGCTTGGGAGGCTGAGGCAGGAAAATTGCTTGAACCCAGGAGGTGGAGGTTGCAGTGAGCTGAGATCTTGCCATTGCACTCCAGCCTGGGTGACACATTGAGACTATATCTCAAAAAATAAAATAAAATGAAATAAAATAAAATAGATAAGATAGCTAAGGTAAAATAAATAAAATAAAATTTGGTAGTTCCTCAATAAGTTAAACATAGAGTTACTGTATGACCCAGGAATTCTACTTCTAGATATAATACCCAAGGGAATTTAAAACATGTCTACACAAGAATGTTCATAGCAGCATTGTTAATAATAGCCAAAAAGTAGAAAAAACCCAAATGTCTATCAGCTGATGAATGGATAAAGTATTGGTATAGTCATACAATGGACTATCACTTGGCAATAAAAAGGAATAAAGCCCTGATACATGTTACATGATGGTTGAACCTTGAAAACATTATGCAAAGTGAGATAAAAATAAGACACAAAAGACACATGTTGTATGATTTGGCTTATATGAAAGGTCCAGAATAGGAAAATCCATAAAGATAGAATTAGTAGTTGCCAGGGGATGGAGGGGGTCATATGAGGAGTGACTGCTAATAGGTACAGGGTTTCTTTCAGGGTGATTAAATGCTCTGGAATTAGATAATGACAATAGTTGTGCAATTTTGTGAATATACTATAAACCACTGAATTGTAACACTAAAAGAGTGAATTTTATGTATGTCGATTATATATCACTTTAAAAAGTATAACAAACAAAACTTATAAAGCAACTTTGATAAGAATATTCTGTGTTACTGGTATGTATTAGGTTTCAACCCTTCAGAGACCAAGATTCGAACACCTGATGGGAAAGTGTGGCAGGAGGCTGAGTTTCAAAACATGAGTAGAGAACTGTATCGAGATTTAGCACTTCACTTTGCAGGTGAGAATAGAGCTTTCTTATGTTTTGAGTATTTTGTCATACATGCTATCTAATTTATAATATTTACACATAAAATTGTCACCAAACTAACAATATTTTCCTTCTCTAACTGCATGGCATGCTGAAGTTGTGGTGGTTTGAGGCATAAGGCTCTCTTAGCCTCTAGACTCAGCTCCAGGGTTAAAATTAGCTTACATGGTTAATGAGACAGAAACTAGGCTATTTTTAAACTGAGGGACTTTCAGAGTTGGGACTGCCTGATTTGAAGGAAACATAGCAGAATTTAGTTGAAGTTTACTTCTGCTTAGGCCTCTGAGATCTTTGAAGTAGTGAGTAATTTGTCAGGCAGCAGGTAAGATACTTACATGAGAGCAAGATACCAAAAGAAAAATAAGTATTATAGGAAGGGAATAAGTTAGGAATTAGAAACAGGAGGAACCCATGGAAGACTGGGAGAGGGTAATAGGAAGGTCATACTAATAATGGTACTACCTACCGAATAGTATGAGCTTGGGCAAGATGCTGAGTGGGCTTTTCTATTTTTTACAGTTGAGGAAATGGAGGCTCAAAGAGTCATTTTCCTAGGGTTGGATAGAGTAATTAAGAATTGAAGCCAAGATTCAAAACCCACTCTGATTCTAAAGTGTGAGGTCTTTGTAGTAAGCCCTCACAAAGCTTCTACTAATACATTTCTGTGGCATTAAGTGTCCGATCCAGTTTTCTTGCTATTATTATACAACACTCTATTCAGAAATTTTTTTCTCATGTGCAAAGGAAGAATAATGTAATAGTTAAGAGCCAAGATTTTGGAATCAGCTTTCAAGGCTTCCAGTTCTGCCTCTGTCAGTTATTAGTTGAGTATACTAGCTATGTTACATAACTTCTCTTTATTGGTTTTTTCATCTGTAAGATAGGGATAATAACAATATACCTCATAGGATAGTATCATTATAGACTAGTAGAATATGTCAAAAGACTTTGATATTCTGCCTTCTCTCTTGTTACGGTAGATGAACTATGATGTTCCTAGCTAAGACTAACCCATCTACTTGTGTTTTAGATTCCATTTGCTCTGACGTATTTAAGGATGTTACTTCAGCCCTGTTGCCTTTCTTTTGCATGATCAAGTTTTCCCTCTCTACCAGGTCATGCTCATCAACATACTATGTGATAACATGCTGTTATATCAGTCATTGTAAAAGAACCCCTCTTTTGGCCTTACTTTTCTCCAGCTGCTGCCCTGTTTGTTTCTTGTTTTCAGCAAAACTGCAAAAAGTTGCCTTATGCTCATTGTCTTCAATTTGTCTCCTCTCTTTCTCTTAAATCCTTTCTATAGGTGTTTGTCCCTATTTATCAAGATCATCAGTGACTTCCACATTGCTAAATGCAATATTTAATACTAATTTGTTATGATCTGTCAGCAGCATGATTGATCACTTCTTCTTTGAAATTTTCACTTGACATCTAGAATACTATAAGTATCTGGTTTTCCTCCTAAACCTAATTATTCTTTTTCAGTTGTTTTTTTCCTAATCATCAGGATGCCTTGACCTCAGTCCTCAGAGCTTGGGCAGGCAGGCTGGCTGGCTTGCTTGCTTGCTTGCTTGCTTGCTTGCTTGCTTTCTTTCTTTCTTTCTTTCTTTCTTTCTTTCTTTCTTTCTTTCTTTCCCCTCTCTCTCTTTTTTTAAATTTCTTTTTTTTTTCTTAACCTTCTCCCCTTCCTTTTCTTCCCTTTCTTTCATTTTCTCTCTCTCCAATCCCCCTCCCTCTACTCACTCTATTTTTCTTTCTTTTTTTTTACAGCTTATCTATCTGCACACAGGACAAATTTGTCTAGTCTCAGGGCTTTAAATGTTCCCTGTTGCTAGTGATTCCCAAAGTAATGTCTTTAGCCCACACTTCCCCTCTGAACTCACTTGTATCCAGCTGCTACTTCCATGTCTCCCTTTGGATGTATAATAGATTTCTCAACCTTAATATATCCAAAATGGAACTAACTAAATAAATGTGGTCATGATATACCCCTTAAACCTGCTACTCTGGTAGTGTCTCCATGTCATTTAATTCTATCCCTCTAATTGTTCAGGCCCCCAAATCTTGTCATTCTTGAGTATCACACCCCCGCCTCATATTTTGTATGTAATATTGTCTGAAATATACTTAGAATATAATCACTTTCACCACTTCCATTACCACCACCTAGATCGAGGCCACCATCAGTTTCCTATCTGGATTATTCTGGTAGTCTCCTCACTGGTCTCCCTCTATCTGCTCTTCTTCTAATGAGTCTATTGTCATAACTTGCTAAAAATTAATTTAGATTAATTTTGCTCCTTTGTTCATAATCTCTCAAAACCTTCCATCTCATTCTTGAGTAAAACCTGAAATTCTTACAGTGGCCTAGATGGCCCTGCATGATCTAGCCCTTAGTTATATGTCTCTGACCGTAGTTCCTACTAATCTTCTCTTTTTTCAGTCCACTCACACTGACCTGCTTGCTGGGTTTCTTTTTAGATACTAGGTATGGTCCTGCTTTAAGGCCTTTACTTATACTTATTTCCACTCTACCCAGAATGCAGAACTCTACACATATTTTAAAGTACATTCATTCAGATCCGTAATTGAAGTTAATTTTTTAAGCTTAACATGTGTAATCAGTTTATTTCTGCAAGTTGGATTTTTAAAAAATTAGTAATAATGTGTATATAAAATACCTTGACATGTTTCACTAGCATCATCATAAAGAGGCCTTAATTTAAGAATATTATATTGAGTATTTCGTAAAGTTTTTATATAGAAATTTCTAAATGAAATAGGAATCTGTGAGAGTGCTCACCTCTGAGATCCTATAAAATGCAATGATCCTGACTTGGAAAGCATTTGTGAAACTAAGTAAACTTCTCAAGAGTTTCTTAGAAGAATAAATAAATAACAAAGGATTGGAACCCAATACTGGAGTGGTGGTAATCTTCATATATTTTCCAACTCCTTTTTTCCATAAAAGGAGTTGATGTTGGTATTATGTGGGCCATAGAAGTAGCCTCAGTGTAGGTTTCTTTCTCCCTACCTGCAGCATATACTTTATACAGATTTTTCCTATGGGCGGAGGATAAGTGAGGGAATGAAAATCATTGTTATATTTGCTGTAAATATTTCTGCTTTTCAGATGATATTTCTATAAAGGAGAAACCTGCTGAAAAAAGTAAAGAGAAGAAAGTAGTCAAGCCAGTACGAAAAGTCCAAAAAGTAGCACAGTTATCAAGTACAGAATGCAGAACAGGTTAGTTTTCTCAACATGTCCATCCTTTTTTTTTGTTTTTAATTAATGTTTTCATTATACTTTAAGTTTTGGGATACATGTGCAGAACGTGCAGGTTTGATACACAGGGTATACGTGTGCCATGGTGGTTTGCTGTACCCATTAACCCGTCATCTACATTAGGTATTTTTCCTAATGCTATCCCTCTCCTGCCTCCCAGCCCCCAACAAGCCCCGATGTGTGATGTTCCCCTTCCTGTGTCCATGTGTTCTCATTGTTCAACTCCCACTTATGAGTGAGAACATGCAGTGTTTGGTTTTCTGTTCCTGTGTTAGTTTGCTGAGAGAATGATGGTTTCCAGCTTCATCCATTTCCCTGCAAAGGACATGAACTCATCCTTTTTTATGGCTGCATAGTATTCCATGCTATGTATGTGTCACATTTTCTTAATCCAGTCAATCATTGATGGGCATTTGGGTTGGTTCCAAGTCTTTGCTATTGTGAGTGGTGCTGCAATAAACATATGTGTGCATGTGTCTTTATAGTAGAATGATTTACAATCCTTTGGGTATATACCCAATAATGGGATTCCTGAGTCAAATGGTATTTCTGGTTCTAGATTCTTGAGGAATTGCCACACTGTCTTCCACAATGGTTGAACTAATTTATACTCCCACCAACAGTGTAAAGATGTTCCTGTTTCTCCACATTCTCTCCAGCATCTGTTGTTTCCTGACTTTTTAATGATCACCATTCTAACTGGCATGAGATGGTATCTCTTTGTGGTTTTGATTTGCATTTCTCTAATGACCAGTGATGATGGGTTTTTTTTCATGTTTGTTGGCCGCATAAATGTGTTCTTTTGAGAAGTGTCTGTTCATATACTTTGCCCACTTTTTGATGAGGTTGTTTGTTTCTTGTAAATTTGTTTAAGTTCCTTGTAGATTCTGGATGTTAGCCCTTTGTCAGATGGATAGATTGCAAAATTTTTCTCCCATTCTGTAGGTTGCCTGTTCACTTTGGTGATAGTTTCTTTTGCTGTACAGAAGCTCTTCAGTTTAATTAGATCCTATTTGTCAAATTTGGCTTTTGTTGCCAATGCTTTTGGTGTTTTAGTCATGAAGTCTTTGCCCGTGCCTATGTCCTGAATGGTATTGCCTAGGTTTTCTTCTAGGGTTTTTATGGTTTTAGGTCTTACGTTTAAGTCTTTAATCCATCTTGAAGTTAAATATTACTGTTACCAAAAGTTCTCATTGTTTGGCACATATAAAAAATTAATACATTTTATGTATCGTGTGTGTGTGTGTGTGTGTGTGTGTGTGTGTGTGTGTGTTAAGGGGTAATTGACATAAACTGCACATATTTAGAATGTATAGTTTGATACATTTTCATAATTTTATACATCCACGAAACCATTTGTTCACCATATATGTTCATCAACATACTGAACACATCTGTCTTCTCTCCAATTTTTTTCTGTGATGATTTTTAATATAAGTTAACCAGATTAAAGGTAATTTTTATGTTGTGAACTTTTCTATACAAGGGGATTGTTTCTGATTGTCACTGAATCCTTTCACTTATTCTCAAAAGAGAATAAATGTTGCACATCAGAACTATGGCGTTCCAACCAGTATTAGTCAGGTGGAAGTCTGAATAGATCAAGAATGGAAAAAAGATAATTCTCTAGTTCCATAACATTTTGGCCCTCATCCAGATTGCCCAAATTTATAACTAGCTTTGTTCCTTTGGTAAATGAGCTAATTTTAGTGTGCCTTGGTTTTCTCATATGTAAAATGGGAAAGCAGTAGTATTTATCCCACAGGGTTGTTGTGAGAACTAGGAGTTAATACCCCAAAGCACTCATTATAATGCCTGGCACATGATAAAGACTCAACTGTTAGCTATGACTCCACTGATAATAGTAATTATTATTTCTGGCTATATTGAAAATGGCTATTTAGAATGTCATATTCTTCTCAGTAAGTAATTTGGGCCAAGAGAATGGAGAAAGTTGGGAACCTGTCACTTTCAATTTGGAGACATTCTAAATTCATTCATTCATTATACAAATATTAATATTTTGAACATTTGCTGTATGTGAGGTACTGTGCTGTACTAAACTTAGACAATACATTGGTAAGCAAGATGCATCTAGCCCCTGCCTTCATGGAGCTTATAGTCTTGTCAGGGAATAGTAGATATGTTGTTACAATAAAGTATGATTAGTGCTGCGGTAAGAGGTCACAAGATGTTATGAGACCACCAGGGCAAAACTGATGGGGTACTGGTTTTTGATCAGGCATCTGTTTTTCTAGTCATACACTAATCAGTAGAATGGCAGATAACACATTTTGTGACACCCATTGTTAACTTTAGATGTCATAATAGAGTGACACTTGCTATATACAGATAAAAAAATAAAATGTTACAAAAACATGAGTTATCTGAGCATTAACAATTACATTTTATTTTACTTTATTTTTTGAGACAGAGTCTTGCTCTGTCACTGGTGTACACTGGCACAATCTTGGCTCACTGTAATCTCCGCCTCCTGGATTCAAGTGATTCTCATGCCTCAGCCTCCTGAGTAGCTGGGATTACAGGCATGTGCCACCACGCCCAGCTAATTTTTGTATTTTTAGTAGAAATGGGGTTTTGCCATGTTGGCCAGGATGGTCTTGAACTCCTGGCCTCAAGCGATCCGCCTGCCTTAGCCTCCCAAAGTTTTGGGATTATAGGCGTGAGCCACTCACCCAGGCAATAATTACATTTTTAAAAAGTATTGTGTTTCATGTGGCGTTATGTAATACTGTTGTCAGAAGCATAGTTTGAAATGAAGCACAGGGACCCCTAAAACTTATGAACACTGATCTTGGATTGTATTTATCCAGTTTTGTGGTAGGCTAATTCTCATGTATGTACTGTGGCAGTGAGCTAGATAGAGAGTCATTAAATATGCTAAAGCTGTATTAATAGTTTATGTAGTGAAATTCCTTTTTTTTTAACCAATGACCGTGTGTAACTGTTCCAGAAAGTTAGAATTTAGAAATAACCACTCAGCATATTCAGATGCCAACATGTATAAATTACTATCCAGTGTATTCATGGTTGCTTTTGATTCAGAAAATCAGGCTGAAATTGAAGAGAAACCTGTTCTCTCATTTTACATAAGAACATCAAGTTTCTTATAAATAGATTGAGCAGTATACGTAAAACCCTTTAAATATTTTAGGTCAACTGTATAAGGTTAATAACAAGGTGCAGAAACATTTCTAAAGTAAACAGCACACATTAAAACTCACCTTTTTATAATTGATGTTTTTATTAAAATGATACTTCCGTTTAAACTTATAAATTATAGCCCTTTTTAAAGAAACTCTAAATGGAAAGTCTTTTATTATAAATACAATAAAATAGCATCACAGAAAGCTGGGAAAATAGAAAACAGATAAAACCACTATCCAGACTTAAATAAAGAACTAGTATTACTTTGTATGTTTCCTTACATTCATTTTAAAATTGTAATAGTAGGTTATGGTAATCACTGTTTATTTAAATTTTTTTGTATATGTAAAATTTCATTGGTTTTTGCATCTTTTCACAGGAACATTTCTGTTGTTTCTTATGAAAATTGTCATTTGTAATGGCCACACAATATTCTAGTAGAAATAGTAACTATTCACCATTCTTCAGTATTTAGTTACTTCCGATACTATAAAAATGATACAGTCAACATTTTCATCTATTTTTTTGTTTCTTTTAGATTATTTATATTGTATAAATTTCTGTTTGTTGGATCATTGATCAAGGGGCATGAATACTGTTGGGGTCCCTGACACATAATCCCATGTTTGCTTTTTTTTTTTTTTTTTTTAAAGAAACTATACCCACTTATATTTCAGCAAGTAATGTGTAGGCAGAATGATTTTATTATAATTTTACCAGCATTGACTATTAATGTAAAAATGTTACAATAATTTAATTAGGCTTGAAGTGCTACTACATTATTTTCATTGTCATTCTGTTTCTTCCTTCCTTTCTTTTCTTTCTTTCTTTCTTTTTTTTTTTCTGAGACAGGATCTCACTCAGTGTCCCAGGCTGGAGCACAGTGGCATGATCATAGCGGACTGCATCCTTGAACTCTTGGGTTCAAGTGATCCTCCCACCTCAGCCTCCTGGGTAGCTGGGACTACAGGCACGCATCACTGTACCCAGCTAATTTTTTTTAATCTTAATTCTTTGTAGAAACAGGGTCCTGCTATGTTTCCCAAGCTGGATTCAAACTCCTGACCCCAAGCATTCCTCCTGCCTCAGCCTCTCAAAGTGCTGGGATTATAGGCATGAGCCACCATGCCCGACCTCTGTTTCTTATATTACTTTGCATTTAAACACTTTTATTCTATGTTTATTTTTTGTAGTTTCTATTTTGTAAACAGTCTTTTTTTTTCATTTCTTTTTAAGTCACTGTCTATTTTGAGATGATTGCTTAATTTTTAATTTGTTACATTCTGAAGCTAGTGGATGAAAATCTTTTTTTCTTCTGGTAAACAGCTGTATTTATTGAAACATTTTTTTGAATTTTTATGATGAGGGCCATTTAAAATGATTATACTTTTTAAATGTTACTGTTTTGTACATAGAAAAGTAGTGTGTACTTTTGGTACATATCTGTAAAATATTATGTGAAAGTCCCTGTAATACCATCCCCTTCAAAAGTAATCATTGTTAACTCTTTGTTATATGTTTCCTCCAAATTTTTTACATGTTCTTTGATTAAGTCATTTTTTTAAAGCAAACATATTATTTTATCATGTGCCATGTACTGTGCTAGATATTGGTAAACCAAACACTTGTTGTATGTTAAGACATATTTTTGTTTTGTCAAATTTGCTACCTTAGTTCTTTTTTTGAGATGGAGTCTTGCTCTGTCACCAGGCTGGAGTGCAGTGGGGTGCGATCTCAGCTCACTGGAACCTCTGCTTCCTGGGTTCAAGCGATTCTTGTGTCTCAGCCTCCTTAGTAGCTGGGATTATAGGCACCCTCCACACACCTGGCTAATTTTTTGTATTTTTAGTACAGACAGGGTTTTGCCATGTTGGCCAGGCTGGTTTGTGCCTTAGTTCTTGAGGTTTAGGAATCATTATTTGGTACTTAACTTTCAAAGCATTTTACATTTATTTCAGATGTGTGGGTAAATCAAGATATAAACAAATGGTTAACTGACTTGGGGAGGTTAGGGTTTAAAAATATCATTATATTGTAAATCTTTTGACCTTGACAGATGAACATAAGATTAATAATAAAACCTGTATGGTTGAGTAGATACACTTCTTACAATTAAAATTTAAGTTTTAATTTCAGTGCCATGTATTTTTTTAGGTAGTAGTCATCTTATAAGTACATCTTCTTGGCGAGATGGACAAAAATTAGTAAAGAAGATTCTGGGACCTGCTCCCAGAATGGAGCCAAAAGAGCAAAGAACAGCATCAAGTGACAGAGGTGGAAGAGAAAGAACTGCTAAATCTGGTAAGTAGCTATAATTAAAATAGTTGAGAAAACAATTAAAAATTGCTATTAAGTACTTAGAGAAGGAAAAAGTACTCTTAAGAATGTGTTAGGACTTTGCTTTATAATTTTGAATGTAGCTCAAAAAAGAAAAAAATGTTCTATTGGGCTTGGTTATGGATAATATCTGCATATAGGTGTTATGTTCATCTTTATGAAAAATTGTTTATGTTGTGTTAATTACATTTAGCTGTCATTGTGAATATGAAAGCATTATTGTAATGAAATCATATTAGACTTTTAGGGACCTTAGAGAGAATCAGGTCCAACCTGGTTCATCCCAACATATTCAAGCAAACACGGACAAACATTCACAAGGTTGGATTTTTTTTATTTGACAGATTAGGAAACAGGCTCTGAAAGAGAAGTGATTTTTCCCAAGGGTTATGTAGTCAGTGGGTGTCAGATTTGGTGGCAGAACTGTTTAGTTTGACCCTCAAGTCCACTGTTTTTCTCCTATCAAAGTTTCTTGAGTGAGTGCTATTTCAAATAACTACTTTTTTCATGAACAGTAATTTTGGGATGTGAAATATAAATACTCATATGCCAGTTTTTCTTTTCAGCAGCCAAATTTGTTTCAATTTAATTTGAATTTCTGGAATGGATTCAGTAAGATGCAGTTGCAACTATAATTTGGCATATAGAAGTCAATGTACATATACAATACTTTGTATTTGGGCCTCTTCACTTTTATCTAGCTTGTAAATACGCTCATGTGTATTCCCAGTCTAAAGCCATGTTATCAGATAATTTGATGATAAAATTATTTTTTTTCTGTATATTTAAGTTTTTCCATCCTTCACTGGAGAGTTGTAGAGGCTTAACATTTATTCAACAAATATTTACTGAGTGCCCACTACATAGCAGGCACTGCTGTAATCTCTAGGGCTTCAGAATAAGCAAAATAGACCCAAATCCCTGGCTCTGTAGAAGAAGCATTCTAGTAAAAGGAATCATTATATTCTTCATATGTTTCTTGCTAACCTTTGCACATTTTCTCTGGAAATAGAGTAAAATACACAAAATTTTAAAAATATTTGAGCATTTGTTATACAGATGTTTAAAAATGTGAATGTGATCAGATGAGAGACTAATTCTGATCTTTTCCTTATATCAACAGGAAATATAAAGTTTCAGAAATCCTTTGATAAACTTACCTGAACATGGTGCCATTTCATGTAATTATGAAATGGGTCAGTGTTGTAGAATTTTCAGAAAAACTAATATTTTCAGTGCCATTATTATTTGGCATATGCAGTCTGGTCTTTGCAAAGCTTTAAAAATATATTTTTTATGATTATTAAGGCATTGCCATTTCCTTGCTTCTCATTGGGATGCCTTCCACTAAAAAGATTGTTGACCTTTTTAACAGCCTTTTGAGGGGTTGTGGAGAGAGAGAAATAGTAACACTAAATATGTATATAAGAGAGAAATCGAAATGCTAAATATTCATAACAACCATAAGAGCTATCTTTTTTGTCCAGAAATATTTCAAACTGTATTTAAAAACAAACCAAGGAAATATAGTTTTTCAGAAGATTGAGATTCTTCTTTTACTGCTAAAAAGGGAGGCTTTTCTTTCCTTTTATAATTTTCTTCAGAAGACTGTAAGATATTTGAATTTGAGTTTAAGTAAGATAAAATGAAATTCTCTAATTTTCTTGTTAATGCAGTTAAATCTTAGGAATGAGTATAGAATTTCGGTATATCACTAACAGTTCATACTTTGCAGGGGGTCACATTGGAAGAGCAGAATCTGATCCCAGGTTGGACGTTTTACATAGACATCTTCAAAGAAACTCAGAACGTTCGAGAAGTAAATCTCGGTCTGAAAATAATATAAAGAAACTAGCTTCATCTCTTCCAGATAATAAGCAGGAGGAAAATACTGCCTTAAATAAGGACTTTTTACCTATTGAAATTCGTGGCATTCTTGATGACCTACAGCTGGATTCTACAGCTCACACTGCAAAGCAAGATACTGTAGAGTTACAGAACCAGAAGTCATCAGCACCAGTACATGCTCCTAGGAGTCACAGCCCAGTAAAAAGAAAACCTGACAAAATAACAGCTAATGAAGATCCCCCTGTTATTTCCAAAAGGCGCCACTATGACACAGATGAGGTACGACAGTACATTGTTAGGCAGCAGGAGGAAAGGAAGAGAAAGCAAAATGAAGAGAAGAAGGCTCAAAAGGAGGCTACAGAACAGAAAAACAAACGATTACAAGAGCTCTACCGGAAGCAGAAGGAAGCCTTTACTAAAGTAAAAAATGTCCCTCCTTCTGAGCCATCAGCAACTAGGCGACTACAGGAAACTTACTCCAAATTGCTACTAGAAAAGACCTTGCTTGAAGAGCCATCTCATCAACATGTTACGCAGGAAACACAGGTAATAGTAGTGACATATACAAAGGAGAGTCATTCATGGTTAGGAAATGCTTATTTGCTATACTATTTAAAAATTACCCATCATTCCTAGTATGCTCAGATAATACTTATAATAATCATGGCCTTCATGAAATATATTAAATATGAGGAGTAATGTGATAAATGTGATGGAAAATAAAAGCTGAATTAAGAATTTCCTACAGTGATTGTTACTGATTTATTTTCCTCTCATCATTGCTATTAGTTACATCCCTGCATAGTTTTCATTGTAGTACTGAACAAGTACAGTTGACCTTTGAACGATGTGGGGGTTGGGGTGCCAACCCCTTTGCAGTTGAAAATCCACATATAACTTTTGATTCTCCAAAAACTGAACTACTAATAGCCAGCTGTTGACTGGAAGCCTTATAACATAATGTTGATTAACACATATTTTATATGTTGTCTATATTATACACTGTATTCTTGCAATGAAATATGCTAAAGAAAATATTATTAAGAAAATCATAAGGAAGAGAAAATATATTGACTATTCATTAAGTGGAAGTGGATCATCAAGGTCTTTATCCTCGTCATCTTCATGTTGAGTAGGCTGAGAGGAGGAGGAAGAGGAAGAGTTGGTGTTGCTGTCTCAAGGGTGGCAGAGGCAAAAAGGTAGAGATGGAAGGGGAGGCAGGAGGTGTGCACCACCATGCCTAGGAAATTGTTTATTTATTTATTTATTTATTTATTTATTTATTTATTTATTTGAGACGGAGTCTCCCTGTCGCCCAGGCTGGAGTGCAGTGGCGCGATCTCGGCTCACTGCAGGCTCCGCCCCCCGGGGTTCATGCCATTCTCCTACTTCAGCCTCCTGAGTAGCTGGGACTACAGGCGCCCGCTACCTCGCCCGGCTAATTTTTTGTATTTTTATTAGAGACGGGGTTTTACTGTGTTAGCCAGGATGGTCTCGATCTCCTGACCTCCTGATCCGCCCGCCTCGGCCTCCCAAAGTGCTGGGATTACAGGCGTGAGCCACCGCTCCTGGCCGGAAATTGTTTATTTTTTGTAGAGACAGGGTCGCACTGTGTTGCCCACACTGGTCTTGAACACCTGGACTCAAGTGATCCTCCCACTTTGACCTCTCAAAGTGCCTGGCTCTCCGTTGGATTTTAGATGGTGTTTTGCTATTAGTAATGTTTGTTTTTAAGACAAAATAAATTTTAATTGGTTTTGTTTGACAAAAAAAAACCACTACATTTTATGATCTTTGTAGAGCTGAGGTGACTTAATGTTTAACTTAGGTGCTACCTGAATATATCTTTGTGACAGAACTCATATAAATTTGATGTCCTTTTCTCCTAGGCCAAACCAGGGTATCAGCCATCTGGAGAATCTGACAAAGAAAACAAAGTACAGGAACGTCCCCCAAGTGCATCTTCCAGTAGTGACATGTCTCTCTCAGAACCTCCACAGCCTCTTGCAAGGTAAAAAGGGAAGAATGAAAGATGATTAAGATTCTTTTCATGAAATTTAGCGGAGTGGTCTATGTTCAGAGAATTTTGTTGACTTTTGTGAACAAGAGGGCAGAGAGGTTTATTTACAAATTGGTTCATATCTTCTGAAATTTAGGCATAGTGCACATCTGTACTTACTGTATACCCTAGGCTAATTGTTCAAATTTTACCTTTTAATGTAAATG
Source organism: Homo sapiens (assembly GCF_000001405.40). Classification (NCBI taxonomy): domain Eukaryota; kingdom Metazoa; phylum Chordata; class Mammalia; order Primates; family Hominidae; genus Homo; species Homo sapiens. The sequence continues at coordinate 180,016,186 of NC_000001.11, forward strand.
TCAGTTTCTTTTACAGTTGGAAGCACTCTTGCCTTCTGTGAACTAAACACACAATAAAAGTGTGTTGGATGAATGAATGATGGTGAAATTTTAAAGTGTTTTTGGTTAATTTCAAACGGGTTTTTGTGTCTACTGCTATTTAAAATTTCTTATGTGTAAGAACAATTTAGCCATTGTACTTTCGAGAGCTACCTTTGGATATGCTTGTGGACACATTAATAAGGACTAGGAAGGGATCTGATTTGATTTCAGATAGTCAACAGACTATTTTACCTTAAAATACTTTTTTGCTGTAATATATTGTTTGCAATAAAGTAAACAAAAAAACTGTGAGTTTGGAAGTAAAGGTGATGTTTAGGTTATGTGGTTATAAATTATACTTTGTAATAATAACCATTTTGGAAAGGGAAAGATTTTGAAACTCTTTGAGAACACGTAAATAGAAATCAAAATCACTATCCAATTTTGGGTTATGTTTTTTTTTTTTTTTTTTGGAGACAGGGTTTCACTCTCTTGCCCAGATTGGAGTGCAGTGGCACAGTCTTGGTTCACTGCAACCTCCGCCTCCCAGACTCAAGCTATTCTCTTGCCTCAACTTCCCACGTAGCTGGGATTACAGGCATGTGCCACTACCACCTGGCTAATTTTTGTATTTTTAGTAGAGACTTTGTTTCACCATCTTGGCCAGGCAGGTCTTAAACTCCTGACCTCAAGTGATCCACCCACCTCAGCCTCCCAAAGTGCTGGGATTACAGGCATGAGCCACCGAGCCTGGCCCATATGGTCCTTTTTTTACCCCATTGTCCCTAGAATAATACTGTCAATAAAAATAGCTAACATTTATTAATGTTTCTTAGGTTCCAGGCAATGATCTAAGTACTTTGCATATATTATTTTACTTAATCCTTGTAATTCCTTGAGTTAGGTACTGTTGTTATTCCTGTTTTACAGAAGAGGTAATTGAGGCCTAGAAAGCTTTCTCAAAGGTCAAAACATTAATGATAGAGATAGGTTTTAATTTAGCCAGTGTGACTCTAGAAGCCTGTGCTTTAACTACTCTACATACTACTCCCCAAAAGTGAAATGTTTCATATGATTTGCTTAAGGTTCTAAATACATTTCAAACTTTAAGTATAAATAAACTTAACATTTTTGTTTTGAATTTGAATGCTTCTATTTATTTACTTATTTTTCTAAGTGTCGTCTCTGGAGAGGATTGAATGCTTTTAGATGGGTGATACTCTCTAGTTCATCTCAGTCCTATTGTTGTCAGACATACCCTGCTATATTAATGTCTTCAATTTTTATCTTTCTCTGAATTTCCTTCTAATTCTAAACAAGTTATCCAATATTAAAAGCAAGCCAAACACAAACAAATCTAGTGTTAGACCATACTACCTTGTACCAGTTTCTCACTTTTCTTTTAATATCCAACTTCTTTGACTCCTGATGTCTAACTTATTGCGTCCACTTTCTTGCTACCCAGCTTCTGAGCTCCCCCATTCCCGTTAATAGTTTTAGCATAACTTTATGTTTAAAAGCATGTTACTTTTTGCTTAAAATTTGGCATTTCTTTTCCTTACTCTTTATAGCATATTGTGTTAACTACCTGGAAAACTCCAGGTTTCATATCTCACCTTGAAAACTGAAGATCCAGCTTAACAAACACTTTCCTTGGCTAGCAGAGTTAATTGCTGCTTCATCTATACCCTACTGAACTTTTTAAATCTTTGTTTTAGTATTTGTGATGTCTTATTTTAGCTGTTTGTTTGTCATCCCTGCTAGATCTTGAGATCTTAAAGTGTAAGGATTAAGCCTTTTTATTTGTTTTTAATTTGGAGACAGGGTCTTGCTTTTTCACACAGGCTAGAGTGCAGTGGCACGATCATAGCTTACTGCAGCCTCAACCTCTTGGACTCAAGTGATCCTCCCACCTCAGCCTCCTAAGTAGCTGTGACTATAGGCATGCACCACCACGCCTGGCTAATTTTATTTTGTTTTTTATTTTTTTGGAGATGAGGAGCTTGCTATGTTGCCCAGGCTGGTCTTGAACTTCTGGCCTCAAGTGATTGATTCTTCTGCCTCAGCCTCCCAAGTAGCTAGGATTACAGGTGTGAGCTACCATGCCCAGCTCAGGATTAACTGGATTAAGTATATTCATTTTTGTCTCCTGTTTCTCTACCATCAACATATCACCTGCTATAAAATTGGCATTCTAAATACTTGAATTTAAAGCTCTTGGATTTTTATTCATCAATATCTTTTATATTATAACTTCCCTTGTATTCCTATTACTACCAGCTTAGTTTAGGCCCCAATAGCCTCACACTTTGCATTTGTAATAGCCTATATTCTAAGGCATAGAATCTGTGCTCTAGTCTTTCTTCCTTCATTCTAATGACATGCTTTTCAACTTATTATTACCCTGGTTACCCCCCTTCAGATGACTTATTTTAACCCAATTGCAGAAGTTTACATTTATCCATATTAGTTTGGTTTACGATTGCAGCCTATAAAAATAAATTCATCTCATAATTTGGTCATTTGTTGGGTCAGCCATGCCTCCCAGCTTTCTGTCATCTGCAAGTTTGATAAGCATATCTTTGTGTCATCATCCTAAAATAATGGACAAGACCAAGGACAAAGCCTCATGTTCGTCTTCTCTTTCTTTCTTTTTTTTTTTTTTTTTCTGAGACAGTCTTACTGTGTCTTCCAGCTGGAGTGCAGTGGCACGATCTCGGCCCAATGCGTCCTCCACCTCTCGGGTTCAAGCGATACTTGTGCCTTAACCTCCCAAGTAGCTGGGACTACAGGCACATGCCACCATGCCCACCTAATTTTTTGGTATTTGTAGTAGAGATGAGTTTCGCCATTTTGCCCAGGCTGATCTCAAACTCTTGGCCTCAAGTCATCTGCCTGCTTTGGCCTCCCAAAGTGCTGGGATTACAGGCATCAGCCGCTGTTCCTGGCCTGTTCCTCTAAGGGTCTTCTTAATAGTTGACATCATCCTGTAATCTCTCTGTAGTATCCCTTAATATAGAGGAAGTCTATGGTCTGGAAATATAGGTAAATACACATAATGTTGTTTAGGACATCTTTATTCTGTTTCTAGACTTAATGGATACCCTACCCTGTATATTTGTATTTATAGTTGCATATTTATAGTTGGCACTGATAGTTTTGCATTTGATTGTTTCACGTTCATTAATTTTTTACAAGTATTAATAGGTTATAATAACCTCCCTATTTAGCATGTACATTGTTAAACATAAGTGTTCAGCATATAGTAAATATTTGTTGATTAGAATAATCTATATCATGTCTACATTAATATTTAGCAATTTTAAGCATTTCTCTTTTATGTAATGTTATTTTAAAAATTATAATCAGTATTGTAAGGAATTCTGTTTATAGAATTTTAAAGATCTTATTGCCTTTTTAATAGTTTTTTAAAAATATGGCATCTTAGTTGAAAAAAGCAGCTTGCAAAACAGTATATATGGTAAAATCCCATTTTTGTACAAACAATACCACCAAAACATAATGTACAAATAGAAAAATGTTTGGAAGGATATAATTCTAAATGAAATATTAACAGTGCCTCTTTTTTATTGTTTTGCTGAGTGATCTTTATCTTTTTTATATTTTTTATCTGTCCTTTTTTTGTTGCAGTGCATCCTCATTACTCTTATAATCAGATAAAAAAAAAACTTTTTTAAAATGGTGGTTTAGTTAACTAACATATTGTGACTTTCATTTCCAGAAAAGACTTGATGGAATCTACATGGATGCAGCCTGAAAGATTGAGCCCACAAGTTCACCATTCTCAACCACAGCCTTTTGCTGGAACAGCTGGAAGTTTACTCTCCCATCTCTTGAGTTTAGAGCATGTAGGAATTTTGCATAAGGATTTTGAATCTATTTTACCAACCAGGAAGAATCATAATATGGCTTCAAGGCCATTAACTTTTACACCTCAACCATATGTGACCTCACCAGCTGCTTATACAGATGCCTTGTTAAAACCTAGTGCCAGCCAATATAAGAGTAAACTGGATCGTATTGAAGCCTTGAAAGCAACAGCTGCTTCTTTGTCCAGCAGAATTGAAAGTGAAGCCAAGAAATTAGCTGGGGCCAGCATTAACTATGGGTCAGCATGGAACACTGAGTATGATGTGCAGCAGGCACCTCAAGAAGATGGACCTTGGACCAAGGCTGTAACTCCACCTGTGAAAGATGATAATGAAGATGTTTTCTCTGCCAGAATTCAGAAGATGCTGGGAAGCTGTGTATCTCATGCAACTTTTGATGATGATCTTCCTGGTGTAGGCAATCTTAGTGAATTTAAAAAGCTTCCTGAGATGATAAGACCACAGAGTGCCATATCAAGCTTTAGAGTGAGATCCCCTGGTCCCAAACCAGAAGGGCTACTGGCACAGTTATGTAAAAGGCAGACTGACTCTTCTAGCTCTGATATGCAAGCCTGTTCTCAAGACAAAGCCAAAATATCTCTTGGTTCCAGCATAGATTCAGTCAGTGAAGGGCCTCTTCTTAGTGAGGGGAGTCTCTCTGAAGAAGAGGGAGACCAGGATGGACAGCCCCTTTTGAAAGTAGCAGAAATTTTAAAAGAAAAGGAATTTTGTCCTGGAGAAAGAAATAGTTATGAACCCATCAAAGAGTTTCAGAAAGAAGCTGAAAAATTCTTGCCACTTTTTGGGCACATAGGTGGTACACAAAGCAAAGGACCATGGGAAGAATTGGCAAAGGGAAGTCCACATAGCGTCATTAATATTTTTACAAAATCCTATCAGTTATATGGAAAAGGTGAGAAAAATAAATATAGCTTGTACTGTTTGTATATTAAGATGAATTATTTTATAATTTCTGTATGAGATATGTACTTTAGTACACATTTTTCGTTGAGTGGATAATGGAGACTTATTACTGTCCGTATTAGTCATCTTCTAAATTTCCTGCAAGCCTTAAGTAAGAGTATTAGTAATTTAATCTTTAAAATTTCATTTTAAAATTGTTATTATCATAAAATAATAGTTGAGACTGGTAGCTTTAGAAATTTTTATCTAGTTCAGAGAAATTCATAGATGATGTTCAGGATTGGATATATATCACGTATATACTACATTTTCTGTGACCATAGTTATGTACTTCAGTAGAAACTAAGTATAAACCAGGCGCGGTGGCTCATGCCTATAATCCCAGGACTTTCAGAGTCCAAGGCGGGCGGATCACTTGAGGTTAGGAGTTCAAGACCAGCCTGGCCAACATGGTGAAACCCCACCATTACTAAAAATACAAAAAATATTTAGCTGAGTGTGGTGGCATGCACCTGTAATCCCAGCTACTTGGGAGGCTGAGGCACGAGAATCGCTTGAACCTGGTAGGCGGAGGTTGCAGTGAGCTGAGATCATGCCACTGCACTCCAGCTTGGGCGACAGAGCGAGACTCCTCAAAAAAAAAAGAAAAGAAACTAAGTATGTTTCTTAACACAGTGATGATTTGTGACTTCTTGGGAATATAGCAATCAAGAATTGAGAGGGATAAATGTAGTAACATTTCTAATATGAAAACAACTCTATTACTGTTTGTTAAAACTAATTTGAATAGCAATCAGACTTTAAACAATAATGTAGCTATATATTTGATTCCTAAAACAGTAACTTCTAAAGTTCCCTTCTTATACCTGAAATCCTGCAACACAGTTTTCTTTTCTATGATAGACTCAATTCCTTCAAGTCCCTTTCTCTATCCTTCCTGCTATATATGGAATCTGCCCATTTTATACTAACATTATCTTAGAATTTCCGGATTGGAAATTTCCCCTCTATATAGTGAATGGATTTCATCTGTTCCTCTTATGCTCAACTGGGTATCACATTGCTTTTTCCTAGAATTCATATTTAGGTATTTCTTAATGGTCTTGTATAGACCTTCATATGCTATTGCTTTCTTTTGTTTAGCCACATTTCTATTAGTGGTAATTTTAAATTTGTTTTGATTTGAAAGTTATTTTGATTTCTTTTGATGAAAGTAAAATGCTTAAATCAACATCATTTTTAATAAGAAAATTGTTTCTTCTTAAATTCTGTTAAATTTTCATTAAGATTTTATAGTTAAACTGAAATATTTAGAGATGAAATGAGAATGAAATGTTGTCTGGAATTTGCTTTAAAATAGTCTGGGGGGTGGGAGATGAAGGTAGTAGGAGGTTTATTTGAAACTAGATTGGTGATGTATTGGTCATTGTTGAAGCAGGATGATGAATACTTTGGTTTCATTATACTAGTCTCCCTGTTTTCTGTATGTTTTAAAATTTTCCTAATTAAAAGCTTTAAAAAAGTATCATTGGATATAAAGGTAAATAGAAAAGAGGCACTATTAAAGGAAACTAAAATGTCCCTAAGCCCATATTGCTAATCTCCATGTATGGGATGCTTTTCTTACAGTTTCTTGATTTTCGTTTTTAACCATGTTTCAATTATTACTTTTGTCAGGGTTTGAAGACAAGTTGGACAGAGGAACATCAACATCACGGCCTTTGAATGCCACCGCAACTCCTCTAAGTGGTGTTTCATATGAAGATGATTTTGTCTCCTCTCCAGGGACTGGGACTTCGACAGAAAAAAAATCAACTCTTGAACCTCAGTAAGATATATTGGCAATATGGAATAAACTCTGAAGAGTGAGAAAAATGTACAAATGAGAACTCTGGTCTGAATATTAGCCAAGTTTTGCTCATTTAAAAATACATATAGAGGCTGCACATCATAGTGGAGATCCAGAGCATGGGCTCTGGATCCAGACTGCCTTTGTTTAAATCCAGGCTCTCCTGGTTATTGGTTGTTTGTATTTATACATATTACTTAGCCTTCCTATGCTTCTGCTTCCTTCTCTGTAAAATGGGGACATTAATAGTACCTGCCTGCCTCATAGAGTTGTTATGAGTATTAAATGAAATATAGGGAGGCTGAGGCACGAAAATCGCTTGAACCTGGGAGGTGGAAGTTGCAGTGAGCCGAGATTGCACCACTGCACTCCAGCCTGGGTGACAAAGCTGACCCTATCTCAAAAAAAGAAAGAAAAAAAAATCACTTACTTAGAACAGGGCCTGGCACATAGTAAGCAGAGTATAGGTTATGAAATCAGTCCATGAATTCCTAGTACAGTATTGGAGTATTGGGAAATTATTCCATGCTATACTAACATAAAAAGCTTAAGAAATGGTTTTCTGTGATAGAATTGAGGAAGATCAGATAGATACATGACTCCATGGTTCCAAGTAATAAGTAATTTTCTTTATAATCAAGAAAACATTGAAAAATTTGCAAAGCTTTGAAAAACAATAATTATAATGATTATAACATCTGATAATTATTGGGCACTTAGTGTGCAAGACACTGAAAGGACTGAGGGACTTTACCTGTATTAACTCATTTTTATGATAGCCTGATGTGGAAAGTATTACTGTTATCATTTCTGTTTTAGACAGCAAACTGAAGCAGAGGTTAAATTACTTGTACATAGTCACATAGTAAGTGAATCAGACTTCGTTGGAGAGAATTTTCTCCCTATATTTAGCTGCCATAAAAATTTATCTGTAATTATTCATATTTAATATCATCTTTTTCAAATATTACAAATTGTAATCCATGTAAAATTATTAGGTAATCTTATACAAATTAGTTAAATCTAAATAGATTAATAGGAATAAGTATAAAAATTATATGAGAAAAAGCATAGTTTTAAGTTTTGAGCTCTAAGGAAAATATGAAATTTTTAAATAAAAACCTTCAAAGATTTATGGTGACATTTAATATCACCAATCAATATGATTTGATGCATTTTATTTCCAGGTAGAGGTAGAACATATTAAGTTATTGTTCTCCATAAGAATATAAGAGGAGAAATAGTTATAATATATAAATTATAAATTTGAATAGAAATTGAGGCCATATTTTCCAGTATTCAACATTATACATTTTTCTCTAAATATTAGTTTTTATTGGTTTCACTTACCTTTGATTTTTCTTAGTAATAAATTGAACCATAGGGAACAATCCAGGCTTATGGTGGTTAAAAAAAAATAATAAAGTGTTAAGCCATCTTTGATTGTAGTTATAGTCTCCTAGTGATTACATAGATTTTTAAATATCTTTAATTTAGCTGTGTTGTAAGACTTTTCTTTCTGGAACTACTATTATTTATTCTTTGACAGTAGCACTTTAAGCCCTCAGGAGGACCATTCTAACAGAAAGTCTGCCTATGATCCTTCCTCTGTGGATGTTACCTCCCAGCATTCATCAGGAGCCCAGTCTGCTGCATCGTCTCGTTCATCTACTTCTTCTAAAGGAAAGAAAGGAAAAAAGGAAAAGACAGAATGTAAGTGGAATTCCACATGGTAACTTTTTCTCTTACCAATGATTTTGTTGTAGTAATCTAAAGTTATGATTTGATTGCATAAGAAGTTAGAAGAATTTCTTATGGTAATGTAATTAGCTTTCATATTTATTTATCATTATAATAATACCTTTTGATATATAACATCATGAATCTTTTCCTTAATACAAAAGGAATACATTTGCAATGATAAAAAATTAAAAATTAGAGATAAACACTCTTCAAAGAAAGACAAATTTCCTTTGAGACTTCTGTTCAGAGATTAACTACTATTAACATTTTTGATGTATACGTAAAATTATACACACACATGACTTTATTTATTTACTTTTTTTTTTTTTTGAGACGGAGTCTCACTCTGTCGCCCAGGCTGGAGTGCAGTGGCGTGATCTTGGCTCACTGCAAGCTCCGCCTCCCAGGTTCATGCCATTCTCCTGCCTCAGCCTCCCGAGTAGCTGGGACTACAGGCGCCCGCCACCGCACCCAGCTAATTTTTTGTATTTTTAGTAGAGACGGGGTTTCACCATGTTAGCCAGGATGGTCTCGATCTCCTGACCTCGTGATCCACCCGCCTTGGCCTCCCAAAGTGCTGGGACACATGACTTTATTTTAAAAACAAATGTAAATAATTGCTTTGCAGTTGGTTTTTTAAAAAAACTTTATAGTATATACATCTCTGAGTATCATTAAATATAATACCCAAATGTCCTTATCTATAAAATAGAGATAATAATAGATATGGTAATTTTTAAGCTTATATGAAATTAAGGGAGATAATGTATACATTCCGGTACCTAGCACTGTAGCTGACTCATTGGCATTCAGTAAATATTTTTGAGTGATTGAGATGCCCTTCAATGTCCTCATTTCTACTCTTGGCTTAAATTTGCTCTATAGGCCTACGGAGATGGATAATCACTGTACAAAGTGATTAGGCAAAGGCTTTGTAAACTCACAGGATGGTGTCTAGCTAGGGGAATGATTTTGCTTCCAAAAATGTTTTTTCTGGAAGCTGGAAGCTGTCATTCTCAGCAGACTAACACAGGAACAGAAAACCAAACACCGCGTGTTCTCACTCATAAGTGGGAGTTGAACAATGCGAACACATGGACACGGGGAGGGGATCATCACACACTGGGACCTGTCGGGGGGTTAGGGGTAAGGGAAGGGAGAGCATCAGGACAAATACCTAATGCATGCGGGGCTTAAAACCTAGATGATGGGTTGATAGGTGTAGCAAACCACCATGGCGCATATATACCTCTGTAACAAACCTGCATGTTCTGCACATGTATCCCAGAACTTAAAGTAAAATAAAAAATACATAAAATAAATCCTACTCATTGAGCTAAAAGTCTTCAGGGGGTGGAAGGAACAGGAATAGGAGGAAGACATCAATGAATATAGAAACCTATATTTAAAAGTAAATCTCCTCTAGTTCTTTCTCTTAGAGATAACGGATGTTAACATTTAAACCAGCCTGGCCAATATGGTGAAACACCGTCTCTAAAAATACAAAAATTAGCCAGGCATGTTGGTGGGTGCCTATAATCCCAGCTACTCGGGAGGCTGAGGCAGGAGAATCGCTTGAACCCAGGAGGCAGAGGTTGCAGTGAGCCGAGACTGCGCCATTGCACTCCAGCCTGGGCGACAGAGTGAGACTCTGTGTCAAAAAAAAAAAAAAAGTATTTATTTTATTTATTTCACTTTATCTTATTTATTTTGCAGAGACGAGGGCCTCACTTTGTTGCCCAGGCTGGTCTCGAACTCCTGGGCTCAAGCAATCCTTTTGCCTCCGCCTCCCAAAATGTTGGGATTGTAGGCATAAGCCATTGCCCTCTGCCTATTTTAATTGTGGTAAAATATACATGACATAGAATTTATCATTTTAACCATTTTCAAATATACAGTTCAGTGACATTAAGTACATTCACATTATTGTTGCAAGCATCACCACTGTCCTTCTCCAGAAATTTTTCATATTCCCCTACTGAACTCTGTATCCATTAAATAATAACTCCATTCTTCTGTCCATCAGCCGCTGGTAACCACTGTTCTGTTTTCTGTCCCTATCAATTTGACTACTCTGCGTACTTCATATAAGTGGAATAATAGAGTATTTGTCCTTTTTATCTTGCTTATTTCACTTAGCATAATATCTGACTCACCGTTCATCTATGTTGCAGCATGTATCAGAATTTCCTTTCTTTCTATTGCTGAATAATACTCCATGCTGTGTGTATGCCATATTTTGTTTATCCATTCATCTGTTGATGGACATTTTGGTATTTTCCACCTTTTAGCTATTGTGAATGATGTTGCTATGAACATTGGTGTACAAATACCCTATTTGAATCCCTGCTTTACCCAGATACAGAATTGCTAGATCAAATGGTAATGCCATGTTTAATTTTTTGAGGAACTGCCATAATGTTTTCTATAGCAGCTGTACCATTTTACTTTCCCACCAGCAATGCACAGGGTTCTATTTTGTCTACATTTATGCCAGCACTTTATATTTTCTGCTTTTTTGATAATAGGACATCCTAATGGGCGTGAAATGTTAACATTTTTAGCAAGAGTCCTTCCAGACAATTTGTAGGCACACACAAATAGGCAATTTTATGTGTATGGGATCACATTTTACATGCAATTTTATTCTGTCTGTAGGGTATGGGTATCTTTTTCTGTCAGTAAATATGGATTACCATTTGTAAGGATTACCCACTAAATAAACTCTAGACCCATTAAGTAACAGAATACTATTCTGTTTTGGCTTTTTTTGTTTTGTTTTTTGAGATAGGGTCTCACTCTATCACCCAGGCTGGAGTACAGTGGTGTGATCACGGCTTATGGCTCACCGTAGCCTCAACATCCTGGGCTCCATCAGTCCTTCCACTCAGCCTCCCAAGTAGCTGGGACTACAGGCACACAACACCCCACCTGGCTAATTTTTCTATTTTTTTGTAGGGATGGCTTCTGCCATATTATCTAGGCTGGTCTCAAACTCCTGGGCTCAAGCAATCCACCTGTTTTAGCTTCCCAGAGTGCTGGGATTATAGGCGTGAGCCACTGCACCTGGCTTGTTATTTGAATATATTATAATTTATTTAACTCTTTCCCCATTGCTGGATATTTAGGTTATTTTCTTTTTTCTTTATTCCATTATAAATACTACTGCATTGAATATCCTTGTAAATACACCTTTATGCATTAGTCTGTTTTTTTCCTATAGGGGAAAATCCTAGAGATAAGATAATGGGGCAAATAATATGCCATGTTTAAAATGTGGTACATTTTGTCAAATAGCCTTTCAGAAAGTTAGTGCCAGTTTATACGTCCAATGAGAATGCTAGGAGAAATTATTTTTAAATCATTAACCTAATATAAACAGTTTAGAAGTGTTCTGAAAGTCTTTGTAGGACATTTAGACATCATTTTACCAGCACTTCCGAAACTGTATTTTCTTGTGAAATACAAGTTTAGTGGTATAGACTGTTTCATAAGTGTTCTGAGAATAAAAGAGCTCCATGGTTCCAGAAATTTGGGAAATTCTTTTAGAGTGAAACAAGATTCTTTCCTGTAAGACTCATCAACACTGTAATATGCTAGTGCATTACTTATTTTAGGATAAGGATGAGGCTGTAGTATGAAGCATTTTCCAAGTGTATTTTGACTACTGAATCATCAATCATCATTTTATGGCATTAGAATTCAGCTGAACACAGTTTGGGAAATGCTGATCTTGCTCAATTCTTATTTTGCAATTGTTAGCGTTTGCTAAGTTAGTGTCTCACCTAAGGTCACTAACTTGTTATTGGCAAAGCCCAGATTCTGACTTCTGACTCCCAAATCCAGTCTATCTTCTGGTATGATATACTGCACAATTTTGAAATATCATGATATAGGTTGGGCATGGTAGCTCACTCCTATAATCTCAGCATTTTGTGAGGCTGAGGTGGGTGGATCGTTTGATGCAGGAGTTCAAACTCCTGGAGTTCGAGACCAGCCTGGGCAACATGGTGAAGCCCTGTCTTTAGAAAAAATAGAAAAATTATCCAGGCGTGGTGGCGCACACCTGTAGCTCCAGCTACTGGAGAGGCTCAGGTGGGAGGATCAGTTGAGTCCCCAAAGTTGAGGCTGCAGTGAGCCATGATCATGCTACTGCACTCCAGCCTGGGCAACAGAGCTAGACCTGTCTCAAAAAAAAAGAAAAAATCATGATTTATTGAGTATATGTGTATTAATAATATGATTTAATGTAGGTTTAAAACATTATCATCTAAAACAGATAAGATGAAGTATAGGTAGCATTTTGTGGCTTTCAGTTTCCCTAATCCTCACCGGCAATACCAGAAAAACCCTGATATATTTCACTTTCCACAGCATCTTCTTAAACTTAGTTTCTCCTTCATCCCCAAGTTCTAAAATCAGTGTGATTTTAATTGTATATGTTCCATCTGGTGGTGAAAAGGAGTGTCTGCCTGCTCTGTACAAAAATTTACCCAGTGTAGTTGAAAGTAGTTGGTAGATTAAAGTGGTAATCCTAGGGGAAAAAAATTTGCTTTAAGATATGGAATATGGCTTTACTTGGCAATCTTTTAATGTCAGGACATTTTCTTTTCATATGGGTCCCTGGACTGGAGTGTAGGCCTTTCTTGCACAGAATGTTATCTTGTCTATAATTTCTAGTTGTTTAAAGTCAAGAAAAAATTTTAAGTTGTGTATTTATTGTCAACAAACAATATTAAGTGAATAAAGCGTTCTTACTATGAAAGCAGTACAGCTTTATTGTAGAAAAATTAGCAATAATCAGTATTAACAGCTTGCTTCTAGCCTCGGGATCCTAAATAGACTTTATAGAGTCCTTTCTAATTGATTAATAATATTCTGTTTTAAGTGTACAGTTGAGTGGCATTAAGCACGTTTATACTGTTGTACAATCATCCCCACCACTCAACTTCAGAACTTTCTCAGTTTCCCGTACTGAAGCTCTGTATTCATTCAGCAATAACTCTCCATTCCTCCGTCCCTTCAGTTCTGGCAACCACCATTCTAACTTTCTGTCTCTATGAATTTCACTAGGGAATTTAACCGTTTTCAACTGTACAGTTCATTAGCATTAAGTACATTCACATTGTTTTGCCATCATGATCACTATCTATCTCCAGAACATTTTCATCATCCCAAACTAAAATCTATACCCATTCAATAATAACTCTCATTCTCCTCTTCTCCCAGCACCTAGTGACAACTGTTTTACTTTCTCTCTATGAATTTGCCTATTCTAGCTGTGTCATGTAAGTGGAATCATATTTGTCCTTTTGTGACTGGCTTATTTCACTTAGCATAATGTCTTCAAGGTTCATCTGTATTGTAGCATGTGTCAGAATGTTCTTCCTTTTAAGGCTGAATAATATTCCCGTGTATGTATAAACCACATTTTGTTTATCCATTCATCAGTTCACGGACATTTGGGTTGCTTTCATCTTCTGACTATTTTGAGTAATACTGCTATGAATACGAGTATAAAGGGTATTTTTTATTTCACTTTTGTATTTTCTTTTGCTCTTTAACCATATATATCTTTAAAGTTTAACTTTAAATTTTTTGTATATATATATATATATTTTAAAGTATATATAGTAATTTTACAATAAATTTTTACAAAAATTTTAACGTATATATACACATAAGTATATATGTGTATATATGTATATATATACATATGTGTGTATATATAAACATAATATATATATAATATGTGAAATATATATTTTATATTTAAAATTTGGGCCACTATTAAAATTTATATGCAGTTTTGTAATCTGCTTTTTTTAAAAGGTAATAATAAATATTTTCCCATGCTGCTGTTTAAACATACAATCAAGATGAATAGTGTACTAGACTAGAGTCAGGAGGCCTGGGTGTATGTCATTTCTGCTGTTGATCAGAGCAGAATACCTTGTGAAGCAAGTTATTAAGCCCCATAGATCTCTAGTTACCTCATCAGTAAATTTGGGATATAGTACTTATTTCATAACATGTTTAAGAGCAATAAGGTACTATATATGAAGTGCATTTGAATTACAATGTCCTATATAAATGTTCAGGTTACTATTATCTATGTGATTTAGACAGGTATTCTCTTGTTAGAAATGTAGATTAAATTTCTTTGAGTTACAGAGTTACCCATTGAATAACATGCATAATTTTTGTTTCAGTCATCTTCTTAAGATATATTCCTATGAGTAAAATTATTGAGAGTCAGAGAATGTGAATATTTTTATAAATCAGGCTACATAGTTCTTACCATAGACTTTTTCAAAAGAATTATGTAGTTCAATTAGCAGTTGGTACGATTTTTCTCCCAGCTCTGGATTTTATCCTTTAAAAAATTCTTTTTGGTTACTTTTTCATAGGGATAGATTAGTATTTTATTGTTATTTAATATATTTATCTTTTATTACTATTGCACTAAGAATGATTTATTAATAGCAAGTGGAATTAATGGAAGAAACTTCACTTTCCTTAAATAGAGACAGAAGGATGAACTGCTTTATTTTAGATATGGAAAACAGATTTTGAATATAGTATAAGTCAAATTTTAAATATTCTGATTTATACTTTTTGTTATTTTATTGAAATCTATATATCAATTATCTCTCTCAATAACTTCTAATATTGGGAATCAGCTTTATAAGAAATTTACTTTACAGGGTTGGATTCATTCACTGGAAATGTTCAGAACTCACTTCTTGATGAGGAAAAAGCAGAACGTGGCTCCCATCAAGGAAAGAAATCTGGGACCAGCAGCAAACTTTCTGTTAAAGATTTTGAGCAGACTCTTGATACAGATAGCACTTTGGAGGATCTTTCTGGACATTCTGTGAGGTAATGTATATTTTATACTGTAATTTATATATAATTAAAGATATATAATTGATATTCAAAAAATCCATATAATGAATTTTAACTCAGCAGTCCCCTTAACTGTGCATGTCTGAGCTACTACAAAATTCTGTATTTTACAAATAGACTTCATAGCTTTGTTCACAGCTCTAATCTTTATCTGTATATTAGAATATGGTTATGTATCATCTAAACTGTTACAACCTCTTTCTCAGGAATTCTCTCCCTCTAGCACAGCCCAGTTTTCTATGCTGAATGCCGTTGTTACAATTGTTTTCTTGGCTCAATCTTTTGACTAAGCAGCTACCCTGCTTAGGGTGCTTTGTGAGGTCATAGATCAATTCTAAGTGCATAACTCTACTTGAAGTGTTTTCACTGGGCTACCACAAACTATCTCATTTCTTTTGTCTATAAATGTCAATTCTCATCTATTCATCCATTCTTTCAACACAGCTACTTAGCATCCTTATTGTCTTATTGTTTATTTCTTCCTCTCAACTTTTCTGCTGAACTTACTAGACCACTCAGGCAGATTTTGAAATCTCACTCTTACTGATTATGGAGCTTGCGTACTGTTTTTTCTCTTCTTTCTAATATTGTATACGATGCACTTAGTCCGTTGCTTACAAATAACCTTCAGTTGTTGCTAGCTATACAGTTCCTACTCATTTGTCCATATGACTTTTCATGTGTGCACTGGTTTTGTCTTGGAAATTGAGGCTCTGAGAAGACACAGATTTATTTTTTCCTTTTAAAGTAACTTTGTGCTTTTTCTAGTACTGTGACACATAAAGATTACCATTTTTAGTGCTTTCATGTTACAAATAATTTTGCATCATTAATACCATTATTTCTGTGTTTAAAATTAAATTTTTTTTCTTTGTCAGTGATTTTGGAATTTAGAAAACTTTACCTTTCCTTAAGAATTACTCTGATGATTTAACTTGATGAAATTTACAAAGTTAAACATTTCTTAATGAGATCCATAGCCAAATAAGTTTCATCAATGCCCCATACTGCAATCTAGATTTCCCCTTCCCTACCCATGGAGATTCACAGAGATAAAATAATTTGAGGCTTTGATAAGGAGAAGTCCAGATTTTTCAAAAATTGTTTAACCTCTTTTTTTTTTTTCCTATTTGCCTGTAGTCACTCTTTGTCCCCAAGCTCTTTTGCTTTCTTTTGGGGAAAGCTTATTAACATTATTGGAAATATACTTTTAGAAATGCTAGTCTAGCTAAATTTTATCTGCATAGCAAATATAAATTCATCTTATAAAACCCTAAGGTGAGGTGCAGAGTACTTTGTTTTCTTTGATGTTGTGTTTTAATTATTTAACAGAAATCTGTTAAAATGATCATTCTTTTTGTGTTTCATACATGAAATAGACTGTTAGAAATAGTATTTATCTAAAGTATCAATAGAAAATTAAGGGTCAAATAAACACATGAGTGCCTCTCAGGCCTACTTCTATTCAACTATTTTTATGCTGGGTATAAGAGAAATTTTTACCTTTGAAAGCTATTTCATCATTTTATTAGAAGCTAAAAGCAAACTTGTTTCAGTATATTGGCAATATAACTGTGCTAAAATGCTTTATAGAGTATCTTTGAATAATTTATTCAGTAAATAAATATTCAGTGCAAGGCAACATGCTTGATGTTACAAGAAATAATACCTTTAATGAGCTTACTTTTTCAAAGAAAGGCTAGAAACGTGCCTTGTATTGAATTAAATGCCTTAAGAGTTGTTACAAACTGTTATGTTACTTATTAGAAAGTTCAAGAAAGAGATGTAGTATTAAAAAGCAGATATAAAGAAATGAAGTATATTAAGTATTTAGAGATGAATAGTGTGAAATTTTTTTCTGTGATTCTTGGATCAACAAGAGGGTATAACAAAAGAATAGTTTTTGTCTTTTCTTACCTTTTAACATAAAATATTTTATTCGCTTTCAGAGATGTATTTTAAGACTCATATATGGCTCCAATTTTATTGCTGTAGAGTGTCTATTTTAGAAGACTTTGCTTCATGCTATAATGAGTGAATCATAGTATATGTACACTGTAGAGGGAAGAGTTCAGTGCTAGTTTAATCAAGCTACTCCCTTTCCATTGTATTTAGGGCAGGGTTTGTGCCTTGCTTGTTCACCACTGTAATTCTAGCAATTAGAGGAATATTCATAGTCATTCATTCAGCATAGTGATTATATTAATGAATAAATGCCTAAATCACAACTTTTTAAAGCTAATGTTGATAGTTTTTTTATATGTTGTTCTTTTGAATTATTTAGCTGGTTTACAAAGTACTTTTCCTTCCTCTAATGTTTTTGTGGATCAAAACTTCTAGTGTCTCATCAGATAAGGGAAGATCTCAGAAAACTCCAACTTCTCCCCTGTCACCAAGTTCCCAGAAATCATTGCAGTTTGACGTTGCAGGAACTTCTTCAGAAAGATCTAAGTCGTCAGTAATGCCTCCAACTATAACAGGATTTAAGCCTAATGCACCTCTCACTGATCTGAACCCGGCAGCCAGCAGAACAACGACAGAGAACATGGCTCCAATACCAGGTAAGTAGATTCATGCAATTGTAATTTTTAGAATACGATATGAAATTTTTTTCTCTCAACATTCCTTTTCTTTGTTTGAGTTGAGTCATAGAGAAATATTATTTCAAGTGAATATGATTACTTTTCAAGTATTAAAAACTGCAAGAAATTAAATATTGAAAAGCACGAGAGGTTCAGTAATGTTGACTTTTTTCCCATCTTGTCAGCCAGCATTAGTCAAAACATATCTGAAAAATATGTCCCATATGTGCACTCCTGTTTATATGTATATGCATGTATACACACATGTACGCATGCACACACATAGAAGTAAAGTACATTGTATAGGCATACCTTGTTTTATTGTGCTTGGCTTTATTGCATTTCACAGATACTGCGGGGTTTTTTTGTCTTTTTTTTTTTTTCTTTACAAATTAAAGGCTCATGGCATTGAACAAATTCATCAGTGCCATTTTTCCAGCAGCATGTGCTCACTTCATGTCCCTGTGTCCACAATTTTGATAAATCTCTCAATATTTCAGGCTTTCCATTATTACTATATCTGTTACGGTGATCTGTGATTAGCGATCTTTGATGTTCCTGTTGTATTACTAATTGTTTTGGGTGCCACCAACCATGTCCGTTTAAGAGGGCAGACTTAGTGGATCAATGTTGTGTGTGTTCTGACTGCTCCACCAACTCACCCCGTTCCCCTCTTCAACCCTCCCTCTGGCCTCCTTATCCCTGAGACACAATAATATTAAAATTAGGCCAATTACTAACCCTACAATGGTCTCTAAGTATTCACGTGAGAGGAAGAGTCACATCTCTCACTTTAAATCAGAAGCTACAGATGATTAAGCTTAGTGACGAAGGGATGTCAAAAGCCAAGATATGCCAAAAGCTAGGCCTCTTGTGCCAGTTAGCCAAGTTGTGAATGCAAAGGAAAAGTTTTTGAAGGAAATGAAAGGTATCACATGAATGACAGATAAGAAGACAAAATAGCCTTATTGCTGATATGGAGAAAGTTTTAGGGACCAAGATAGAAGATCAAGCCAGTGGCATCTTTAAGCCAAAGCTTAATCTAGAGCAAGACCCTAATACTCTTCAATTTTGTGAAGCCCTAGAGAGGTGAGGAAACTGCAAAAGAAAAGTTGGAAGCTAGCAGAGGTTAAAGAAAGAAGCCATCTCTATAAAATAAAAGTGCAAGGTGAAGCAACAAGTGCTAATGTAGAAGTTGCAGCAAGTTATCCAGAAGATAGTTGATGAAAGTGGCTACACTAAACAGATTTCCAACGTAGATGAAATAACCTTATGTTGGAAGAAAATGTCATCTAGGACTTTGATAACTAGAGAGAAGTTAGTGCCTGGCTTCAAAGCTTCAAAGGATGAGCTGACTGTCTATTTAGGGGTTAATACAGCTGATGACTTAAAGTTGAAGCTAATGCTCATTTACCATTCTGAAAATCCTAGAGTCCTAAAGAATTAAGCTAAATCTACTCTGCCTGTGCTGTATTAATGGAACAAGAAAGCCTGAATGACAGCACATCTGTTTACAGCCCTCAGGTTTACTGAGTATTCTAAGCCCACTGTTGAGACCTACTGCCCAGAAAAATAAAAGATTTTTTTCAAAGTGTTTTTTTCAGAATTTGAAAAAATATTTATTCCTGCTTATTGACAATGCACCTGGTCATCCAAGAGCTCTGATGGTCATAAAAAAGGAGATTAATGTTTTTATGTCCCCTAACACAAAGTCTATTCTGTACCCATGGATCAAGTAGTAATTTCAACTTTTAAGTCTTATTATTTAAGAAATGCATTGTGTAAGGCTATAGCTGCCATAGATAGTGATTCCTCTGCTGATTTGGGCAAAGTAAATTGATCACCTTCTGGAAAGGATTCACTGTTCTAGATGCCATTAAGAACAGTTGTGATTCGTGGAAGGAGATCAAACTATGAGCATTAACAGGAGCTTGGAAGAAGTTGATTCCAGCCCTCGTGGATGACTTTGAGGGGTTCAGAACTTCAGTGGAGGAAATAACTGCAGATACGGTGGAAATAGCAAGAGAACTAGAATTATAATTGGATCCTGAAGATGTTACTGAATTGCTGCAGTCTCATGACAAAAGTTGAATGAATGAGTAGTTGCTTCTTATGCATGAGCAAAGAAAGTGGTTTCTTGAGATGGAATCTACTCCTAGTGAAATGACAGTAATTATGTAAATATTACATAAACTTTAATTGATAAAGCAGTGGCAGGGTTTGAGAGGATTATCTCCAGTTTTGAAAGAGGTTCTACAGAAAGTGGGTCAAATGCTACCAAACAGCATTACATGCTCCAGAGAAATCTTTTGTGAAAGCAAGAGTCAATCGATGCAGTAAACTTCATTATTGTCTTATTTTAAGAAGTTGCCACAGTCACTCCAACCTTTAGCAACCACCATGATCAGTCAGTAGCTATCAACATTGAGGTACGACCTTCCACCAGCAAAAAGATTAGGACTTGCTGAAGGCTAAGATGATCATTAGCATTTTTTTAGCAATACAGTATTTTTAAATTAAAGTATGTACTTTTTTTAGACATAATGCTATTGCACACTTACTAGACTACAGTATAGTGCAAATATAACTCTTATATGCACTGGTAAACCAAAAAATTTGTGTGACTTGCTTTATTCTGTTATTTACTTTATTCCTTTGGTCTGGAACTGAACCTGCAGTATCTCCAAGGTATTCTGTACTGAGTCCCAGTTTTTTCTACAAAGGAAAGCAAAGTTGATTTTGGCTCTTAAAATGACAGATTTTAGAAATCTGAGTGTAATTTCATGTTAACTTTTCCATTTGACCATTGTCATGCCTTCCAGGTTCTAAGCGCTTTTCTCCTGCTGGCCTCCATCATCGTATGGCAGCAGAACTCAGTTATCTGAACGCCATTGAGGAGTCGGTGCGCCAACTGTCAGATGTAGAAAGAGTTAGAGGCATTTCACTTGCTCAGCAGGAGAGTGTGTCTCTAGCTCAGATAATAAAGGTATTTTTGGAGTTTTTTAGCTTTCTGTGGTTTTTCTTTTTTCTTCGCTATTTAAAATGGTCTTAATGATGACTTAAACTACTGTGTCAAATAGAAAAAAATAGTCTGCCATATAGCACCTATAAATAAATAGTCCTGGGAAAAATCTGTCGGGACACTAAAAAGATACAGTGTTTGGCAGCAGAACAATAATAAAATCATTCTCTCTCAAATACTTTGTTTTCCATGTTTTCTGCTTTGTTTAGTTGACAGTATAAAAATCATCTAGTCAAACATTCTTAATATTTTCTCCTTTCATTGATAGGTGAGAGAATACTGAGGGTTTTTTTTTTTTTTTTTAAGTTCTATTTGTACCAAAAAGAGAAGTTTCTGAGATCCGGGTGTTTGATAAAGCCAGGATAATGTGGACTTTTCCTTAGCAAACAAAAATCCAGAGATGGTCTAAGCGCTCTTCCCTTAGTGGAGATGCTTTAAACAACAACAGCAACAAAAAAACCCCTGAGTTATTATTCACATAGTATAAAATACACAGATTTTAAGTGTACAATTTTGATGAGTTTATTTATTTATTTATTTTTTTGAGTTAGAGTCTCACCGTTGCCCAGGCTGGAGTGCAGTGGCACGATCTCGGCTCACTGCAAGCTCCGCTTCCCAGGTTCACGCCATTCTCCTGGCTCAGCCTCCCAAGTAGCTGGGACTACAGGTGCCCGCCACAGTGCCCGGCTAATTTTTTGTATTTTTACTAGAGACAGGGTTTCACCATGTTAGCCAGGATGGTCTCAATCTCCTGACCTCGTGAACCACCTGCCTCGGCCTCCCAAAGTGCTGGGATTACAGGTGTGAGCCACCGCGCCTGGCCCAGTTTTGGTGAGTTTTGACCAGTGTATATACCTATGTAAGAACCACCCTAATCAAGATATAGAACCCTTACATTGTTACCCCAGAAAGTTGACTTATGCCCATTTTCAATTACTCCCCCTTCCCAAAGGCAATTACTGTTCTGATTTCTGGCACCATAGTTTATTTTTGCCTATTCTAGAACTTTGTATAAAAGGAAGTGTACTTTGAACTCTGTGTTTAGCTTATTTTATTCAATACCAATTTAAGATTTATCCATGTTGTTTTATCAGTAGTTTTTTGTTTTGTTTTGTTTTTTGGTGAGTAATATTCCATTAATATCACAATTTGTTTATCAGTTTTCCTATTGATGTACATTTAGATTATTTCCAGTTTTTAGCTATTGTGAATATTCCTGCTATGAACATTTTTAAACAACTCTGTGCATACTACATATGTTTTCATTTTTCTTGTATAAGTACCTAGGAGTGGAATTGCTTGGGTCAAGTATATGAAACTTTATAAGAAACTGCCATACAGTTTTCCAGAATAGTTGTAACATTTTACACTCTTGTAATATATAGGAGAATGCCAGTTGTCTGTATCCCTGCTATCATTTGGTATTATCAGTCTTTTATTTCAGTCATTCTATTGAGTATGAAGTAGTATCTCATTGTGGTTGTAATTTGCGTTTCTCTTATTACTGATGAGACTGATTGTCTTTTTGTGTATTTATTGAGCATTCTTTTGTGAATATCTGTTCAAATCTTTTACCCCCTTCATTATGGGATTGTCTTTTTAATTATTGATTTTATAGGAGTTCTTCATATATTCTGGAAACAAGTCCTTTTCAGATGTATTGGAAATATTGTATTCCAGGTCTTGGCTTATCTTTTCACTTTTTAAACTGTGTCTTTTGAGGAATAGAAGTTTTAAATTTTGATGAAATCCAGTTTTAATTTCTTTCTTTTGTGGTAGAACCTTTAATTTTCTAAGAAATCTTTGGGCCGACTGTGGTGGCTCACACCTGTTATCCCAGGACTTTCTGGGAGGCCAAGGCAGGCAGCTCACTTAAGCTTAGGAGTTCCAAGACCAGCTGGGGCAACATGGCGAAATCCCGTCTCTACTATGAATACAAAAATTAGCCATCCACCGTGGCGTATGCCTGTAGTCCCAGCTACTTGCGGCGGGTTGGGCGTGGTGGGGGGGTGGGGGGTGGTGGTAGCGGTTGGCTAAGGCAGGAGAATCGCTTGAGTCTGGGAGGCAGAGGTTGCAGTAAGCCAAGATTGTGCCATTGGACTCCAGAGTGAAACCCTGTCTCAAAAAAAAAAGGAAGAAAGGAAGGAAGGGAGGGAGGGAGGGAGGGGAGGGAGGGGAGGGAGGAGAGGGATAGGAGGGAACGGAAAGAAAGGAATCCTACCCTAAGATACTAAGATATCTTAACATTCTCTTACGTTTTTTTCCAAAAGCTTTATAATTTTATCTTTCATATTTAAGTGTGTAATCCTTCTCAAGTTAATTTTTGGATTTGATGTGAGGAAGAGAGTCAAAGTTTCTTTTTCTCTAGTATGGATATTCAATTGTTCCAGCACCATTTTATTAAAAAGACTTAAATTACCTTGGTGCCTTTATCAATGATTAAGTGATCAATTATGTGTAGATCTATTTCTAGACTCATTTTCCATTAATCTATTCATCTATCTGTAATGTCAGTACCATATTGTCTTTATTACTATGGCTTTTTAGTGAGTTTTGAAATCAAGACATAATTCCTCCAACTTTGTTTCTTTTTTTCAAAGATGATTTTGGCTATTCTAGGTTTTTTGCATTTCCGTGTAACTTTTAGAATCAGTTTGTTAGTTTCAACAACAACAACAACAAAAAGCCTGGTAGGATTTTCATTAGAATGGTATTGAATCTGTAGGTTAGTCAGTCTGGGGAGAATTCACATCTTAACAGTGTTGCCTTTTCTAATTCATGAACATGATATATTTTTCTATTTATTTAAATCTTTGAATATTTCTCTCATTAGTATTTCATTGTAGAGGTCTTATACATTTTAAAATTTATTCCCAAATGTTTTATGGTTTTTGATGCTAAAATTTTTTTTTTTCAGTTTCCTTTTCCATTTGTTCTTCCCAAAAGACCCGTCAGACAGTTCTTGGTGTGGGACTGTTCCCATACTTTGCAGAGATCCCATCATTCCTGCCCTCCCCCCGCCACTGCCCGACTAAATAACAGTAGTGTTGTCCAGTCATTGTGACAGCAGAAACTCTGGACATTTCCAGATGTTGCCTGGTAGAGGGTGGGGAGGGACTAATGCCAACTTTGTTGATAGTCATTTTATTGAGGAAATGACTCCATTGTAGTGGAGGGCCATCCTGACCTTGAAATCTGAGTCAGCACTGAGGTTTTCTGCCACTTTAGAAATACATTATAATTCTGGGTTTCCAGATTTGGGCAGAGCATTACCACAGCCTTACATACAGCCTTACCACCATTTTTTGTTTTCTTTTGTTTTGTTCTAATTAAAAAAAAAATAGAGGTGGGGGGGTCTCACTCTGTTGACCAGGCTGATCTTGAACTCCTGGCCTCAAGTGATCCTCCCATCTTGGCCTCCCAAAGTGCTGGGATTGCAGACATGAGCCATTGTGCCCAGCCCTTACCACCTTTTGAAAACCTCTATTATTTAGCAGTATTTCAAAGGAGATGAAAAAAAAAATATATATATATATTTATAGATAACATTGTGTGGGATAGTGGTAAGAAAGGGTCCTGGTGACAAGGAAACCTTATATGGGGACATCATTTTTTAATGAAACTACTACTTCAAAGTCAAAATGAAAGAATCATAAAATTGTGAGTTTGTGAGGCATTATTTTTATTTTTACACATAGGACATTTTTTATCCCTTCCAAAAAGTTGGGTGCTATAGCCTTTGCTTTCTAAATGGCTTTTTGGTATTAATTCTTAGTCCTGTATGCCCTGGAAATTTTTTATATTACTACATTATTTGGCATATGGGAGGTGATCATTAAATATTTTGATAAATGGTAAGTGGCTGTTGACTATTATTTTTACTATCTTTCCTTTTGGTTCTAATTAGTTGCTTCAAATGATTTGTATTAGTAAGATAGCATTGTGTGTGTTATAGTCACTGTGTTAAAATAGTTTCGTATCTGAGAATTAACATTTGACCATTATTTTGAAGGCACAACAGCAACGCCATGAAAGAGACTTGGCCCTCTTGAAACTAAAGGCTGAACAAGAGGCTCTGGAGAGTCAGAGACAATTAGAAGAAACCCGAAACAAAGCAGCTCAGGTAACTTATTTTGCAGCAGGTTCTTGTTTTTTAAACCTAAATTTGTATCTTAGAAATTACTTTAGCGTTCTTTTAATTATATAGGAGAAAAAAGTGTATATATAAATAATAAAGTTTTAGTACTTTTTATGGGATAATGCCATGTAATTCGATTTTTGTTACAACCTTGTGAAATAAATTGTCAAGACTCATTTCCAGTTTAGGGAAGTGGCAACTGAGGTACGTTGTATTTATTTATCCACAGATACAGTAACTTGTGAACAGTAGAGTTAAGACTTAAACCATGAAATCCAGATTGTAGTAAAGTGTTTTTTACTATGAATAAGACATGAAATAAATTTATAAATTAAAATTAATTCAGGAGGAGGGGAGATTAAAACATAACTTCTTTTTTAAACCCCTTTTATTTAAAGGTCCATGCAGAATCATTACAGCAGGTGGTTCAATCACAACGGGAAGTAACTGAAGTCCTGCAGGAAGCAACGTGTAAAATAGCAGCTCAGCAGTCAGAAACTGCTCGCCTCACCACAGACGCAGCACGTCAAATCTGTGAGGTAGGTGCCACTGAGAACACTTCTCTTTTTACTTCTTTTTAGTCAATCTGAGTAACTTTGATCTTCAGTAATGGGTTTCTAATATCTTAGTAAATGCATACTTTGAATTAGTGACTTTTAGTGGGGGCCATACCCTATTGAAATAAGAGGCACCATTGATTGGAGTGTGTTGTACATGTGATTGAATGTTATAGAGGCAGAAAAAAGATGAAGAGCTCTAAATTTCTGCCCTCTGGTAAGCTTTTTAGAAAAATATCAACTTTATTGATGTATAATTTATAAACAATAAAATGTACCTATTTTAAGTATGCAATTTGGTGAGTTTTCTCTCACACACACACACACACACACACACACACACACACATCTCCCTATAACCATCACCACAATCCAGAAATAGCATATTTCCTCATGTCTCTTTGCAACCAGTCCCTAATCTCAGTCCTGGGGAACCACTGATCTGCTTTGGGTGAAGATGTTTCATTTTTACCCAGAATGATATTAGTTACTGTCTTTTCTTCTATAACGTGGGTATAGCCCAAAGTAGTTTTATTGCTGTCTCTACATAGGATATCACAATTCATAATTGATACAGTTTCACTTTATTTTAGCAGTTATAATTTTTTTAAACCAAAAGTTAGTACTATTTGTAAAATGACTTAGTTATTGGAAATCCATGAATGTACTATATGTTGGGTACTGTGGAGTTGTACATTTTAGTATAAAACTGAGTCTCCTTTCTCAAGAAAATTAAAATGTAGACAACATCAACAAAGATTTCAAAAC
Organism: Homo sapiens; assembly: GCF_000001405.40. Classification (NCBI taxonomy): domain Eukaryota; kingdom Metazoa; phylum Chordata; class Mammalia; order Primates; family Hominidae; genus Homo; species Homo sapiens. The sequence continues at coordinate 180,042,589 of NC_000001.11, forward strand.
ACTTTAAGTCATTAGTAAAAGGAATAGCTCAAAGTAGTGCTTGAACAAATACTGAATGGATGGTACATGCAGCACTTGCAGTAGTGGTTAAGAATAGGGAAAATGTACTTGACCTGTTGGTCAGCAAAGAGTTAGAAAAGAAGTAGTAATTAAATTGATTCTTGAAGGAAGATTTAATTTTTGGCTTATTACTGCTTATGTTATGCTTTAAGGTTTTCTGTCTAATTCATAGATTGTTATAGCTGGGTGAAACCGTAGAAATCATGTAGTCTAACTCTGTTTTTATAAGATGAAGCTGTTGAGACTTAAAGAGGCTAAATGACTTGTCCACAGTATTTCATCTATTAGTGGCAGAATTTGCTTGTTCTCAAGTCAGTGATCTTTCTTTCCAAGACACTATGCTCCTTCTCAGTTCTCTGACCTTACGTTTTAATACATTTGCCTTTCTTGTGTGTGTTCATGTTTAGATGGCAGAGTTGACTAGAACTCATATCTCAGATGCTGTCGTGGCTTCAGGAGCTCCCCTTGCAATACTGTATGACCACCAACGGCAGCACCTTCCAGACTTTGTGAAACAGCTGAGGACCAGAACTGAAACAGATAGGTTAATATTCATTCAGTCAGCAAATATATAATGACTGTCTGTTAGGTTAATATTCATTCAGCAAATATGTAATGAGTATTTGTTGTTATAGGCATTATTCTTGGTTGAGAATACAGTTATGGGCATAGTCTAGTAGGGAAGATAAACATTACTCAAATATTCAGTTAAGTGAATGAATACTTATACACTGATTTAAGTGTTATGAAAGAAGGGAACACATGTCTCAGAGATAATGTAACACAGGAATTTGAATAGCCTGGGGGTGCCAGCAGGTCAGAGAAGGCTTTCCTGAGGAAATAAAGCTTGTGGTGCAATCTAATGGATGAGGAGTTAGTAATGTAAAGGAGGTAAAGAATAGCTAGATCAAAGGCCCTGAAGGAAGAAGGAACATAGCATATTTAAGAAAAGAAATAAAGACCATTGTGGCTGGAGGCAGAGAGCAAAGAAAATGGTATGAGATGATGCAGGGATCAGATCAAGGTATAGGACCTTGCAGACTTAGGATTTTGGAGTTTATTCTAGGAGCAATGAAGTCATTAAAGAGATTATTTTTGGCGGGACTGGGTGACATTACCATATTTGTGTGTGTGTGTGTGTGTGTGTGTGTGTGTGTTTTCTTAATCATATTTTGACTGTCTCTAATTCATAGATTTTAAGTCTCTGTTTACATTCATTGATACTAGGAGTGATTTGTGTTTACTTCCTTAGTAAAACAGAAGATATTCTTTAATGTGTTGTAAGTTATTTTATAATATCTATTTGTTCAAGATTTTATCTCATATTACTATTAAGCAATACTTAAAATCTTTCTGTTATTAGAGACTTTGAATGTTTAATCAGTTTTTATTTTATTTGTAGGAAAAGTCCATCTGTTTCACTCTCTCAGAGTAAAGAAGGGACCCTTGACTCAAAGCATCAGAAGTATTCTGCTTCATATGATAGTTATTCTGAGTCTTCAGGATACAAGAATCATGATAGAAGGTGAAGACAATTTGATTTCTTTGTCAGTACAGTTTAGTAGATTGTGATAAATGGCTTAAACATTGCTTTCTTTGATTTCTTAATCTTGTTTATTTAAATAGAACAGTGTGTGCCCTTCAAAGTGCTGGCTTCCCTAATTAGCCAATTTACAAAATAGTTGGTCCATGTAATAATGTAACTACTGTTCCTTGAGAACCTACATTGTACAAGCATTGTATAAATTGTTCTTCCTGCATTTAATATTCACAGCAGCCTTCCAAGGCAGATGGTATTATCCTTATAGGTTAGAAAACTGAGGCTCATGGAGATGTTACTATGCAGCCATAAAAAATGATGAGTTCCTGTCCTTTGTAGGGACATGGATGAAACTGGAAACCATCATTCTCAGCAAACTATCACAAGGACAAAAAACCAAACACCGCATGTTCTCACTCATAGGTGGGAATTGAACAATGAGAACACATGGACACAGGAAGGGAAACATCACACTCCGGGGACTGTTGTGGGGTGGGGGGAGGGGGGAGGGATAGCATTAGGAGATATACCTAATGCTAAATGACGAGTTAATGGGTGCAGCACACCAACATGGCACATGTATACATATGTAACAAACCTGCACATTGTGCACATGTACCCTAAAACTTAAAGTATAATAATAATAAAATTTAAAAAAAAAGAATAATTAAACATAACTCCAAAAATAAAATAATTGTTGATTATAGGAAAAAAAAAAAGAAACCCATTCAAGGTCACATAAATAATGATACATCAAGGAATTGCACCTTAATTTATCTGCCTTCAAAGGCTGTGTTTATTGCACATTTCCTTGCTGACATTCATATTTCTTGATGTTACAAATTTTTATTGTTATAAAAAATATTGAATAGGCCGGGCACAGTGACTCACGCCTGTGATTCCAGCACTTTGGGAGGCCGAGGTGGGAAGATCACCTGAGGTTAGGAGTTCAAGACCAGCCTGGCCAACATGGCAAAGCCCCATCTCTACTAAAAAAACAAAAATTAGCCATGCGTGGTGGCGTGTGCCCATAATCCCAGCTACTCAGGAGGCTGAGGCATGAGAATCTCTTGAACTAGGGAGGCAGAGGTTGCAGCGAGCCAAGATCGCACCACTGCACTCCAGCCTGGGTGACAGAGTGAGACTCCATCTCAAAAGAAAAAAAAAATTGAATAGCTGTCATTGGTAGTTGGTGTGATATGAATGGCTATAGCTTTCAATTATGGTTCCATCTTGGGATTAGAAGATTTTAGAGGCTACTTTCCAGCATTTTTACAGTTAACATACTGACATTGTCAAGTATAGTAAAACCCCAATTTAAAAAATTAAATCATGAAACTAAAAGACATGAAAATGTGGGAAAAGTACCAAAAGTTATTGAGTAGCTATTATGTCTCTGAAACTATCTGATGTTCATTTAACCTTTACTGACACCTTCACTGAAACTTCATGTAAACCATCATCTGGATTACTATGGTGAACTCCTAATACTTGTCCTCATCCTCTAATCTTTCTCCACTCCATTAGCCACATGGTAACCAGAGTGATTTTTGTAAAATTTCTAGCCAATTTGGTTATTCACCTATTTGAAATCTTCAGTATCCCTCAGAATATTCAAATTAAGGTCTAAATTATTTAGCCTGGCATGAAAACTTTCTTTATAATTGAGCCTTTGGTCCATCTCTAGCCCCATCTCTTGGCATTTCCTCTCTTACTATACCCCACTCATTCTAACTATTTCCAGTTCTCTAGAAGAACCATGCTCTCTGTCTTCTGTGCCATTGCATATGATATACCTTCTTTCTAGACCATCCCACATCTCATTTCATTTAGTTTACTTTTACTTACCTTTCAAGAATCAGTGCTATCCCGTCTGCTTTAGCTCTCACCTAAGTGTTCTCCTACAGCACTGTGAGTATAGCTGTGATAGTCTTGACCACCCTATGTGTACATGTTTCTTTGTTAGTCAGTTACATTCTAGACTAGAAGCTCTTTGAGGGCTTCGTTTTCATCACCCCAGAAAGAAACTCAGTAACCATTAGCAGTTACTCCCTATACCCTCCTCTGGCAACCACTAATCTGTTTCCTATCTCCGTTCTCTATGGATTTGCCTATTCTGGATTTTTTATATAAATGGCATCATTACAGTATGTGGCCCTTTGTAACTGACTTCTTTCACTTAGCATGATGTTTTCAAGTTTCATGCATGTTGTAGCATGTATCACTACTTTGTTTATATGGCCAAATTATATTCTATTGCCTGGATATCCCACATTTTATTTATCCATTCATCAGTTGGTGGACATTTGGGTTGTTTCCACTTTTTAACTATTATAAGTAATGCTGTGAACATTCACATATAACCTTTTGTGTGGATATGTTTTCATTTCTCTTGAGTATATATTTAGGAATGGAATTGCTGGGTCATGTATGGTAGCTCTATGTTTAAATTTTTGAAGAATTGCAAAACTATTTTCCAAAGTAACTGCAGCATTTTATACTATTTTCCCACCACGTAAAATTTTTCTACAGTCCTCACCAATGCTTGTTGTTTTTTTTGTTATAGCCATCTTAGGGGGGACCATGCATACTTGTATCACCAGAACTTAGCAAAGTACCTAGCACACAGTAGGCAATCTACTACAAGTTTATTGAGTGAATGATTAGCATATAACTACTAATTGGTAGAATTGGGATTCAACCCCATGTCCTTCTGACTTGAAAGTCCCTACTGTGTGCTGCATTACATCTTTTACCTTATTGCTTTATTAGAAGATTTATGTTTTCAAAAACTTATTAAACCAAACAATTGCATTATATTCTGATAAGTACTGTCATAGAAATATACACAAAAAAACAGTATGAACACAGGGACAGAAGTGACCAAAGCTTCCTTGAGAGTTGGGGTGGGATCCATGGAGTTTCTTAGAAATAACACTTGAACTGATTCTTGAATTCCATAGGTCGTTAGGCAGACACAGCAGCAAGGGCATTTTGGAAGAGGAAATAAGCATGTGCTGAGGATCCTAAGTATATTAACCTGGCTTGTGTAATGAATGAATAAACCAAGAAATGTAAGGAGGAGAAAGCTTGGGGGAATATACGTTTCGTTTGTTGGCTGAGGAATAGCCAAAATCAGAAGTTCACATGGCATTTCAATACTTGAAGCTTAAAATCAAGGGAAGGGCAAAGATAATGATACAAATTTGAGGCTCACTCTAAATGATAGTAGTTGAAGTTATGGTTAAGATTGCCCAAGGAGAATATGTAATATAAAAGAGAAAGAGGGCCAGCATGGTGGCTTACATCTGTAATCCCAGCACTTTGGGAGACCGAGGCAGGTGGATCATCTGAGGTTAGGAGTTCAAGATCAGCCTGGCCAACATAGCGAAGCCCCATCTCTACTAAAAATACAAAAAAAAAATTAGCCAGGTGTTGTGGCACATGCCTGTAATCCTAGCTACTCGGGAGGCTGAGGCAGGAGAATCTCTTGAATCCAGGAAGTGGAGGTTGCAGTGAACCAAATTGTGCCACTGCACTCCAGCCTGGGCGACAGAATGAAACTCCTCAAAAAAAAAAAAAAAAAAAAAGAAAAGAAAAGGACCAAAACAGAACCATCAATTTTAAGGAAAGACAGAAAAATTTAAAGCAAATGAAAGAAACAAGGAAAGCTTGTTAGAGAGATGGGAAAAGCAGGTGAGAGTAAAATCATAGGATATAAGAAGGGAGGGCTCTTTTATTTAACATTTAATTTTGACATGATTTCAAGCTTATAGAAAAGTTGCAAGAATAATAGAAAGTCCTCAAATATCTTTCATCCAGATTATTCTAACATTTTACTACATTTTATTTAGCAAGTAGAGCTTTTAAAGAAGGAGATATGGTCAACATCTAATATTGCAAAGCAATAAATTATGTATTGGATTTGGCAATTCAAAGTATAGATTAAGCTTATTTAGAACAGTTTTAGTAGAGCAGTTGGGGTGGAAGCAGATTGTGATAAATCGTGATGTTAATGAAAAGTAAAGAAGTGGAAACAGTGAGTAGTAGCTCCCTTTCCCAGAAGTTTGATTTTGAAATGAAAGGAAAAAAGGGAGTGATAACCTAACAACACTGCCTATTATTATTATTTAAAAGTGAAACCTTCCTCTCTCCTACTCATCTTTCTCATCTTTTCCAATATATTCTCAGACTTATGTTACTTAGCTTTTTCTGTTTTATATTACATCTTTCTTCATTTTTATCTTGACTATAAAGTACAGTCATTTGGCCAAATAAGTTTACTTTGAAGCTATAATCCTTATTTTGTTAATTTTGTTGTTGTTGTTTCCATGTATCCATAAAAAGAAGTAGCAGTGGTAGCAGCCGCCAAGAAAGTCCTTCAGTTCCATCTTGTAAGGAAAATGAGAAGAAACTTAATGGTGAAAAGATAGAGAGTTCCATTGATGAACAGGTTCAGACTGCTGCAGATGATTCTCTACGAAGTGATAGTGTTCCATCTCTTCCTGATGAAAAAGGTAACTTTCTTTGCAAATAAATGTGTAATCATTTGTTCAGAAACCAGAGGAAAGGTGATCCTTGTTATAAAGTGGCAAATAAGCTGGATGTGGTGGCTCATGCCAGTAATTCCAGCACTTTGGGAGGCTGAGCTGGGAGAATTGCTTGAGCCTAGGAGTTTGAAACCAGCCAGGGAAACATAGGGAGACCTCTGTCGCTACAAAAAAATTAAAAATTAGCCAGGCTTGGTGGCACAGCCTATGGTCCTAGTACGTGGGAGGCTAAGATGGGAGGATCACTTTAGCCTAGGATATCAAGTCTACAGTGAGCTATGATTGAGACATAGCACTGCAGCTTTGGCGACAGAGCAAGAACCTGTCTCAAAAAAAAATAAGTAAATAAAGTGGCAAACAACTTGACTGAAACTGTGTTCCAGTGTTTTGGAATGTAGACATTAAAAGTGATGTATTTGGATATTTAGCTGAGGAGATTTCTAACTTTATCTCATTAATATTTACTAAACTTTATCTCAATAATATAGTGTTTCTAATTAAAGCATATTTAATTATAGATAATATTTGTAAGCCTTAGAAGGAAACACAGTAACGATATGTGACTTGTTTGTGCCATATCTCAAGTCTTTACCATGGTGCCTGTCTTCCAATAACAGTGAATAAATAATTGTCAAGTGACTATTTTAAAATATCATGAACAGTGACTTTAATTTCTTTAAACAATATTGAATTACTTGCCCTGTGCTTTACTTGACTAGCAGAAATACAAAAACAAAAAAGTATTACTTGGACTGCTGCTGCTTCTGGCCATGATGGAACAACAGGGACCAGACTTACTTACACCTTTTTTTTTTTTTTTTTTTGAGACAGAGTCTTGTTCTGTCACCAGGCTGGGGTGCAGTGGCGTGATCTCAGCTCACTGCAACCTCCGCCTCCTGGGTTCAAGTGATTCTCCTGCCTCAGCCTCCTGAGTAGCTGGGATTACAGGCACGCACCACAACACCTGGCTAATTTTTGTATTTTTAGTAGAGACAGGGTTTCACCGTGTTGGTCAGGCTGATCTCGAACTCCTGACCTCGTGATCCGCCTGCCTTGGCCTCCCAAAGTGCTGGGATTACAGGTGTGAGCAACTGCGCCTGGCCTACTTACCCTCTTAAAGCAAGTAAAATATCAGGCAAAACATGAAATAACTATTTTTAAGACAGTGGGCCTCAGGCATTGAATTGTGTTGATTCATGAGAGACTGGAAACAAATGAATGCTACAGTTCTACCAGTTTACTGCCTAGAGAGTTTCCAGACTGCAGAGCATGGAGCCCAGTGGTCTTCTTGAGTTGAGGAAATGGAGTTAGGAATCTAAAGAAGCCAAGACAGCTAGAATTCACAGGGCAGCCACTATCCAAAGAAACCAAACCCTTAACCTCGTATGTAGAAGAAAACATAAATCTAGGTGACGTTCGGTTTCATGATGACTTCTTAGGTACGTAACACCTCAAGGTGTGATCTGTGAAAGAAAAAATTGATGAATTGTGTTTTATCAGAATTTTAAAACTTCTATTTTGTGAAAGACATTGTGAAGAGAATGAAAAGCCACAGATTGGGAGAAAATATTTGCAGCTCACATATTTGATAAAGGATTTATATCTAGAATATATAAAGAACTCTTAAAACTCAATAATAGAAGGCTGGGTGCAGTGGCTTATACCTGAAATCCCAGCACTTTGGGAGGCTGAGGCAGGCAGATCACCTGAGGTCAGGAGTTCAAGACCAGCCTGGCCAACATGGTGAAACCCCATCTCTACTAAAAATACAAAAATTATCTGGGCATGGTGGTATGCGCCTGTAGTCCCAGCTACTCAGGAGGCTGAAGCAGGAGAATTGCTTGAACCCGGGAGGTGGAGGTTGCAGGGAGCCGAGATGGTGCCACTGCACTCCAACCTGGGCAACGAGAGTGAGATTCTGTCTCCAAAAAAACCAAAAAAAAAAAAAAAAACAAAAAAACCTCAATAATAGGAAAAACAACTCAATTTTACAAATGTACGGAAGATCTGAACAGATACTTCATTGAAGAAAATATGCAGATGGCACATAGACACAGGAAAAAGTCTTCAACATCGTATATCATTAGAGAAATTAAAATTAAAATTACAAGATGCCATAACACACTTATTAGAATGGCTATCAGAAAAACAGACAATAACAAATTGGTAACAAGGATGCAGAGCAACAGGAACTTGCATACATTGCTGGTGAGAATGGAAAATTATATGGTCACTGTGAAAGATAGTGTCTTGTAAGACTTAACCATACAATCCAGCAGTCAAATGCCTGGATATTTACCAAGTGATTTGAAAACTTATGTCTACATAACAACCTATATACTGATGTTCATAGCAGCGTATTCATAATTGCTAAGAACTAGAAGCAACCAAGATGTCCTTTACTAGGGGAATGGATAAACAAACTGGTACATCCATACAACGAAATACTATTCAGCTGTTAAAAGGAATAATCTTTTGATTCATGTAGCAACATGAACGAATTTTACAGTCCTCCGCTCTACCAGACCTCCGCTCTACCAGATGAACTGTTGAAGGGAGCACACATGGACGAATTTTAAATGAATTTTACTAAGTGAAAAAGCAGGCCCCAAAAGTCTGTGTATTATAATATGATTCAATTTATATGACAGTCTGTAAAAGCCACAACTAAAGAGTTGGAAAACAATTGGTTTTTAGGCATTGGGGGAAGAGGAAGTAGTTGACTGCAAAGAGGATGCACGGAGCAACGTTTAGGATGAAGGAACTGTTACATAGAGTAGTTGTTCTGTGTGTATGTATGTTCTGTATGATGCTATGTATTTGTCAAAACCTTGAAACTGTGTATCACAATGAGTAAATTTTAATATCTGTGAACTAATCATGCATACACACACATTAATCAGGATATTGGGAGTTCCCAAAATGGAACGCAGCCTGCAATAAATGGATCTAACTGTGTTACAGATACATGGCATAACAACATTGAAGGGGTTGGGGGAAAGAGCTGATCTAAGTAAGTAACTTTGGAAAATGGTGTCTTGAGTGGAAACTATTAATATAAGCCTAATACAAAAGGAACGGTACATAAACCTATACTCTAATTGGATAATAGTTTTTCACAGGGGTACAGGTTAACAGTTCTTTACATATATATTGGGTTTGAACAAATAAGTAAACGAGTGTTGGATGGTCAGAGCCAGGTTTCTCAGTGTTGGAAGGGAAGATACACAAGAAAGGAAGACTAGAATGAACTCTGGTACTGGATCATAGACATAAGTACGAATTCATGTTTAGCTGGCTGACTGGATGGGTACAAAAGCAATTGTAATTGTATGCGTAACTATGTGCACACACGTATACATGGATTAATATACATCCATATATTACCTAGCTCTGTCCACTGAGCAAGTGCAGAAGCAGTGATACAACTGTAGTAACAAGGACAACTAGTGCCTACAAATTCTTTCTTTCTTTCTTTTTTTAAGAGACGGGGTCTTGCTCTGTCACCCAGGCTGGTCTCGAACTCCTGGCCTCAAGGGATCCTCCCACCTTGGCATCCCAAAATGCTGGAATTACAGGTGTGAGCCCCTGTGCCTGGCCCCTAGATTGTGGTTTCTAAATATCATTCTTTAATAAAATAAATAAGAGCTCTTTGTAGAAATAGCTGATTCTAGGGCTGTAGGGAAAATACAGTTTGAGCCTGGAGTATCTTGTAGTACCAGAAAGGGAAGAAGTATTCAATAAAAAAAAGGATGCAGGACCATGGCAAAGGCACACAGGAACCAAACTGAAAGAGCTGTCATATTCTAATTAAGCTTGGAATTAATGAGTTTTTTAAAAAGATATTTTTACTTCATTTCTTTGATTGATAGTAATGTTAAACATTTTTTTCACTTTTACTATTTATATTTCCTTTGTAAAGCATCTGATCTGGCCTTTTTTCATTTTTCTATAGGTGCATTAGTGGTTTTCTAATTGATTTGTAAGAGCTCTCTAAATTTTTTGCAACATTAATCTTTATATGTCTTAACCTAATATTTCTAGGTATTTTTAGAGGCTTTTTCTTGCTTGTAAGGCAAATGAATTTTGTTTATTATTTCATGTCTATTTATTAGTGATCAATTTTATGAATTTATGTTGGATTGTCCCATAAAGAGGCAAAGGGCTATTAATTGAATACCTACTGAGAACAATTATAATGATAAAATCTACTTTCTCCATATTCTTTTAGACTCAACGTCTATTGCAACAGAATATTCTCTGAAATTTGATGAATCCATGACAGAAGATGAAATAGAAGAACAATCATTTCGATCATTACTACCTTCAGAGAGTCACCGCAGATTTAACATGGAAAAGAGAAGAGGTCATCATGATGACTCTGATGAAGAAGCTTCTCCAGAAAAAACTACACTGTCTACTGCCAAGGTGTGTTTCACTTTATCTGTGGAGGTAAATGGTTGTGGATATGTTCTCTCAAAGATATGAGAAAACATTTTGTACTTATCTCATTTGTCAGCTACTAGAATGATTTTTCTAAGATATCAGTTTTATTTTATAGTTTTCCTATGAAATCTGGTTTCACTTTCCTTACAAAGTACAATACAAACTTATTTTTTGGAATGATATATAAGGCCTTTGAGGATCTGAGCCAATATTATCTCTCTAGCTTTTGTACTTGCTTCACTCTTCTAATACTTTATTCCATTTAGAAATTTACATTCGTTCTTACCAAATTGTAATCCTCTTGGTTAAGAGGAACAAATTCTTACCCACTTTGTATCCTTGGGACAGTAATTGGCTTGCAGTAGTTTATTAAAATTTTATTGGCTGAATAAATTAGCAGATGAATGTTAATCTGCCTCATGTGCCTTTTTAAAGAATATACTCTTACATTGTTGGTGGCCTTGTTAAATACATAGTTTGTTTTTGTAAATGCATACCTCTTTTAGTGGAATTAAGTACCAAAAGGTTAGATGATGATAAACAAGAAAGAAACCATCTACTTTAGGAACTGAACATGCCATTCTCAGGAGGACAAGATAGCTTTTCTAAATTTACTATGGAGATGGTTCGACAGTATATGAAAGAGGAAGAAATGAGGGCAGCTCACCAGTCTTCACTCCTGCGTCTCCGTGAAAAGGCCTTGAAGGAGAAGACTAAGGCTGAATTGGCCTGGTTAGAGCATCAAAAAAAGTAAGTTCTTTTGAGCAGTTTTCACTAATTTCTTCATTCATAAAATGGAATGCTTTATATTTTAAGATTTTTTTGTTTCCTCATTTCATTTGATTAGAGCAGCCCAGTTTCTCAAGCTAGAAATAACGGCAGTCATACTTGATTTGTATTTCTTTCAAGACCTCCTCCTACCCACGTAACATTTTCTTTGCATTCCCCTTTTATCACTTAACTGACTGTAATCTTATGTTGTCATATGATGCAATATTGTAAACTTCCCCAAGTCCTTCTGTCTCCAGAGGACACATTCTAGGGCTTGCATATACCTCAGTGAAATACTTATTTGGATATTAATGGTTACGGCTACATGTAGCAACTGCTTTTCACATTTGAAAATGTTAAATTGGTTTGTAGACTTTTTAGTAGTCAAGAATTCTTGACATTATTCAGGTAAGAGAAATTTAATCAAATCTTTGTCTCAATGAAAAATATTATTTGCAGACATCTACGAGACAAAGGAGAGGATGATAAAATGCCCCCGCTCCGGAAGAAACAGCGTGGTTTGCTTTTAAGGTTGCAGCAAGAAAAGGTATGTTAGGGAAGGCACCCCTTTAGGACAGCTTATAAGGCAAGTTAGTTTGTGGAATCTATTATTTTGCCTGATTTCTTTTCCTTATCATTGCCTTAAATGAGATTTAGTTGATACTTCCACTGTTTATGTTCATACTACTATAATTATAGGGGTTGCTTGGTAATCTACTGTATTTCTCCTAAATGAGGATTGTGTGTCACTCCTAAATTAATAAAATACACAGGCAAACTTTCTACCTTCATGTAGTAAGTAGAAGAAAATACTCTTTTGAAATACAAATTTTAAAAATTAAGATATGTGTAAAAGAATCTATTTGGATTAAATTTTAAATTATTGTTTCCCTAGACTTTCATGACATATTAATTACATATTGATAAATATTTTGGCTTAATGGACTTAGAAAGACCTCAGTTTTGAATTCTGGAGAGGCAGCATGGTGGTGTAGTGGTAAAGAATTCAGGCTCTGGAGTTAGATTTCCTAGGCTAAAATCCCAACTTTACCAGTTGCTGGTTTCATAACCTTGAACAAGTTACTTAACTTCTCTGTGTCTCAGTTTCCTCATCTGTAAACTGAAGATAATAATAGTAACATACTTTATAGGGTTGTTTTAAGAAATAAGTGAGTTAATACATAAAATAAACTTAGAGCAGACTGTGGCACAATGGTAAGTGCTCAATAAATATTAGTTGCTATTATTTGAATTCCAGCGTTGTCACTTGAAACTGTGTAATCATGGTCAAAGTTTAAGTAACTCTCTGAGACTTAATTTCCTCATCTGTAGGAGTGGGATTATACTTCATATAGTGGTTGTGAGGATTAAATGAGGTAACATATGTAAAGTGGGTTTCACTGTGCCTGGTAAGTATTCAATAGATTCCAGTTTTTTTCCCCATATTAACCTGTTGTCAGGTGCTAGCTACTGTGTTAGATGATTTAGGAAGCTAATTATCTGAATTATATATTGGCTTATTACTTAGTTGTATGTTTATCCCAGGAAACATTACAGATAATATGAATTTGAATAAATTCTGAATTCCATCTTTTTTTTTTTTTTTTTTTTTTTTGAGACAGTCTCGCTCTTTTACCCAGGCTGGACTGCAGTGGCGCTATCTCGGCTCACTGCAAGCTCCGCCTCCCAGGCGCCATTCTCCTGCCTCAGCCTCCTGAGTAGCTGGGACTACAGCCCCCACCACCGCGCCTGGCTAATTTTTTTGTATTTTTAGTAGAGACGGGATTTCACCATGTCAGCCAGGATGGTCTTGATCTCCTGACCTCGCGATCCGCCATCCTCAGCCTCCCAAATGCTGGGATTACAGGCATGAGCCACCTTACCCGGCCTGAATTCTATTTTTTAAAAAATAAGTTGTGTCTTTTTAATCCAAAAAATTGGTTTTAAAATAAATTAAAATTTTTTCTTAGTTAAAATAAGTAAATAACTTTCTATAATGTTACACAATAGCTTTCTGTTATAAAATAGAATAAAAATAAGATTTATAAATTTATCCCTCATTCTGTGGGGTTTCTTTTCACTTTCTTGATAGTATCCTTTGAAGTATAAAATTTTTCATTTTGATACATCTGGTATTTTATTGCATGCCTGCTAATAACATGTTTTTTGTTTTGATTAGTTTGAAAATGTATTTGTTTCACCTTTATTTTTGAAGGATATTTTTAATAGGCATAAAATTATTTTCTTTCAGCACTTCTAAAGATATTTTCCATTATTTACTGCTTTCCATTGTTTATGTGGAGAGGTCAGTTATCTTAATCTTGTTCTTTTGAAGGTTCCTCTTAAGATTATTTAAAAATTACCCAGTTTTTCAGTAGTTTTACTATGATGCATGTAGGCGTGGTTTCCTTTGTATCTATCCTATTTAGGATTTGCTGAGCTTCTTGTATTGGTTTTTTTATTTAATCAGTTTTTCAGAAACTCTCTCTTCATGTATTGCTTCTGCCCCTCCCCCCCCCCCTTTTTTTTTTTGAGACAGGGTCCCACTCTGTTTCCCAGGCTGGAGTACAGTGGCACGATCTCAGCTCACTGCAACCTCTGCCTCTAGGGCTCAAGCAATCCTCTCACCTAAGCCTCCCCTGTAGCTGGGACCACAGGTGTGCGCCACCAGTGCCAGGTAATTTTTTGTAGAGATGGGGTTTCGCCATGTTACCCAGGCTGGTCTTGAACTCCTGGACTCAAGTGATCCCCCCACGTTGGCCTCCCAGAGTACTAGGATTACAGGTGTGAGCCACTGTGCCTGGTCACTTCTACCTCATTCTTTTTCTCCTTTCCTTCAGGGACTTCAATTAGACATAGGTTAGACCTTTTGACCATTTGCCACATCCCTCTCTTCTGTCTTGTTTGTATTTCATTCCTTAAAACAAATTAAAAACTAAAAACACTGTGCTTCAGTTTGGAAAGTTTTTATTGACCTGTCTTTGAGTTCATTAGTATGTCCTCTACTTTGCCCAGTGTGCTGCTAAGTCTATCCAGTGAGTTCTTAATTCGATTTGTTTTCGTTCTATAATACCCAATTTTATTCTTTTTAAAATAGATTTTGACTCTGTTGAAATTCTCTACCCTTTAATCTACTTTTCTTTCTTTTTTTTTTTTTTTGGAGATGGAGTTTCACTCTTCCTGCCCAGGCCAGAGTGCAATGGCGCGATCTTGGCTCACTGCAACCCCTGCCTCTCGGGTACAAGTGATTCTCCTGCCTCAGCCTCCTGAGTAGCTGGGATTACAGGCGTCTGCCACCACACCCAGCTAATTTTTTTGTATTTTTAGTAGAGACGGGGTTTCACCATGTTGGCCAGGCTGGTCTCGAGCCCCTGACCTCAGGTGATCCACCCACCTTGGCTTCCCAAAGTGCTGGGATTACAGGCGTGAGCCACCGTGCCTGGCCTACTTTTCTTTTTCTACTTATTATCCATAGTTATTTTAATGTTCTTGACTGCTGTTTCTTCCCTGTCTGCTTGTATGTGGCCATGTGTGCCTCTATTATTACTATTGTCTGTTTTCTTTTTTTTTTTTTAAACTATCGTATGGCCCCTTTTCTTTGCATGCCTAGTAATTTTTTTGTTGAATACTAGTCACAGTTATATAAATAACTGCAAAGGCTCCAGCTGATGGTCTCTTCCCCCAGAGAGGATTTATCCTTTCTTTTGCTATTTTATGAGAGTTTTCTTTTGCTATTTTATTAGAGTTATCAACTGTTCATCTTAATTCATTCAAAGATTGTGCTGGGTTAGGGTTAGGTTGTAGAGTTGGTAAGCCTCAGTCTACTTCTGGTCTGCATTATCCCTAGGTTGGGGCTCTCCAGGGATTCACTGGAAACCCAGATAATACTTTTTACTCAGCACAAGAGACTGGGGATTTCTGCCCTGCTTTTGAGACTTTTCTGGGTTAACTCCTTAGCCCTCTATGTGCTACTTCAGAACTTGACAACTGCTTTGAGGAGAATGTGAGTTTGAGATCTCCTGAGTCTCCTAGTTTTGTCACTGTGGCTCTGTGTGGATGGTTAGAGTGTTGACTGGTGTAACCACTTTGAGTTGAGAGCAATTGCCACTACCTGGTTCAGTTGAGGACATATATAATATATGACTCAGCAGTTCTGTCTTGGTATATATCCTAAAAAAGCTTTCACATATGTTCAAGGGAAAATGAAAACAACTTAATTTCTTCAATAAAAGAATAGATGAAATAAAACATATTCTTGCAAGAAAGTATAATACTGCAGGAAACTGAATGTGTTAGATATCAACACTGTCTGTAGAGATTTCTGAAATGATAGTAATTTTCTTTATCTGTGTTGTCCAATACTGTAGCTACTAGCCACATGTAGCTAGAAGCTGTCATATTGGACAGTGTAGCATGAGATCTTCATTTATCAAAAACCATAATGTTCTTTTTAATAGAAAAGCAAGATGCAAAGAATATATACAGTATTATACCAGTCATATAAATTTTTTTAAAGTAACCAATTAGTAGTATATGTTCTGTGGAACCACTCATGCATCAAAAGCAAAAAACCACATATAGAAATGATACACTTCTGGGGAAGAGAGGAAGGAGGAAGAGATTGGCATGGAGTTTGGTTTCATCTGTATTTATCTATTTATAGATAATAACATATTTGAAACAAATGTGCAAACTGTTAAATATGTTTAATGCCAGTCGTAGGGATATGAGTGACTACTTTTTCTTTTTGTAATACTTAAGAATTTTTTAAGTAAATATGCAAAATATACTCTTTGATCCAATTGGTTACCCCTGAAAAGTTGCCTTATATGTTGAAAAAACCAAAGTGTAAGAATATATGTGCTAAGATATTTCTTGCAACTGTAGCAGTAAGAATTCTTTTGACTGATAGTGAAATGGCTGGCTCTAAGCAATTTGGTACAACCGTATCCAAAAAAGAGAGACCATATTTTCCTATGTCTTATTCGTTTTACCCTCCCTGAAGTGACATTCATAACACATAAAAATAACCATTTTAATAAAGTGAATAATTCACTTACACCATTCACCATTTTAAAGTGAACAGTTCATTTGTACAACTTCATGAATTATTCTTACAAGAGGGACAAACCTGTTTCCCAAGTATTCCTTAGAAGTTGTCTCTTTTTTCTTCTAGGCTTGAATTGGGTGAATTTATACATTATTTAGTTCAGAAACTCAGGCCTAAGTTAGTGGAAGTTTCAAAACGTACTCTGTGAAACTCTGGCCTCTAAGACCCTTTCACAGGTCTGGAAGGTCAAAACTATTTTCTTAATGATACTCTGTTATGAATTTGCCCTTTTCACTGTGTTGACATTTGTACTAAATAGTAGAAAACAATGCTGAGTAAAACTGCTGGTGCTTTATCACAAGTCAGTGGCACCAAACTGTATTGGTAATTTTCTTATTCTTCATGCCACTTACTTGCAGTTAAAAAAAGCAAGTTTCATTTAGAATGTCCTGATTGAGTAGTAAGAATTATTAATTTTATTGTCTTGAACTCTTGAGTACATGTCTTTTTTGTATTCTGTGTGACAGAAACGGGAAATCCATAATCAGACATCTTTGCTCGATACCAGAATATAGTGATTAATTCAAGAAGTATTTGTGCACTTGTTTGAATTGTGAGCCTTTTTTTTTTTTTCATGGAATAGTATTTTTACTTGAAAGAATGATTCAAGGCAACCTGTGCTAATTCGGATTTGAGTGTTTGACAAATGTTTTTCTTAAAAACAAAGAAAGTATCCCTGTCACTTCAAATAAATAACTGACAATATATGTTGCCAATGATAAAATTCAAGCTTTCACACAAAAGTCAGGATTTTGAAAAATTTCTGTTGCCCACCCAAAATAATTTTTCTTTTGAGATTAATGGTGATATTCATGAGTATAACTGTTTGATATTGCATAATGAAGTGTGTCAACATTTAGAAAATCCACATAACTTAGTGAACCAACATTTTCCCAGTGACCAGTGCACAATGTTAAAAAAAAAATCAAGCTAGACAATAAAGAGATTTGCAAAACTCTAAAATATCATTCTTTTCACTAAATTATTTTTTGTTTTGGAAAATATAGTTACTTTCTTTAAAATGTACACAATCATTGTATACTCATTAGGGAATGAGAATAAAGAGCAAGTAATATATTTGCTAACAATGTATTTAGTGTTATAAAAAATGGTTTGATGCTCAGAGTCCCCTAACAGGGTCTCAAGACTTCCAGGGATTTCATAGAGCACACTTTGAGAACTGCTACTCCAGAAAAATTTATAAATGTGCCCAAGAAGACAAAATGTATAAGGCTCTTCACTTACAGCATTGTTTGTACAATAGTGAAAAATAAAGAACAACCTTAAAATCTCACCATATGGGGTGGGCACAGTGGCTCATGCCTATAATCCCAGTGCTTTGGGAGGCCAAAGACAGATCACTTGAGGCCAGGAGTTTGAGACCACTCTAGGCAACATAGCAAGACCCTGTGTCTACAAAAAAATAAAATAAAATAAAAATTAGCTATGCGTGGTGGCACGTGCTTGTAGTCCTAGCTACTTGGGAGGCTAAGGTGGGAAGATCACTTGAGCCCATGAGTTTGAGGCTGCATTGAGCCACTGTACTACTCCAGCCTGGGCAACAGAGCAAGACCTTGACTCTAAAAAATTTTAAAAATAAAAATAATCCCACCATACATGGGTAAGAGATAAATATATGGTTCTCCACTGTAATTTTATGCAGCATTAAAAGGCGTAAATTAGCATGGTGAAATATCAAAAGTGATATCTAGTAAAGCAAGATTTAAAATATATACATATGATATTTATAAAATATTTTTAAACATACAAACCAAATAGTATATCTTTTTTTTTGCAGATAAGCACAAATATTTTTAGAATAATTTAAAAAGAATGTGCTGGAAGGATAGATACCAAACCCATGATAGTTGTTACCTCTGAGGAGTTGGGGCACAAGATTGCAGACTAGTTTTATCTGTAATGTTTTATTTCTTTACAGGATTAAAGACTAGGAGAAAATATAACTGAATATTAACAATTGTTAACTTGGTGTTTTGGAAATGTAGATGTTTATAAAGCACTTTTTTGCATTTTAAGGTAGTTTCAGAAAAATCTCAATGATTAAAATAATTATAACTAACAAATTTTAATGTGTTTATTATGCTTTATTGATAAGAAAACATTGATTGATTGATTGATTGATTGATTGAGACAGGGTCTCACTCTGTTTCCTGGGCTGGAGTGCAGTGGCATGATTTTGGCTCACTGCAACCTTGACCTCCTGGGCTCAGGTTGATCCTCCCACCTCAGCCTCCCAAGTGGCTGGGACCACAGGTGAGTGCCACCACGCCTGGCTAATTTTTGTGTCTTTTGTAGAGGTGGGGTTTCACCATGTTGCCTAGGCTAGTCAACTCCTGGGCTCAAGTGATCTGCCTGCCTTGGCCTCCCAAAGTGCTAGGATTACAGGTGTGAGCCACCATGCCCAGCCAAGAAAACAGATTTAAAACAAATTTATTTTTTAAAAAGGATTATCTGTTAAATTTTGACAATTATTAGCAGTGAAGTGTATTATCTTCTGCCCACATAGCAACTGAAAACAGTATTCTGTGTGGAGAGATATTGGTACAATGTAGTCTTAAATGTTTCTGGTAGCATTGTAGACAGGGGCAGTCCTTTTTTGAAAGCAATTTTAAAAACTGTTTTTAAGAACCATAAAATGATTCATTGTCTTTGACTTGTTTATTTTACTTTTAGAAATCTCTCCTAAAGAATTAATCCATGGTATGAAACAGCTATGGGCATTAAAGCATTATTTGAGATAGTAAAACATTATAGGGGCCTAAAAGTTTAGCAATAGAATAATAGTTACATTAATTAGTTTACTTGATAAGCAGCTATTAAACTAGTAAGTGTAAACGTTGAGTAGCATTATGGAAAAATGTAAAATATATGTTATGTTTTAAAATGGGATATGAAATTATCAATCTAATTATAATTTAAAATTAAGAGATCATATTAAATTATTTTAGAATGGTGGGATTATATATGATTTATTTCCTCCCTCACTATTTTTTAAACTTTTCAGTATTACTACTTTTATTATAAAATACTATATGTATTTATTTTTAATATATGTGCTGATTTTTTTTTTAAATATTACTTTGGCCTTGTCTTCTCCCAATCTTAATCCCTCTCTTAACTCTTTAAACCTTAGGCAGAAATAAAACGTCTTCAAGAAGCCAATAAGGCAGCTCGGAAGGAAAGACAGCTGATTCTTAAACAGCAGGAGGAGATAGAAAAGATCCGACAGACCACCATAAAACTACAGGAGAAATTGAAGTCTGCAGGGGAGAGTAAATTGGTAAACTACATGAAGTTATTATTTGTTTCCTGTCTTATTTTGATTGTCGGTATCTAACCCTGTCTCATGTTCTAAGATAATATTCATTCAAGCAGTATGATACAATAATGAACTAGGATAAAGTTCTATGGATGGGCCAGTCTTAGTCCATTTTCTGTTGCTATAACTGAATACCTAAGACTGGGTAATTTATAAAGGAGCAAAATTTTTTCTTAACAGTTCTGGAAGGTGAGAAGTTCAAGGTCAAGGTGCCACATCTGGTGAGGGCCTTCTTGCTGGTAGGGACTCTCCGCAGAGTCCCAAGCGGTGATGCAGGGCATCACATGACAAGGGGGCTGAGTGTGCTAGCTCAATCCCCTCTTTCTTCTCTTATTAAGCCACTAAAGTCCAACCCTCATGACATCATCTATTTCTAATTACCTTTCAAAAGTTCTACCTCTCAAATACCATAGTCTGATTTCCCACTGTCTTAATGTTACAATGAGAATTAAGATTCAACATGAGTTACAGAGGGGACAAACATTCAAACCGTAGCAATGCCCTAATGTATAGTGAGAGTTTTATTTTTTTCCTATGGAATATTCAAATTTTGAAAGGGCCACATAGTTCTTATACAATATTAGTTTAATTTAGAATATTTTTCACTTACAAACTAAATTGGAACAGAGGGCTTTGCTCTTATTTATCAATCCAAACAAATTCTTCAGAATTAATGGGGGAGACTGTTTTACTATTTACATGATACTCATTTTAGCTATCCAACTTTAATATGATGATACATGATTCAAAGGAGATATTAGACAAAAACAAAATTTGAAACTTTTTTTTTTTTTTTTTTTTTGGAGACACGGTCTCACTCTGTCACCTGGACTGGAATAAAATGGTGCAATCACAGCTCACAGCAGCCTTGACCTCCCAGGGGTTAGGTAATCCTCTCACCTCAGCCTCCCGAGTAGCTGGGACTATAGGCATGCACCTCCACCCTCAGCTAATTTTTTGTATTTTTTATAGAGATGGAGTTTCGCCATGTTGCTCAGGCTGGTCTCCAACTCCTGGGCTCAAGCAATCCATCTGCCTCAGCCTCCCAGAGTGTTAGGATTACAGGTGTGAGCCACCATGTCCAGTGGACCTATTCTAAGGTACTATAAAATGTCAATGTAGGGCTGGGTGCCGTAACTCAAACACCTGTAATCCCAACACTTTGGGAGGCCTAGGTGGGCAGATCGCTTGAGCTCAGGAGTTTGAGACCAGCCTGGGCAACAGGGCGAAACTCCTAGCTCTACAAAAAATATAAAAATTAGCTGGACATGGTGGCATACACCTATAGTCCCAGCTACTTGCGAGGCTGAGGTGGGAGGATTGCTTCAGCCTAGCAGGCCAAAGCTGCAGTAAGCTGTGACCACACCACTGCACTCCAGCCTAGGTGATAAAGCAAGACCCTGTCTCAAAAAAAAATCATTATAGTGTGAGAAAACCCAGGCTGTATAGCAGTATAATTTTTAAAATTCCTAATATGCTCTGCTTTGATTTTTAAAGTAAACTTTAAATTTTGAAAAAATCTCAAACTTACAGAAAAATGTCAAACAGTACAAAAAATTCTATTATCCTGAGTTATCTGAGAGTAAGTTGCCAACAAATTAACATTGATACATTACTACCACTTAATCTGCAGACTACCTGAAAGTGGGTGCCCTTCTCATTCCACCTGGGCTCTGACTCCCCAAGTTGGGCTATTCCCATCTCCTCACACCCTCTCTTCCTTGCTCTCTTTGGACTCTGGCTCTTGTGCTAGGAAGTTCTCTGTGGTAAGGCCATCCTCACTGTGCTTGGGCTTGCAGTTGTGTGTGGGGGTCACTTCCATGTGACATTCTTGTTGGCCTTCTTGGGCTCTGATTTCCCTTACCGGCCACCCTCCTGCATTGGATGCCCTCTTCATCCTACTCAGGTTCTGAGACCCCACTCTTGCCCTCCTGTGTCCCTCAGCCCCTAAGATGCCCGCCTTGCTCTGTCGCATCCAATGACTATAAGACTTAACTGTTCAAGAGGAAGAAAGGGAAGCTCAAGGGCTCTACTTTTTTTTTTTAAACAAAATAAAAACAGTCATTACTGTTGCTACCCATCTTCCTGAAAAGTTAGGAGAATAAATGACTGTTTGTGGGGAAAACATACTAAGCAATTAAAGTTTTACTTTTTGCTCATCAGAAATAATGTATTGATTAATAGTTTCCAAATGTTTTCTTTACAAACTTTTTTAATTTTTGAAAACACTGTTTTGCATAAGGAATATTCAAAGGAAAAAACCCATGCCCTAGTATGATTAAAATAAATGTTACATCTTCCAGTCATTCTTTGTGTCTGTACATACATGTTTTATATAGTTATAGTCTAATTTTTTTATTCCTTTTGAGTGGTCCAACTTTGAAATCTCAGAGAGGATGTGCAGA
The DNA here is from genome assembly GCF_000001405.40 of Homo sapiens. Classification (NCBI taxonomy): domain Eukaryota; kingdom Metazoa; phylum Chordata; class Mammalia; order Primates; family Hominidae; genus Homo; species Homo sapiens. Next base: position 180,064,811 of record NC_000001.11, read on the forward strand.
TACTAGATTACTAATAGCAGAAGCTTTTTTGGATTTCTTACATTTCTTCTTTTTTAAAATTATTACATGTTGTGATATTCTCTTTTTCTCTCTATATATAAATGGTGGTAAAAATATACATAATATGAAATGTACTAGTTTAACCATTTTTAAGTGTGTGATATATTTTGTCCTTTATTATCTTATTTTCAACTATTGTTATAAACATTGTATTGTGGATAAACTTAATTTTGAATTGACAGTATTATGATGGCTTCAAGGTCCTATTAAAGTCCAATACAATTTTGCCTCTTTTTGTTTGCAGGACTCTCATAGTGATGATGATACAAAGGATAATAAGGCAACCAGTCCTGGTCCAACTGACTTGGAGACCCGCAGTCCTTCTCCCATTTCAATCTCCAGCAGTGAAACTAGCAGCATTATGCAGAAACTGAAGAAAATGAGAAGCCGCATGGATGAAAAGTATTTGTTTTTTATAAATATCTCTTGTTTAGTTACATTGAAAGTAGTACAACAAATAACATTTGTAATAATACTTCACTAGATTAGATTGAGACAAAATATTTTATGGATTCAGTAGCATTTTAGCAGAATTGTTAGATTAACCTAGAAGCCAATTAACTGTAGATCTTATTTATAAAACAATTTTAATACGAGCAGGTTTCTTACTTTAAAAAACCGAAAAACAAGGCTAGGAGTGGTGGCTCACACCTATAATCCCAGCACTTTGAGAAGCTGAGGCAGGAGGATCATCTGAGCCCAGGAATTCAAGACCAGCCTGGGCAACGTAGTGAGACCCCGTCTTTAAAAAAAAAAAATTAGCTGGGCATGGTGCCATGTGGGAGGCTGAGGTGGGAGGATCCTTTGAGCCTAGGAGATCAAGGCTGCAGTGAGCTATGATTGTGCCACTGCACTCCAGCCAGGGTGACAGAGCTAGACCCTGTCCCCCCCCAAAAAAAAAGTATCTGCACATGTACCCATAACAAAGTTTTCCCTTCTTTTATTGAAAGAAAGGCATTTCTTTCAATAAAATTTCTATAAAATTTTAATTTTATAGAAATTAAAGAAATTTTCAATAAAATTTCTTTCTACTAATTTGGGGAAGCAACTAATGGTATATCCTGACGTTTCATCCTGTGACTCTCTGGCATCTCTCAGGCTTATTCAAATAGATGAAATTTTAACCTGGTGAGTAGGTATGAGTTCCTTAGCTGAAAGCAGAAAGGCTGAAATTTTCCAGGAATGTTGATTTGAAAGTCTTAACATTCTTCTAAAATAGTTCTAAGAATTATTTTGTAAAGACTCTTAAAGAAAGCTACTCCAACTTAGATATAGCTCAGTTGTACATCATTGTTGACCATATAAAATGAAATTTATGTGAGACTTTACTCTTTGGGGTGTATATTTAATTAAATACGGTTAAAAATTAGCTGCTTGTGGACTCTATTCTTGCCTCTGTAACCTCCACCCCATATCTAGCTTCCTCGAAACCCATTAAATATGGAAGAGACTCATTAGAAATTTTTGCTGACTACCATTTTAAATTCGCAATTTGAACTACTGCAGATTGAATTTAAGTTTTAACTTGATAACCTTTGGCAGTATACCACACATCACCAAATTTAATAATGCTCTATGTTTATATGTTAAATCAATCTGTGATTTAGTTTGTTTTGCAACAGTCAAGAGTTGTAAGTTAAATCCTTACTTTCTGTAGGTGCAGTTCTATATTGGCACTTCATTGCAAGAACGGCATTTCATAACTTAAAAATACCTAAATTGATTATGAAAATAAGTCTTGAAAATACAGTTTTTAAAAATTAAAAATATAAGAGGTGAAACCAAATATTGACAAATATATGAATGAATGTTCCTTTTGGATGATTTCCATGGGATAGACTGATTAAGGCTTCTTCAAGTAGGAATTTATTAAAATTTAGATTAAAGATGCTTTCTTCCTTTCCTGATAAAATTTTCCAGTAGCCTATATGGGCGTACTGTATTGTTCCAGCAGTCTTTGAATTCAAAATTAGAATAATCTCTCATAGATTTTTATCACTAATTTGACATTGTAGATCTGCTACAAATGTCTTTGAATGGTAAATGTTGGGGGAACACAGTGTCAGGGTGATTTCTTCATTGATCCCTTGCTCTTCTATTTCAGTAAAATCTTCATTGCCAGTCTCTAAGAATGATATCCTAATTTAACCACCTTTGTAGAAAAAACTTAATTCCAGTCTGACCTTGAGGTCAGTTAGTTTCTGGGATGCTTATTTATTTCAGATTTGATTTAAAATTTTAAAAATCCTAAATAACAAGTTTAAGTTTGGATTTATTGACTTTGTTCCAAATTTTGTTAATTATTTTCATAGACTCCAAAATATTAATCACCTAGAATTTTTGTATTATTCCTCTACCTTTCCTTGACAACTATGGCAATTGATTTTTGAGAGATTTGTCAAGGAGAATAGGCATTGGAGCATTCAGTGACTTTTTGATCTGTTTGAGGCAATGAAATTGTGTTTGTGATAGGAATAGAGTAAAGGCAGTAGTGGCAAAGAAATGTTTGAATGATGGTGCTGAAATCTGAGGATGAGGCCGGGCCTGGTGGCTCACGCCTGTAATCCCAGCATTTTGGGAGGCCGAGGCAGGCAGATCACCTGTGGTCAGGAGTTCGAGACCAACCATGGCCAACATGGTGAAACCTCATCTCTACTAAAAATACAACATTAGCCAGGCCTGGTGACACATGCCTGTAATCACAGCTACTCTGGAGGCTGAGGCAGGAGAATCACTTGAACCTGGGAGGGGGAGGTTGCAGTGAGCTGAGCTCATGCCGCCATACTCCAGCCTGGGCAACAAGAACAAAACTTAGTCTCAAAAAAAAAGAAATCTGAGGATGAACTAAAGTATTTTCCGAAATTGGTGGTGCATAGGAAAGGAAGAATATTGTTATATACTATTTTTTGGTCTCTGAAACAAAGTAATGTGAAAACTAGCTTTTAAATACCATTTATATTACCGGAGCACCATAGTTTGATCTCCTTCAATGATGTTGGAGTGTCAGCTCAATAAATAGGAAGTCAGTTAATTTCATAGTCATTCGCTATGGTAGACACCTAACAACAAAATCATTTGAACCTCTGCTACTTCGTGAACAACAAAATCATTTGAACCTCTGCTACTTCATGACTAGGAACTTAGTTGTTCCATAGATTTGCAAAGGCAGTCATTCCTATTTTATTGTTATAAATCACCAAAGAGTAGTCGTCCTTCTCAGTAAGTTTAGCTAGTTTTTAGTGGGAACCTTTTCATTTTATAACTTTCTGAACTCTGATTATATGACAGATATTTTTCTGAAGTGATCATATCATTTTTGGCTATAGTGAAAGATTTCCTTTTTTAATATTTTACTGAGACAGTAATGCCTTTGTTGAATATTAAAAACCATATGTTATATTCCTAACATATGGCTTTTCTTGACCTCTTTGTTGAGTAGACATTTTATAAATGTCATATAATTTCCATTTATCAGTATAGTAAAAAGCAAAAAATAATATTCAAAATGTGAAAGACATTAATAATAATGAAAACATGTTTGCAAAAGACATACAGTAGATCTAAGCCATGAACTGAATAGCTCTCAATGTTTTTGGTTTTATTGTTAAGTGAAATCTGAGTTTTATTACTGTGAGGGATATTATTTACAATTTAAGTGGATTGCCTATAAACATGAAACAGATATTCATGAAAAAACACCATGCAATTGACTGTTCCTGTTTATGGAACAAGTGAAACACTGAAAGAATGGAGTTTTCTTCATCTTTAAGTGTTTCATTACTTAAAATAGGACACTGCATTTTTTCTTTCATTTGTTAACAGTAGCTTCTTCTTCCATATTATTTATTAATTATACACTTACTCTCTCAGCAATTGTTTATTGATTAATGTGTGAGTATGCTAAGTGCTGAGGGATACCAAGATAAATCAGACTTAAGCCCTGTTCTCAAGCTTAGAGTGTAGACAGAAAAAAGAATGAGGACAGCTTCACATAGAGAAGTATATCTAGATCAATTGTTAAGGAAGTTCAGAAAAGAGAAATTCTTACTGACAGTATGATATATGTCAAGGACATTTTCATGGATGAGTGTACTTTTTTAAGAGTCTCACTATGTGGCCCAGGATAGGGTTGGATTCAAACTCCTCAGTACAAGTGATCCTCCCCACTCAGCCTCCTGAGGGAGTTAAATATACTGTTGAATTAGTAAGTACTTTCAAACATAAAAAGAAGGGGCAGAAAGTATTTAGCTATTTTTTGGTTTGGTCATTCATTGCAGACCGAGGTAGCATAGAAAGATGAAGCCTTTAGTCACAAAACATTTTAAATACTCCTTTTACACTTCCCAGTTGGCTTACAAAACTGTTAAAGGAGAAAAATTAATGTATTTGGTTTTAAATGATTGATCAAAAAGTTAAGCAAATAAATATTTTATGACATTTCTCTGTCCAAAAGTACTTATTATAGTGTCTGATCAATGTCGAAATCTTCACCATTAATCTGAATTTTAAAAATGAAGGATTTTCAAGAGAAGGCTTTTGATATTCCATTAAAGGAGATATTTTAATTAGATTGTCTTAAATAATAATGTTAAATAGCATTGCCTCAAATTGAATAGAAATTTCTTAGACAACATTCTAGTCTATGTGTAGTAGCTGAATAAATCCTGATAGTCTGATACTTTGTTTTTATTCTCTGCAGGAATTCCTAGGTCAGGAATCATGTGCTGTATTATTTTGTTTACTTAGGTGTATGTAAATTATTAGATAATTTTAAGTAATAGAATAGATTTTGCTATAGAAAATCATACCTAAGCTACATTTTCTTTTCAGTCAGAACTATCTGTATCCTCATTTATCCTCCTGTTTTTATATTATTAAAGATGCTAAAGTACTCAAAAGAATCCATTTTAAAATGTAAAGCACTATGTTCCATTTTTAATTATAACAGTAATAGAATTAAAAACCCAGAAGGAATAAAATGATTTAAGGTACTAAGTTTTTGTAAGTTTTGTTTTGGGAAGAGTAAAAAGTAGTGTTTTAGTTTAGCTAGGTAGTCTCACTAGTTTGGGGATACATAGCATTGCATAAGGATTCACTAATAAAGCAGCAATAATTTTCTTCAAGGTCAGTACAAATAGAGCAGTGATTCTTAACTTTTTGGGGATCTTGAGTTCGCTTGTAAATTAGATGAATGTTTTGGAACCTTGCCTCAGAAAAATGTATGTACACACATATATACAACTTTACATGCAATTCCAGGGTATCCATGGACTCCTTGGTATTCCAATGGAGAAACAAATGATAATGGAAGCACAGTAACATCCTAAACAAATATAGAACTGTAAATGTTTCTTCTGTGAAGGTATTAAGATTTTGTTTTCGATATCTTTTATAATGAAAGGATTTTTAGACCTAGGAGTTCCACTTAAAATTTAGTTTATAATTTTATTCAAATTATAGAATGATTTTATAATCTGTTAGAATGCAGGCGACAATTATATCAGCTCGGTGGGCAACAAAAGGTCTCATTTAACGTCACATGGTCTAGCAGTCACACGGTCTGGCAGTCTTTTGAGGTACAAAATAAGTGGAAATATTCCAACGGAGAAAGAGTCATAAAATGTTAAAATTGGAAGGGCTCTTAGGGAAGCCATAAAATAAAGTCCCTTTGTTTTACATGAAGAAATTGAGGCCCACAGAGTTTATGTAACTTTCCTCAGGTCACACACACACAGCAGAATGGCAGAGCTGAAACTAGAACTCTGTTCTCCAGAGTTCAGCTAGCTAAAGTCAAAGTTAAGTTAGCGTATCTGCTTTCAACCTCATAGATTTTTTTAAAACCTAAATTGATGACTTAAAGTTATCTTCATTAGAAACTGATCCTTCTAAATAGTATTTTGTTGAAATTAGCAAAGTGCTAGATGGCTAATTACTGGAGTTGAATAGCTGTACAGAGCAAGTTCAGAGTGTGAAAGTGTGACTTTAAAAGTGAATTAAGGCCAGGTGCCGTGGCTCACGCCTGTAATCCCAGCACTTTGGGAGGCCGAGGTGGGCAGAACACGAGGTCAGGAGATCGAGACCAACCTGGCCAACATGGTGAAACCCCATCTCTACTAAAAATACAAAAATTAGCTGGGCATGGCGGCGCGTGCCTGTAATCCCAGCTACTTGGGAGGCTGAGGCAGGAGAATCACTTGAACCAGGGAGTTGGAGGTTGCAGTGAGCCAAGATCATGCCATTACACTCTAGCCTGGCGACAGAGCACGACTCCATCTCAAAAAAAAAAAAAAAAAAAAAGTGAATAAAGCCGGGCACGGTGGCTCATACCTGTAATCCCACTACTTTGGGAGGCCGAGGAGGGTGGATCACCTGAGGTCAGGAGTTGAAGACCAGCCTGGCCCACATGGTAAAACCCCATCTCTACTAAAAATCCAAAAAATTAGCCGGGCGTGGTGATGCGCGCCTGTAATCCCAGCTACTCAAGAGGCTGAGGCAGGAGAATCTCTTGAACCCGGGAGACGGAGATTGTAGTGAGCTGAGGTCGCACCATTGCACTCTAGTCTGGGCAACACGAGTGAAACTCCATCTCAAAAAAAAAAAAAAAAAAATTTAAAAAGTGAATTAAGCTGTGCGCGGTGGCTCAGGCCTGTAATCCCAGCACTTTGGGAGGCCAAGGCAGATGGATCACCTGAGGTCAGGAGTTCAAGACCAGCCTGGCCAACATGGTGAAACCCTGTCTCTACTAAAAAAATAAATACAAAAATTAGCCGGGCATGGTGGCAGGTGCCTTTAACCCCAGCTACTTCAGAGACTGAGGCAAGAGAGTCGCTGAACCTGGGAGGTGGAGGTTGAAGTGAACTGAGATGGTGCCACTGCACTCCAGCCTGGGCAACAGAGCAAGACTCCGTCTCAAAAAAAAAAGAGCGAATTAAGTACTCATTAATTCCTTAAGTTCAAACATTTTAGAAACATAATGATTTCCATACTAGACTAAATCTGTTGTATATCTTATTCTTGTCCAGTGTTCCGTTACCATCAGAGGACTTGTTGGGGAAATGCCTTGACATCAATCAAAAGCATTTTGTATTAGTCGGCATTTATGTCTCCATCATTCACAATTTTTATTTCTTTCCTGTGTAGCATCTTGAAGGATTATTAATTCTATTGTGAAGTAATGCTCTTTCATCTCAACTTTATTCAACGTTTAAAGAGCACTCCTATAAGGAATGTATTTATATTTACACTCCTTATATAAGGATGTATTTATATTTAATAAGGAACATGTTTATGGAAAGAAGTTCTAACTTTAAGTTAAACTTTTCTTACTCTGTTTTTTAAACTATTTTCATTTTCTATTAGTTATTTCGTTCCTCATTCCTAAACTAGAGCTTTGGAATATGCTTAATCTTTAATAGAGGAAAATTATTGGTCTCTGTGTTGGGCTAGAGAAAAAATTTAAATTGTCTATTTTTAAAGTTTATTTCACGTGTTCCAATATTATTTTACTTTTTGTACTAGGTCATGCATGCATTTAGCAGTTATACACTTAAGAGGGTGGGTGATATTTGAATGTTATGAATAGATTTTTTGAGCCTTTTGCCAAGTGCCTTTGTTTTGCATAATATTTTGATAATTGGCATCAAAATAAGTTTATTGTACGTTCATAAAGAATGGCAAGGAAGATTGTAATGTCTTAACTTGAAATTTAGCAAAACTGTTTTTCTTGAATTTCAGTGCAGAAAATCAAGGCAATCCAGATATGAATATGTGTGTTTTTGCGTGTGTGTATGTGTGTGTAAGTGAAGGGGAAATGAAATACTAAGTTATATGTGAGGAAACAGACATTAAAATAGTCTGTTGTCTAAAAATACACATAGGCAAGATTATACATAATTTTACAAATCCAAGTGAATGGCTGGATTTATACCTAGATTTTCTCACTTCTATGACATACTGATATTACTCCTTGCCCTTCCAAGGCAATAAATGTTGCCTTGATCTACAAGTTATTGTCATGTGCATGTGAACAGGAGCATGCTCTGTCAAAGAGAATTAACCTTTCCAAAGGTACTACTAGACTTTTTAATCCATACACACACGCACGGATCTATTTATTATTACAAAAGAAGAAAATATGTTTTTTCCTGCTTTTATAACTGTAAAATGGAATGTTCTTCTTACCTTTAACCTTATGATTGAGCTGTCCATATCAGGTTTTTTTTTCTACTGACTATTTATTGGGACTAGCTCACTTTATTAATTATGCATCCTGATATCTTATAGAATGGATAGTGTATTTCAATATTATTAATTAAGTGGGCCTTTGTTAGATATAAAGCAAGATACCTCCAGTAGGTCCTGTTAGCAGTAAGTTTTATATTGTGGAGGTGAACAAGGTATTTTTGTGTAAATCAGTTTACTAAATTGTATTATTTTCAAGCTAGATTGTGATGGTAAGGTTAAGTAAGGCAAATGTAGTATTTTAAAATACATGATGAGGTACAGATTAAAAATCACTTGCTCAGGATTACATATGTGTGTAGAGTTGCTGATATACTAGGTTCATGGCCATAATTGTTGTACTGTCTGTTAAAGCTTAATTGAAAACTAATTTAGTCCCACAATGTACTTCTTATTACTTTACTTACAAATAAGTAAATTTAACTGAAAATATAGATGGTGGTTAAGCAACATATGAGAAGAAAGGCATGTTTATTCAGGAATCATTGGTAAGATCTATAAAAATACACTTTTAAAAATGTCACACAGAGTGTAATGCCTGCTTTAACTGAGTCACTTATAATGTTCTTCAGGAAGCATATTAAAAGTTCTTCACTCAGCTCTTACGCTTTCCCTTTCTCATTCTTCCTGCCTCTTGATCTCTTGTTTTTAAAATCTTCCTCCTTATTTTGTAGACACTGCTCTCCTGTTCACTACTTCTTCTCTGTCTTTACGTCTCATCACTGGGCCTCTCTCAGTGTCTGTTTTCCCAACCTTCATCCCAAATTCCAGCTGTATATCTACAACCAGTTGGTCAGGTAACTTTGCACCTTTTTCAGTGCACTCTTTGATAGAGCATGCTCTGTTCTTTTTGTTTGTTTTGTTTGCTTTTCTCTCTCTCTCTCTTTTTTTTTAATAGCCTGGAGGCCTCTTATCAAATGTCCCATAAATTTTACCTTTTGTTTCCACATTAATTTGACATGATGATGGCTCAAGAAGTAGAGTGACAGCTCTTCTTGTGCTTTTTAGTAAGTGTTTGTGCGATACATGTACGCATTTTTCTTGGTTAGCTACCACTATAGATGTAACACTAGTAATGTGAGCAGCCCACATTTTATTTAGTTGTGGCATCTACATTTGAAGATGGTTTATTAGTAGCCTCTAAACTAAGTAATTTTTCCTAACTCAGTAATTTCTCCTAACCCTCTGGGCCTAAGATATCATTGGCTATTTAAGTTCAGAAATCAGGTTAAATTGAGAATTTGATGCATCCCTTTACTCAAGTAAATAAATAGTTACGTTTATATGCATAAGACATGGACTGTGGTACTCAGTGTTCTCTCCATGAAAAAAAAGATTTACCACTTGACATTGTATCTCTTAGGTAATGAAGAAACAAAACTCATTAGACCTGAAACAAAGCCAGGCAGAAATTTAAAATAAAAGTAAAAAAGGGACATGAACATGTTTTTTGTTTGCTTGCTTGTTTTGGGGCTTTGGGGTTTGTTTTTTATTGTTGTTTTTGGTATTTGTTGTTTCGGGTTTTGTGTGTTTTCTGGTCTGAGCCTTCAGAATACATTCCTTACATCTTCTGTTATGGAAAAGAATAACCTACAAAAAATGAATATCTAAATATGAACATTATCAATTATGGTTGTCTAGATATTCTGAAGGTTTTTTTCCTGAATATACTGTTATCTTTCCTTTGCTAACTTTACAAACCATTATGAGTAAAACATAAATTCCCTCATTTTCTGAACAAGTTGACTCATGAAAGCTTCTATTATCTCAAGCTTTTTTCAGAGAGAAGAGTAGTATGAATGTTCTGCTTTTGCACAGCTTGTTGATAAGGTGGTGAGTGATAGAGCTCTCAAAGTGATCTCTGCATATAGGTTTTTTCTCTCAAACTGTTCTTCATGGTGTGACCATAGGTTTCTGACAAAGCGGGAGCAAAAATTAATGCAACGGCGACAACATGCAGAGGAGCTCCTAGAGTGGAAGCGACGTTTAGATGCAGAAGAAGCAGAAATTCGTCAAATGGAAAAACAAGCTTTGGCTGCCTGGGACAAAGAATTAATAAAACCCAAAACTCCTAAGAAAGAACTGGAGGACCAGAGAACAGAACAGAAAGGTAATAAATACTAACTCTGTTCACACTACAAACTAAAGCCTAACATAATTGAAAGATATATTTCATTACTTTTAAAAATGCGAGGCTGGGCGCAGTGGCTCACGCCTGTAATCCTAACACTTTGGAAGGCCAAGGCCAGAGGATCGCCTGAGGCCAGGAGTTCAAGACCAGCCTGGATGACATAGCAGACCCTGATTCTACAAAAAATTAAAAAATTAGCTGGGTGTGGTGGTACATGCCTATAGTCCTAGCTACTGAGGCAAGAGGCTTGCTTGAGATCAAGGTTACAGAGAGCTATGATCAACCCCACTGTGCTCCAGCCTGGGTGACAGAGTGAGACTCTGTCTCTAAAAATAAAATAAAATTAAAATGCAAATGATTGAGGTGATGCAAATGATGAGAAAGATGATATAACCACAAATGCTGGAGAAATTAGAAAAAAAAAAATTGTGGCTAGGCGCGGTGGCTCATGCCTGTAATCTTAGCACTTTGGGAGTCCGAGGCAGGTGGATTGCCTGAGCTCAGGAGTTTGAGACCAGCCTGAACAACACAGTGAAACCCCGTCTCTACTAAAATACAAAGGAAATTAGCTGGGTGTGGTGGAACACACCTGTAATCCCAGCTACTTGGGAGACTGAGGCAGGAGAATTGCTTGAACCCAGGAGGTGGAGGTCGCAGTGAGCCAACATCGTACCACTGCACTCCAGCCTGGCAACAGCGAGACTCCGTATCTCAAGGAAAAAAAAAAATTGTAATAACTTTATTCCAATACAAACTTGAAAACTTAGAAAAAATGGCTAAATTCTTCTAAAAAATACAACTTACCAAAGCTTACTCAGTAAGATAAGAGAACCCTCCTGATTCTTTCACCAGTAAAGGAATTGTACCCCAGTAACTAAGCATCTTTTTACATAGACCTCATCCATCTTTACCAGTATACTAGATTAAAGGCGGCAGTTGGGGGAAAACCTGGTATTATAGTTCTTTACTTTTCCATAGAATAGAAAAAGAGACATTTCTCAACTCATTTTATGAGGCTAGTATATAAGTTTGATGTTATGTCCATAAAAGGACAGTATCAGAAAAGGAAAGGCCAATCTTACCTATCCTGAATTATGTATTAGCACACCAAGTTCAACTATATATGCAAATCCTAATACTTAATGACAGAGTAGGATTAGCACACATTAAAAAGTTGATAATGTGGTGAATTACCTTACCCAGATTAAAGGAGAAAAATTGATCATCTCAATGGATTCAGAAAGACATTTGATAAAATTTAAAAAGCATTTGTGGGCCAGACACACCTGTAATCCCAACACTTTGGGAGGCTGAGGTGGGTGGATCACTTGAACCCAGGAGTTTGAGACCAGCCTGGGCAACATGGTAAAACCCCGTTTCTACCAAAAATAAAAAAATTAGTTGAGCATGGTGGCACACACCTGTGGTCCCAGCTACTCAGGAGGCTGAGACATGAAAGTCACCTGAGCCCAGGAGGCAGAGGTTACAGTGAGCTAAGATCATACCACTGCACTCCAACCTGGGTGACAGAGTGAGACTCTGTCTCAAAAAAATGAATCAATAAAAATAAAAAGCATTTGTGATAAAATAAATAAACCTCAGATCATAGTAGCCATAGAAAGGAACTTTCTTTACCTGATAAAAGGTATTAACAAAAACAAAAAACCAAACCTATAATAGATACCGTACTTAATGATAAAATATAGAAAGTTCTTTTGGATTTGGAGATAAGACAAGGAGGCTTATTTTTAGCTCTGTTCAGCATTGTGTAGAGGTCCTACACAGTACATTTAAGGCTAGAAAAAGAATTAAAAGCTATAAGGAGTGAGAAGAAGCAAAATTCTCATTACTTACAGTTAATAAAACTATACACATAGGTAATCCAGAATTTACATGTTAATTATTACAGTTAATAAGTGAGCTTAGCAAGGTTTCTGGTTATAAAATTCATATACAAAATTCAATTGCATATCTATACATCAGCAAAAATTGATTAGAAAAATATATTTTTTAAAAAAGATACAAATAGAAACAATATATAATAGAAACAAAAAATATGAAGTACTTAGGAATAAATTTAACAAAAAGTGTACAAGATCTTTATATAGAAAAATTTAGAATTTTATTAGGAGACATTAAAACCAAAACAGCCTGGGCACAGTGGCTCACACCTATAATCCCAACACTTTGGGAGGCCAAGGCACATACATCACTTGAGCTCAAGAGTTCATGACAAGCCTGGGCAACATGACCAAACACTGCCTCTACAGAAATATTAGCCGGGCATGGTGGCGCAGGCCTGTAGTCCCAGCTACTTAGGGGGCAGAGGCAGGAGGATTGCTTGTTCCTGGGAGGTCGAGGCTGCAGTGACCTGTTCGTGCCACTGCACTCCAGCCTGGGTGACAAAGCAAGACCCTGTCTCAAAAAGTAAAAAAAAAAAAAAAAAAAAGCCAAAATAAATGGAACATTATTCCATATTCACAGATTCAGTGTCATAAGATATTAATTCTCCTTAAACTGATCTGTAGATTCAAGACTATTTACATCAGAAACCCAGCAAGGTTTCTTCATAGGAAACCTTTGTCAAGCTCATTAAAAAATTTATATGAGGCTGGGCATGGTGGCTCACGCCTGTAATCCCAGCACTTTGGGAGGCCGAGGCGGGTGGATCACCTGAGGTCAGAGTTGGAGACCAGCCTGGCCGCCATGGTGAAACCCCATCTCTACTAAAAAGACAAAAATTAGCTGGGTGTGGTGGCATGTGTCTGTAATCCCAGCTACTTGGGAGGCTGAGGCAACAGAATCACTTGATCCCGGGAAGCGAAGGTTACAGTGAGCCGAGATCATGCTACTGCACCCCACCCTGGGCAACAAGAACGGGATGCCATCTTAAAAAAAAAAAAATTACATGAAAGAACAAGGACCAAAAAGCAAAGACACTACTAAAGAACCACAAAATGCAGAAACTTACTTTACCATACATCAAGACTTCTAAGGTGTAGTGATTAAAATAATAACATTTGCACAGAGAGAGACAAATAGACTGTGAAATAGATAACCCAGAAATAGATCTGTGCATCTGTGGAAGCTATGACTCTCCTGTTTGTGGGAGACAAAAATGCAGTAAGTAATAATATGCTAAAAACAATGTTTATTAGTGTAATTTTCCCATTGACCAAGATTGTATCTTTTTTTTCTTGTTTTCACCTTCTCTGTCTAGAAATAGCAAGTGAAGAGGAATCTCCAGTACCTCTGTACTCTCATCTAAACAGTGAAAGCTCCATTCCAGAAGAATTAGGCAGCCCTGCTGTTGAATATGTACCATCCGAGTCTATAGGACAGGAGCAGCCAGGGAGTCCAGATCACAGTATACTTACTGAAGAAATGATTTGTTCACAGGAACTAGAATCTTCTACCTCTCCTAGTAAACATGTAAGTTAATGTATATTTATATCTTAAAGATTCTCTAGAAAAAAAACTGAAAGGTATGTTAGCAGTTATATTATTGTAATTAATGACAGTGTTAACTGTCACCATACTTGTAACATATAGGATATAACATTTGAATAGAAATAAAGCTTTTCATTTACAAATATATGAATTTTGGCATTAGTGAAGGTTATAAAATCATTTGCTATCAAGTCTGTGAATATTGAGGGAATAGGAACTTCTAAAGTCTTTATGAAAAACAGTTTGTAGGAACAACACAAGTTCTTTCTGAAATTTGTTTTTTCACATAACAAAAACAGTAAGATCTTAAACCACACCAGAGTACCTTTACTGTAACTGAATTAATAACTTATGTATAACTCATAGAATAAAAGTAATGGTTTAGCCTCTTAAAGGCAGCTCTGAAACAGTTATTGATTTTAAATTAAGATGATGGCCATTATTAAACTAAGATTTTCTACATTGTCCTTAATCGTGTACTTTATAGAAAAAAAAACTAGCTGGTAAAAACTCAAGATAGAAACTTAACTCTTTTTTTTTTTAATATAGCAAATAATTAGCATAACAATATTAAATATTTAGTATACTGTGGTATACTAAAGTATACACAGATGTTGTTAAAGCCTCTTTATGTTTAAAAAAAGATCTGCCCAAATTCAGAATGGAATATTCTTTGTTGGAGTCTTCCATTTTTATTGTGATAGAAAGAATTAATTTTGTTTCCCCATTGAAAAGTCAATCAGGTTCATTTGTGTTACAGCACCTAGAAGATCTAGAAGAAAAACATATTTTATTCATTGAAGAGCCTATTAAATATTATGTTAAAAAATATTTCAATGTCCTTGTGCACATACTTGAAATCAGCATTTTTAGGTTATTAAAGGCTTTTAATAATTATATTAGTGGTTTCTTATTATATGATAATATTAGACTTATATAGATAATTTACTTATAGCATTATCTTTTATTCCGTAAATTTCTACCTTCGAGGAATTTACAATCAAACTGCCTTTATACAATCTTAAAAGTTTATTATCTCTTATAAATCAATTAGATTCTACCTAGCATCATTATTGATGAGGCTTGGAATAGCCACAAACTGGCTATTAAAAATTAGAGCTTTTTTCACAGGAAAATATATCAAGGAAATCAAAACTAGTATGTCTTAAAGTGGTTTTTATAATAAAAGCTAATATTTATTAAGTGTTTATTTACGAAGTACTTACCAAGTGCCTTACGTGGATTATCTCATTTAACCCTCGCAAGAATCCTATAAAATAGATACTGTTCTAATCCCCAAGCTAGGAAATTTGCCCAAAGTCACAGGGATAGGAAGTGATAGTAGCTAGGAATCAAATCAGGCATCTCACTTCCACCTGATGTCAGGATAGAAATTTTGTCTTTTGTTCTCTTGTGGGCAAACTTCTTACGCTCTGTTTTCTTCTTCCCTTCCTCTCTCCTTTCCGTAAAAGTAGTACATACTGAGTATTTTTAAAATTAAAAGAATGGAGGGGGGCGGTAAATATTACTGACACAATAATCACTTCTAATTTATTGTAAAACTTTTTTAAACCATGCTCTTTTATAATTTTTTTCTATGCCTTCAAAAAAAAATGAGGTCTTATCCTTTATATAATTTGTAACCTTTTTTTAAAAATCAGCTTTCCCAGGTTGAATAATTTGTAAACTTTTTTCACTTATGTCTTAACAGTTATCTTAAATTCTTTGTAAATGTTATCTTTATATGGCTAGTATGTCAAATTTTAAATAGAATTTTACAATTATATCAAAAAATAGTTTCCATTTGGTTTTCTGTTTGAACAGTCACTTCCCAAAAGCTGCACATCTGTGTCAAAGCAGGAGTCTAGCAAAGGAAGTCATAGGACTGGAGGACAATGTCACCTGCCTATCAAGTCCCATCAGCACTGTTATAGTTGGTCAGATGAGTCATTATCTATGACACAGTCAGGTAAGACTAATCATGAGGAGTTTTTATTTGTGTTGTATTTGAACAGCCTTTACTCTAAAAGGCTTCAAGGAGTTTGTTGACCTTAGGAAGCATATGTAGACAGACAGTGGTGAGTTTATGTAGGATTGTGAAGAAGATTAATACCATATTGAATATTGCCATATTGAATATATCGAGTTAGGCATATTCAGTGTATTGCTTTTTTTGTTATTTTTTAAGACAGAGTCTCACTGTGTCACTCAGGCTGGAGTGCAGTGGTGCGATCTTGTCTCACTGCAACCTCCGCCTCCCAGGGTCAAGCAATTCTCCTGCCTCAGCCTCCCGAGAAGCTGGGATTACAGGCACCCGCCACCACGCCTGGCTAATTTTTGTATTTTTTTTTTTTTAGTAGAGACGAGGTTTCACCACGTTGGCCAGGCTGGTCTCAAACTTCTGACCTCAGGTGATCCACCCGTCTCGGCCTCCCAAAGTGCTGGGATTACAGGCGTGAGCCACTGCACCCGGCCCACTGTACTGCTTTTTGAATTCAGTTTTAGTTTTGAGAGTAAACATTTAGTAAACGAAACATGAAAATTGTTATTCTTTGGGTTTTTTTTGGTAATTAATTATGTGTTGTACCTTTTTGTTTTCCATGTGTCAGACAATTATAAATCATGGAATTTTCCTACACCCATGTTTACAGCTCTTCTTTCTTCTTTGAGTAACTATATAATATTTCAAAGAGTAGATGTACCATAATTTATTTAACTGTTTCCCTAGTGATGGCTATTTAGATTTTCTTAAATATTTCACAATTGCAAATAATGCTATAATAAACATCTTTATTTAAAGATTTACACACACATATGTATGCAGTCATGCATCACTTAACGTCCAGGATATGCTCTGAGAAATGTGTCATTAAGCAATTTCATCATTATATGAACTGCGTAGAATGAACTTAGGCAAACCTAGATTGTGTAGCCTTACTGCACTCTCAGGACATATGGTATAGCCTCTTGCTCCTAGGCTGTAATACCTGTACAGTATATTACTATACTGAATGCTATATGCAGTTGTAACACAATGTTAAGTATTTGTATATCTAAACATAGAAAAGGTGTAGTAAAAATATTATGACTCACATGTGTATGTGATATCATATATCATTTATGTGTGTGTTTATCATGTATAATAAAAATTCTTTTTGTATATTTCAGTGTGGAATAGATTCTTAGGAATAGAATCATTGAGTCAGGCCAGTTGAAGAAAGTTGTCTCATATTTCTCTGTGGAAATTTACTAATGTTTTTATATATTTGCTTTTATGTACGTTGGTGAAAAATTACTTCCAAGAGAATAACATGTCAGTAGACATAAACTTGAATACTTGGAAACATGGGTTCTTATCCTGGATCTCTTACTTACCGGTGACTTTCTTCAAGTTTCTTTGCCAATACTGGATTATCTTTTTCATTTGTTAGCAATGGAATAATGTTTCAACCATCCTTGCATGAGTTATGCACCAAGGATTAATAATAACATTTGTAAGATACTGTTTTATTGGTGACACTTATTTAAGTAAGAATAAATGGTTTTAGAAAAGTAGCTCTGAGGTTTCTAAACTACAGATTCACTACCTATTCAAGATGACATTATTTATATTCAGTATTTGTAGAAGTGGTAGATATTAATGTAGTAGAGTTATAATACCTTTACTTAAATGATGGGAGAGTTTATCAACCAAGCTAATATAATCAGTGTGTGTCAAATAATCAGAAACTCCCGCCTCAGCCTCCTGAGTAGCTGGGACTACAGGCGCATGCTGCCACACCTGGCTAATTTTTGTATTTTTGGTAGAGATGGGGTTTTGCCATGCTGCCCAGGGTAGTCTCAAACTCCTGACCTCAAGCAGTCTGCCCACCTTTGCCTACCAAAATGCTGGGATTACAGGCACGAACCAGTGCGCCCGGACTGCATTTGGTTTCTTTAGTACTTAAAAACATAAACATTTTCCAAGGTCTTTCATCTAAAAACCCCAGGTTTTTCATCACCTGCTATTAAATCTTCAACCATAGATGGTAAATATATTTTTTATTGAAAATCACTGCTGGCATATACAATTTTTAAAAATATTAATTTAAAATAGTTATTTTGGGGGCAAAATTGAAACTAAGCCTGTAAGAGTGTAGTGGTGTACAAAATCTTACCAAAATAATAATAATTTTGGAAGCACATAAGTAAATATTGAGCCTTGCCTATGCTAAGGACTCAGTATGATGCCACCACTAATATAAAACAAGCCTAACTTTCCTAGTATGTCTTAACTCAGTGTCATAGAAGTGACAGGAACTCAGATTTTATTATTTCTTATTCAGACATTTAGACCACACTATTAAAAAGACTGTAATCTTTTTGCATTTAAATAACTTCCATAACTAGCTCTTACACGGTTTAATCTGAAGTAACTGATAAAATCCTGGTTTTTGATGTGATGTTAAGTCTTAAGATTTGTGTATATTATTTCTGTTGTAAGACTATTAAATGTCTCACTCAACATTAGTATATGGAAATGACACCATTGTGTGATTGAGGGAGGTGTGAGGAACAGTAATTTCTATCCTATGTAATTTCCATGTGTAGTGAAATAAGCAGTGTCTTTAAATGATACCTGTTTGTTTTCATAGCATGTGTATGACACATTATAATGAAATATCTTTTTCATGATGTTGCTATGAGTAGACGTCTTGTGTATGTGAACTGTTGGAGAGAAAAGATTTAACTAGCTTCATTTCAGTTATTTTAAATATTTTGAGAGCTTTCAAAGAGAGATTACAGCAGAGTCTATTTCTTTATAACTTCTCTCTTTTTAATGTGGTATTAAGCCATCAGGGAATGAATCACAAGCAATTTGAAGTGGTAAAACTCTAGTTTGATTTTAATATGACTTAAAAACTATTAAATTATGTATTAATAACTAAGGCAAAAGACAGTTAAATATGATTATCTTGTTACCAGAAGTAATTTCTTGCAGAATATCCAAATTTCATCAATCTAAAAATTTCTCAACTTCCAGCTGCATGTCTTACCAAGACAGCGTATCTCAAGATTTATTTATAATTTCAAGTAGTACAATTAGAAAGTGAAAATAAATAGGAGGAACCAAGCCAAAAATAAAGTGTATGTGGCGGGCGGCGGGGAGGGTGGGAATTATAGGGATACATTTTAGTAATAAATCTTCTTCCGAAGCTCATATTTTAATTATTAGATTGGCTTTATTTAAATGGAATATTACATTACAGCTTTTTATTAGTAGTTACTGAGTTAACATTATTCTTAAGTCAAAATTATAAATAAAAGATTTTGTATCTCTTTCAGAAACTACATCTGACCAGAGTGATATTGAAGGTAGGATCAGAGCTCTGAAGGATGAGTTGCGGAAAAGAAAATCAGTTGTGAACCAGCTGAAGAAGGAACAGAAAAAAAGGCAAAAGGAAAGACTGAAAGCCCAAGAAGCCAGTCTGATCAAGCAGTTAGAGGTTAGACATAGGAAGAAGGGGGTTTAGTATCAAGGCTAATGTGTATGTGACGTCTAAAATGTTTTTAATGTTGTTAATAAAGTAATGGATTAGGATTCTTCATTATTAGTGTGGTGCCACATTTTATTCTCTTAAAAAAAATCTGAGGGTATCCAAGGACATTCTTGCTTAAAACATTAAATTTTATTTTATTTATTTATTTTTGAGATGGAATCTCGCTCTGTCGCCTAGGCTGGAGTGCAGTGGCGCGATCTCTGCTCACTGCAAGATCCGCCCCCTGGGTTCACGCCATTCTCCTGCCTCAGCCCCCTGAGTAGCTGGGACTACAGGCGTCCGCCACTACGCCCGGCTAATTTTTTGTATATTTAGTAGAGACAGTGTTTCACTGTGTTAGCGAGGATGGTCTCGATCTCCTGACCTCGTGATCCCCCTGCCTCGGCCTCCCAAAGTGCTAGGATTACAGGTGTGAGCCACTGCGCCCAGCCAAAACATTAAATTTTAAATTTAAATATTAAAATAACAAGTATTAAATATTAAAATTGGCTACATATAGTGGTGTGTTCCTGAAGTCCCAGATACTCAGGAGGCTGAGGCAGAATTGCTTGAAGCCAGGAGTTTGAGGCTGTAGTGCACCATGATTGCACCTGTGAATAGCCACTGCATTCCAGCCTGGGCAACATAGCAAGACCTCCACCTCTAAAAAATAAATATTAAAATAAAGTATTAGATTTTTTTTTTCTAAATAAGAAAGATTAGGCCTTTGAAAGAAAGATTGGTGTCTATACCCTTGTAAGCAGAGAAGTATTAGATAAATAATTTTAGCTTTTGGAATTGTTGCTGCTTCCCTTCCCCCTTTCCTCTTTCCTCTTCCTTCCCTCTTCCCTGTCCCCTTTTTTTCTCCTTTTCTTTCCTCCTTCCCCTTCCCCTTTCCCCTTTCCCTTTCCCTTCCCCTTTCCCCTTCCCTTCCCTTATTTCACAGAATGGTGTTTCATGCCACACAACCTATTAAATAGTACACTTCTTTGTGCTATTTGAATAGCTTCTAATTGATAACTCTTAACTTGAATTTTCCCCCAAGCCGTAGCAGCCTTTCTGAGTCTGTCCCAGGCTGGGAACCTGATTTTGATGTCTTCCTTATTCTGTTCTTTCCTGTCCAATTCAGTCACTAGTTCTCATGGATTCTTCTATAAAGTTTCTTGTTTGTCCCTTTCCATTCCTACTGCTTCCAGGCTAGCTGGGGCCCTTATGACCTCTTGCCTCTACTGTCTGCGTAGTCTCTTAGATGTTCTGCCTCATACTGCTTTTCTATTACACACATTCTGCTTCTCTGTTACACACATTCTGTTTCTCTATTACACACATTCTGCCAGCCCGGTGTTCCTAGAACAGGACATTCATTGTAGAATCAGATTGAATCTCCTACTCATTGCAAGAATCCCTTCTCATCTCATCACCAGAGAACATCATTCAACTTCTACCTGAACACTTCCAGTAATAGGAATTTTCAAAATTTCAAGCTAATTGGTTTCCTTGTTAGACTCTAAGTGCTCTAAGTATTAGAAGAGCTCTTTGTTGTATTTAGCCAAAATTTCTGTCCTTTTAATTTCCACCCATTGGTCCTTGTTGTGTAACAGCAAACACATGCTTCTCCTACTGTTATTAATTTAATCATCAAATATTCAAATGCCTATTTATGTGCCAGGAGCTCAGCTAATTACACATATTTTTCATTTAATCCTCACAACAAGGTGTGAGTATTATTATCCCTGTTTTATAGATAAGGAAACTGAGTTTCAGTGAGATTAATGATTTATCCAAGGATACAGAGCTCATAAATGGTGAAACTAGGATTTTAATCTAGCTCTAATTTTAAATTCTGTGGCTTTACCATTGTATTGTCTTCCACACAGAAAATAGGCCTGTTAATAGATCTGGAGAAAATAAACATTTAAACAGGTACACAATACAGAGATGGAATAGGGATTGTAACTTGCACAATGGTTAGAGTAGGAAAAGTGATTAAGATACAATGACCATACTGAGGAGTTCATGCTGGAAAGAAGTGGAAACAAAATTTAAAAATACAGATTATATTCAGGACCGTAGAAGTCAAACTGATGAGTTTGGATTTCATCTTATACGTCAACTAATGAGGAGTCATTGAAATAACTGTTGGAGATAAAGTACTATTAGAATGAATAGTATTGCTCAAAAATGTACCTTAATAGCTATGTCAGTCAGAAAAGAGCCCTCTAGAGAGTGCCATACGATCCATCTCTTCCAGCATTCTACTTAATGGCATAAACAAAGACAAAAGAAAATTCTGTATTTAACTTTTAAAATTACAGTATATGAGATATGCATATATATATATATATATATAAAATACATAGCAGTTCATATAAAAATCTATTGGATTTTATTTGATCACAGATTTAATAAATGGACTGCACTCATATATGTATAGCTTTCAGATCTTAGTAGTCATAGTCCTCATATATACCTATTGAGCTAGAACACCTAGCTGTGGTGTAGGTTTAATACCAGGAGTTATTTTAACAAAAAATGTTGACAATTCAGACGAAGGTAACATGGATGATGAGAGTTGTAAAACAGTGATTTCAGTCCAGATTTTAGGGAACCGTAGCAGTTGACAAGCATCCATCCATCCATTAGTTCATTTTATAAATATTTATTGATAGGCTACTTTGGACCAGGCATTGTGAATAGGACATTGCGTACCAGACATACAGTGTTGAACAAAACACTAGTCTGAAATAGTGAGAGCTGTAAAAGTAAGGACTTCAGCCCAGAAAACTAAGGAATGATATATTAAATGGAGGAATCCCCTTATATTTCATACAAATTATAAATTAGTAAAGTTTTGTTTACAGAATGGGTAATAACCAGGAAACTTTTTTTTTGTAATTCTCAACTATCATACTGTCAACTATATCTTTCTCTTTTCATAATTTGTATCCCTAAGTACTTAGCCCATAAGAAACTTACTGCTATTGAAACTCAGAACAGAATGACTAACTTCTTAAAGATACCATGAAAGTAATAGTACACTCTTTAGAGAATACAAAGAAGTTTTTTAATGTGGCAAGGTATGAATTATTGCTTCATAGTATTAAACTTCTGTAGATTCGCAATGTCATTTCTTAATTGATACTGGAATTACAATTATATATCTTGCTTATATATAGATTATTTTGAGAAGGATGTACAAATAACTATAGAGTTCTGGAGAATGATGCTGAGGGGGGCAGGGAGGGAGATTTTTATATTACATCTTCTTTACTGTTTGAGCATTTTACCTTAAAATATACTATTTTATAATTTAAAATAAGTTTTAAAAATTCTGCCTAGTGACTCCTCTGGTTTTTCTAAACTTAGTCATATGATGAATTTATTAAGAAAACTGAAGCCGAGCTTAGCCAAGATTTGGAAACATCACCAACAGCCAAGCCTCAGATTAAAACGCTCTCCTCAGCTTCTGAAAAACCCAAGATCAAACCCCTCACACCACTACACAGGTAGAAATTTTTGATAACTTGTCTGTATTCTGCCTTGTTTGAAAAAGGAATAAGGGAATATTTTCAGTAGAAGTTACCCTTTAAGTAACTGAAATTACAGAAGTAAAAATATTATTTTCTATTTTTAGTGTCAGTAAATTAAAATTGTTACATATTATAATTAAAAATTATATGTATAAGGTATTGATTTTAAAATACATTTTTAATCCTGCAGTCTGATGGGTACAATGAAAATGGTAGTTTCCAACATTGCTAGTAGTAGCATAAGTTGATGTAGACCTTTGAAAAAAACAGTTTGGCTATGTTTCAGAAGTCAAAAATAAGTCTGTAACCTTTGACCCAGTAATCCTATTTCTGGAAGTCTAAATTGAGAAAATGTGGGGTACTGAAAATCTCTATTTGCATGAATATATTTATAATAACATTCGTTATATTCTTTATATTCATAAAACATTGGAAACAATTTTTATGGCCAAAAATGGATGAATAGCTCAGTAAATGACGGTTCTCTGCAAGCGATGTAATAGTATGCAGTCAGTAAGCAAATACAGAAGATACTAAGTTGCAACATTAGAATATATAATATTGTGTATTAGGAAGTCAGGTTATCATATTTAAATTTTGAACAAAAAGTAAAGGTTAGATCAGTTCAATTGAGAAATAGGGGTCATTTCAGAAAATGTTATTCATGAATGACTAAAAGCAAAAAAAAAAAAAAACATTGGCATATCATAGAAGCTGAACATAATAGGTTATTGCTGGAGTTAGCAGAAGGAAAAATAAACAAAAGCCAAATAGTGAAAACCTTGTACTCATTTATTCTTAGCAGTTTGTGTTTTACCTTTTAGAAAATGTGGAGCCTTTGAAGGTTTCTTTAAAAAGTATTTTGGGACATTTTTGTTAGAGAGGTATGGCAGGCTCATTACAATTAATTTAGCATTACCTAAATTTGAATCCTGGCTCCAGTTCTAGCTGGTTCTGTAACTGTGGGCAAGTTATTTAACCGCTCTGTGCTTCAGTTTTTTAATAGGGATTTATAAAGGTAAGAATAATACCTGGTTAATACACATGTTATGAGGGTTAAAAGACTTAACAGGGCTTAGGACACAGTAAGCATTGTGTATTAGCTGCTGCTATTATTATTATTATTGTTACTATTTCTAGGGAAGCAGTAAAAAGAAAAAAGTTTAAATCATATCATACCCAACTATCCCACAATAGCAAATGTCAACAATTAGATATGTTTCCTTCCAGGATTTTTTATGCTCAGATTTTGTGTGTGTGTTTTTGTTACATATGTATTTTTCCATTATATTATGAAGTGTACATTTTAATTTCTACATGATATGCTATTGAATGGGTTTGTAATTTTCTTAAGCTACTGAAGGATTTTAACCAGAGAGTGACACAGTCATGTTTGTGTTTACAGAGATCTTTCTGACCACAATACAGAGGAAAGATAGAAAAGAGTAAGCTTAGAAGCAGGAAGAAAAATAGTCTAAGCCAGACCTCAAGTAAGCAGTAGTAAGAAGAATAGAAAACAGGAGACATATTTTAGGATAGTGAAGGATTAAAAAGTAGACTTGAGCCAGGCACGGTGGCTCACGCCTGTAATCCCATCACTTTGGGAGACTGAGGCAGGTGGATCACAAGTCAGGAGTTCGAGACTAGCCTGACCAACATGGTGAAACCCCATCTCTACTAAAACTAGAAAAATTAGCTGGGCATGGTGGTGTGCGACTGTAATCCCAGCTACTCAGGAGGCTGAGGCAGGAGCATCGCTTGAACCCGGGAGGTGGAGGTTGCAGTGAGCCGAGATCACGCCATTGCACCCCAGCCTGGGCAACAGAGCAAGACTCCATCTCAAAAAAAAAAAAAAAAAGTAAACTTGATAAGTTAAAGTGCTAGATGGGGTAGCAAGTCTAAGATGACTCCCGGGTTTCTCTTAGGTAGTTGATTGGGTCAAGGTTTCATTAATTTAAATGGAAAAGGTGGTTTTCTGTGGGAGGCTTATGATTTTGGTTTTAAGTGTTAATTTTAAGTGCCTGTTGTTTAAGTGAAACCGTGAGGAAAGTTATCAGGGTTAGAAATATGAGGAGGATAAGCACATATATAGTGGTTGAAGCCATAAATCACCCAGAGGAGATAGCATTCAGAGAGAATAAATGGGAGCCAGGTACTCAAGATGATAAAATAGCAACATTTTAGGGCATTGTAAAAAGGTAGGACGTGAAAGCCAAGTATTACAGTTTAGCAAATGAAGTCAAGAAAATAGAGTGAATGTAGCCTCTTCTGTTATCTATAAAGAATAAGAGAGGACAGTAATATGGGGTGGTTTGAGCAAATAGCTTTGAACAAATAAGAGAGAGACAAATTTTCTTCCTGCAGACAGGAGGAAAGGCAGTTAGGATGGCTGTGAATATGGATGAACTTGCATGTAAAAGTTTGAAGGTAAAGTTCATGCCTGTTGGCCTCTGTTTTTGTCATCTAGTGACAAAGGCAAGGTCATCTAGTGAGAGTGATGAGAGTTAGAAATAGGCTTGATGAGGCCGGGCGCGGTGGCTCACGCCTGTAATCCCAGCCCTTTGGGAGGCAGAGGCGGGCGGATCATGAGATCAGGAGATCGAGACCATCCTGGCTAACACAGTGAAACCCCGCCTCTACTAAAAATACAAAAAATTAGCCGGGCGTGGTGGCGGGCGCCTGTAGTCCCAGCTACTCGGGAGGCTGAGGCAGGAGAATGGCGTGAACCCGGGAGGCGGAGCTTGCAGTGAGCCGAGATCGCGCCACTGCACTCCAGCCTGGGCGACAGAGCGAGACTCCGTCTCAAAAAAAAAAAAAAAAAAAAAAAAAGAAATAGGCTTGATGAAAGTGACATAGATTGACATACCTACTGTAGAGAAGAGGAAAGAAGCAGTTGTCTAAGAATGTCTGCTTTTTGTTACCAGTTATTATAGTAATATGTTTATTTCTGCTCATTAATTTTTACACGTCAGATCTGAAACGGCAAAGAATTGGAAATCACTAACAGAGTCAGAACGTTCCAGAGGATCCCTGGAGTCTATTGCTGAACATGTTGGTATGTAACTAGAAAAAATAATTAACTTGTAGCTACATAGTCTAAGGATTTATGCAAAGGCCTACAAAATTCTACCTCTATAGCTTTTTTATTAAAAAGTGAATTTCTTAAGTAGATTATTTAACATTTTAAAGTTACTTTTATATTTTAAAGTGATTTATTGGCTATGTGTAAATTATATGAATCCTTTTTGTTTGTTTTAGTTTTTTGGGTTTTTTTTTTGTTCGAGACAGGGTCTCACTCTGTCACCCAAGCTGGAGTGCAGTGGCATGATCATAGCTTACTACTGCAGCCTTGACCCCCTGGGCTCAAGCAATCCTCCCATCCTAGCCTCCCAAGTAGCCAGGACCAGGATCACAGGCACATGCCACCATGCCCAGCTCATCTTTTTTTTTTTTTTAAGAGACGGGGGGGTCTCACCGTTGTTGCCCAGGCTGGTCTCGAACTCTTGGACTCACGCAGTCCTCCCACCTCAGCCTGGTTGAACATTACCAGCACTTCAGCCAAAGTGGTGAGATTATGGGCATGAGCCACCACACTCAGCTGAATCAGTCTTTATTGTCCAAAATTTATGAGAAAAACCAAAGTATAAAGATTAAATAGCTGAGTATATCATCTGCATCTCTGAATTTCCCCTAACCAGATTTTTAATCTGGTTATATATATTTTCAGCCTAACTATTTCTTAGCTAAATAGCTGTATACATTTTTCAGTTTAACCAAAAGAAAGTTAATTATTAAAAATAAAATGTAGGCTAGGCGCAGCAGCTCACGCCTATAATCCCCACACTTTGAAAGGCTGAAGTAGGCAGGTCACTTGAGCTCAGGAGTTTGAGACCAGCCTGGGCAATATGGTGAAACTCCATCTCTACAAAACATACAAAGTTAGCTGGGCATGGTGGTGCACACCTATAGTCCCAGCTATTTGCAGGGCTGAGGCAGGAAGATCGCTTACACCCAAGCAGTTGAGTCTACAGCGAGTTGTGATCAGCCACTGCACTCCAGCTTGGGTGACAAATTGAGACACTATCTCAAAAAAAAAAAAAAATGTAATTCAGTGAGAAAATAAAACTGAGGTGCAAAGAAACATCAGTGACAAATAGAGATTTGGCCAGGCACAGTGGCTCGTGCCTATAATCCCAGGTACTTAGGAGGCTGAGGCTAAGGATCGCTTGAGCCCAGGTTCAAGGCAACAGGGAGCTGTGACCACTGCACTCCAGCTTAGGTGACAGAGCAGATTCTTGCTCTTACAAAAAAAAAACGATTTGAATTTAAAACTTTTAACTCTTGGTTTGTTAGCTCACTATATTGTACTTTGATCATATTTTGCACGTTTAGCTCTTAAAGTGCTATATTTGCAGAAATAGTTGATCTATTTTCTTTTTAATTCAAGAGCTTAGTTGAAGCTCCTAGGAAAATGTATTCTTTTAGAAGTATATATGGAAGTCTGTTTCTCCTTCACTAGTTTCCTGTTTGAAAAATGTTTGTAATAACCATCATACAATTCTATTTTTGCATGATTTGAGGATGAATGTGCAAAGCAATGGTTCCATCAACTTAGATACATTTTTCTTCACTTTATAAGTTAAGACAGTGCTTAAGAAATTATTCCAAACTTTAGAATTTTCAGTAATTTTAAATGTTGATACAGATGATATTCTCTTAAAAGAAAAACTTATAAAGTAGCCAAAACAGGTCATATTTATTGACTAGAGGGGTTTTTTTCACTAAAATTTGGCTTTTCTCTAAACTTTGGTTCACAAAATTGAAAGATAGTGATTAAATAATTTTGATGTGGTGATTTGTTTTTTCTTTAAGATGCTTCACTGTCTGGTTCTGAGAGATCAGTATCAGAAAGGTCTTTATCTGCATATGCAAAGAGAGTAAATGAATGGGACAGTCGAACAGAAGATTTTCAGACCCCATCTCCAGTTCTCAGATCATCAAGGAAAATCAGAGAAGAATCTGGAGATTCTCTAGAAAATGTACCTGCATTACATCTTCTCAAAGAATTAAATGCCACTAGTAGAATTCTTGATATGTCAGATGGCAAGGTTGGAGAATCTAGTAAAAAATCAGAAATAAAAGAAATAGAGTATACAAAATTGAAGAAGAGTAAGATTGAAGATGCCTTTTCTAAAGAAGGTAAATCTGATGTCTTACTGAAATTAGTCCTAGAACAGGGAGATTCATCTGAAATTCTTTCAAAGAAAGATCTTCCTTTAGATTCTGAAAATGTTCAGAAAGACCTAGTTGGATTAGCTATTGAAAATCTCCATAAAAGTGAGGAAATGTTGAAAGAGAGACAGTCAGATCAAGATATGAATCATAGTCCAAACATCCAATCAGGAAAAGACATTCACGAACAAAAGAACACAAAGGAAAAAGATTTGTCT
Organism: Homo sapiens; assembly: GCF_000001405.40. Lineage (NCBI taxonomy): Eukaryota > Metazoa > Chordata > Mammalia > Primates > Hominidae > Homo > Homo sapiens. Next base: position 180,093,192 of record NC_000001.11, read on the forward strand.
TGGTCAGAACATCTTTTTGCTCCTAAAGAGATACCATACTCTGAAGATTTTGAAGTGTCTTCTTTCAAGAAAGAAATTTCAGCTGAATTGTACAAAGATGATTTTGAGGTGTCATCTTTGCTGTCACTCAGGAAAGACTCTCAGTCTTGCAGAGATAAGCCACAGCCAATGAGGAGCTCTACAAGTGGAGCCACTAGCTTTGGTAGTAATGAGGAAATCAGTGAGTGCCTAAGTGAGAAAAGCCTTTCTATCCATAGCAATGTTCATTCTGACAGGCTGTTGGAACTCAAGTCCCCTACTGAGCTGATGAAAAGTAAGGAGCGCAGTGATGTGGAGCATGAACAGCAAGTTACTGAATCCCCTTCCTTGGCTTCAGTTCCTACTGCAGACGAGTTATTTGATTTCCACATTGGTGATAGGGTGTTGATTGGAAATGTTCAGCCAGGAATTCTTCGATTCAAAGGTGAGACTAGTTTTGCTAAAGGATTTTGGGCCGGAGTGGAGTTAGATAAACCTGAAGGAAATAACAATGGAACATATGATGGTATTGCATATTTTGAGTGCAAAGAAAAGCATGGTATTTTTGCTCCTCCTCAAAAAATATCTCACATTCCAGAAAACTTTGATGACTATGTAGACATTAATGAAGATGAAGACTGTTACTCAGATGAACGATATCAGTGCTATAATCAAGAGCAAAATGATACAGAGGGTCCAAAAGACAGAGAAAAGGATGTCAGTGAATATTTTTATGAGAAATCCCTACCTAGTGTGAATGATATAGAAGCCTCAGTTAATAGAAGTAGAAGCCTTAAAATAGAAACAGACAATGTACAGGACATTTCTGGGGTACTTGAAGCCCATGTTCACCAGCAGTCTTCAGTGGATTCACAGATTTCTTCAAAGGAAAACAAAGACCTCATTTCTGATGCCACAGAAAAGGTTTCCATCGCTGCAGAAGATGACACTTTAGACAATACCTTTTCCGAAGAATTGGAGAAGCAACAGCAGTTTACAGAAGAGGAAGACAACCTATATGCTGAAGCTTCAGAAAAGCTTTGTACACCACTTCTGGATCTTTTAACAAGAGAAAAAAACCAACTGGAAGCCCAGCTGAAGTCATCACTAAATGAGGAAAAAAAGTCAAAACAACAACTGGAAAAAATCAGCTTACTGACAGACAGTTTACTAAAAGTCTTTGTAAAGGACACAGTCAATCAACTACAACAAATCAAAAAAACCAGGGATGAGAAAATCCAGCTTAGCAATCAGGAGCTTCTTGGTGATGACCAAAAGAAAGTAACACCCCAAGACCTATCCCAAAATGTTGAGGAACAGTCGCCAAGTATTTCAGGTTGCTTCTTAAGTTCTGAATTGGAAGATGAAAAAGAAGAGATTTCCTCTCCAGATATGTGTCCCAGACCGGTGAGTATTTCGTCTAGAAAAAGTATCAGTATACCTTTTGACACTTTTAACAAGGCAACTTACCTTGCCTATATAGTACATTTTAATTCTGTGACTCCTGATAGGTTTTTTTTCCCTTGACGTGTTGTTTATTAGAGAAGGATCACTGTACTGGTTTTTAAAGGCCTTGTAGCTGTTTTTCCTGGCTGAAGTGTAATTGTCCTCTATTATGTCATGAGTAGTCAATATAGGGTTGTCACAAGCACTGGCAGGTTTTGGGGAACTAAAACATCCATTTAAACTGCTGAGTTGACAACCCCTGTACTGTCCATAGATTACATCTCCTTCCAGATTCACTGAACAAATTCGTTCCATGGAGCTTTCCAGTGGCTCACCACCCAATTCTTTTTTGCCTGTGAAATTGTTTACATATCTACTCAGTCATGGTTGGCCTGCAGAGGTTAGCAGTTGTGATGTTGATTCTGGTAAAATGAAATAGATCCACTATGACATGCACTCAGACCATCAGCTTGTTTATGTTGCCCATGGACAGTTGAGCAAAAGTAATGACTTTGAGTAACTTGAGCCAGATGGTCACCAGAGGTGAGAAATTTTATATCCCATTTCCATATCCCATAGACAGTTCTTTAGAAACAGAATAATGATAATACAAAAAGCGGGGAGAGCCCTAATCAATAAACATTTTATAAAAATTCAGTTATATGCAAGGTTTATATAAGTAGAATTGAGGGAACAGGATAACTTTTTCTTAGATTGTTTATTAGTAGCCACCATATTGTTTTTTATTCTGCTTACTTATAGAGAAATATTAGATATATAAATAATGCATTTACTCTGTCTTTTTTTAAAAAAAAATGATATGAGGTCCCTAAATGGTGCTCTGTTTGAATGGTTCCATTTCTATAGGAGAGCCCAGTATTTGGTGCCAGTGGGCAGGAAGAACTTGCTAAGAGACTTGCTGAACTTGAACTCAGCCGGGAGTTCCTGAGCGCGTTAGGAGATGATCAAGACTGGTTTGATGAAGACTTTGGTTTGAGCTCTTCTCACAAGATCCAAAAAAATAAGGCAGAAGAAACCATTGTACCTCTAATGGCAGAACCTAAAAGAGTAACCCAACAACCATGTGAAACATTATTGGCAGTCCCCCATACTGCAGAAGAAGTAGAGATTCTTGTACATAATGCAGCAGAAGAACTTTGGAAATGGAAAGAATTAGGCCACGATCTTCATAGCATCAGTATTCCTACAAAACTGCTTGGCTGTGCCAGTAAAGGTCTAGATATAGAAAGCACTAGTAAAAGGGTCTACAAACAGGTAGGTGAAATAAAAGGATAATTTTAGTTTTTAAACTTTTCTCCCATTGTCTGAAATTTGGATTCTTAGCCATTTTGTTTTGTTTTGTTTTGTTTTTCTCTATCAAGGCGGTTTTTGATTTAACAAAAGAGATTTTTGAGGAAATATTTGCTGAGGATCCCAACTTAAATCAACCTGTCTGGATGAAGCCATGTAGAATCAACTCTAGTTATTTCCGACGAGTGAAAAATCCAAATAACCTTGATGAAATCAAGGTAAACTGCAAACTATAAAGTGTCTTCTTTTTTGACTTGCTGTTCATTTACACATATCTGTAAATGTTGTAAAAGCAGGTGCTCTTCTGTATGATTAACCTTTGTGTCTTCAGGACCTGTTCCATAGTGGGTATTCAATAAAGATTTGTTGACTTACTGAATCCATGAACAGTGGAGGGATTGGAATGAGTGAAAGGGCTGAATCCTCAAGTTTGTGCAAAAAAAAAAAAAAATTCTTTTACCAGTCATTTTCTCTATATACATAATTATAATATTTAAGAAAAATTAGGAAATACCTAGGGAGATAAATTATTGCAACTAATAGGAGTTTTAGGTAAGTTTTGGGGGCTTTAGAGATAGGTATAATGTTCTAAAAGTACATATGAATACGTGTCATATATATGTCTTTTCAATATGCCAGCCCTGGACACATAGGTGTTAACTTCTTTATCTTTGACTTTGGAGGTTTCAAATTGGTAATGTGGTTTTGAACTATGTAGGATAGTAATGTGATACGTAAAAATATTTATTTTGTTATCTAAGAAACCTTTGTAAACCTTTGTCCAGAAGCTACAAGGACTATGAACTTTAAAGTCACATTGCTGGCAATCTGCTCTGCCTAGTCACATGTTTCTTTACGGCAAAGGTTATATTTCCAGAGCAGTGATTCTCAACTTTTAATGTGCATGTGAATGATCTGAGGATCTTGTTGAAATGGAGATTCTGATTTAGTAGGTCTGGAGTAGGACCTGAAATTCTGCATTTCCAACAAGCTCTCAAGTCATGCTGGTCCTGCTGGTCCTGCTGGTCCTGCTGGTCCCAGGACCACGCTGAGTAGCAAAGCTTTAAACTTGTATTTCCCAAACTTATTTGATCACAGAAAGCCTTTAAAAATATTTTATACTTATAGAACACCAACAGATATTTATGAGATGGGATGTATGCTTACCTCAGGGGTTGGCAAACTATGGCCCATAAGCCAAATCCAGGCCCCTGTATGTTTTTATAAATAAAGTTTTGTTGGACCACAGCCATACCTAGTTGTTTACATGTTACAACTACATGTAACTACAACAGTGGAATTGAATAGTTGTGACAAAGACCACATGGCCCGCAAAGCCTAAAATATTTACAGTCTGATTTTTTACAGAAAAAATTGGCCATCCCCTGGCTTAAAGTAACTAGCTTTTTAAAAACACATTGTATACTCCATTCCTTCTACCCTTTCACAATTGAAAATGCTTGAATGCTATGTGTGTCTGTGAACAGGTAGGGAGTGATGGAATTTCCGGGCACGTTGGTACTTTGAGAATCTTTCCAGGTGATTCTGATTCATAAATGTGTCCCTTCCCCTGTTAAGAACATTGTTTTTTTAACAGAACAACCATAAAAGTAACAAAATAAATTATTAATAACATTAAGTTGAGGTAAGACAAGATATATAATATATACCAACAATCAAACTACATGCATCAATATAGCATACAATAAATGCCCACTAATTTTAATATTGACATAACATTTTGTAAAGTTTTTAAGGGTGATAGTTCAAATATTGTTAGTAGTAAAATTATTATGCTTCTCATACTGAAGTGTTGATATTTTTTAATTTAACATATTTGAGTTTTGGTGCTTCAAAATAAACTATCCCAAAGTCTTTTGCTTTTCTCACATTACATTGTCCCCAAAAATTTCTTTGAGATTTTTCCAATTCAGAGATTTATTTTATGCTTTCTTTAGTAGTTTTGCCAGCTTGAAGTTAGCTAATGGTAGTTTTGTTGTTGTTTTTTCTTTGTTTTTCTTGAGGTGGAGTTTCACTCTTGTTGCCCAGGCTGGAGTACAATGGCGTGATCTCAGCCCACTGCAACCTCCGCCTCCTGGATTCAAGTGATTCTCCTGCCTCAGCCTCCTGAGTAGCTGGGATTACAGGCATGCGCTACCTCACCCAGCTAATTTTGTATTTTTAGTAGAGACAGGGTTTCTCCATGTTGGTCAGGCTGGTCTCGAACTCCCGACCTCAGGTGATCCGCCGCCTTGGCCTTTCAAAGTGCTGGGATTACAGGCGTGAGCCACCGCACCCAGCATGGTAGTTCTTAAGTAAACTCTAAAGTGATTTTTCTTTGCAGATTAATCAGTGGGTTTTACTTTGTTGTTGTTGTTGTTGTTGTTATTTTTAGATAAGATCTCGCTTTGTCACCTAGGCTGGAGTGCAGTGGTGCAATCTCAGCTCACTGCAGTCTGGACCTCCTGGGCTCAATCAGTTCTCCCACCTCACCCTCCTGAGTAGCCAGAACTACAGTCATGTACCACCATGCCCAGCTAATTTTATATATTTTTTGTAGAGATGAGGTCTCTCACTATGTTGCTCAGGCTGGTCTCAAACTCCTGGGCTCAAGTGATTCTCCTGCCTTGGCTTCAGAGAGTGCTGGGATTACAGACGTGAGTCACCGTGCCCAGCTAGGTTTTACTTTTATATGTTGCGTAAGTGAATAAAGTCTCAGCATTTGGAATGCTTTTCCCTTCAAATTGCTATGTGGAACTGTAAGTGGAAGAAATTTGTATGATAATTTTATTGTAAATATTATATTCTTATCGTGAATCTGTTTACTGCATTGTAAACACATGAAACTCAGGAATTTCTGTTGTTTGTGTTTCGTGTATTTGTCTTGTTTCCACAGAGCTTCATAGCAAGTGAAGTACTCAAGTTGTTCAGTCTTAAAAAGGAGCCAAACCACAAAACAGATTGGCAGAAAATGATGAAATTTGGAAGAAAGAAAAGAGACCGAGTGGATCATATCCTGGTCAGTGTATACAACCAAACTGTTTTTATTTTGACCATATCTTTTAAACTCAGAATGCAGTTAGATTCTAAAAGGAAAAGGGATAGACTTATTCTTAAATCTATGGTATTAAAATCTTAAAGCCTTTACTTGCTGCATTTCTACCCCTCAGTTTTGTTAACTATTTTCTTTTGTACTCAGTAGATGAACATTTAACTTGATCAATAGTATTTTATGTAGAACTTGAGAAATTTACTCAAATGGAAGCAAAGTTTAAGGTAGTGAATTGAAAAGAGACCAGTGTGGACTCTGGAGCCTGACTGCCCATGTTTAAATCTCTTGATGTGTAATCTTGGACAAATTTGTCTAACATTTTTGTGCAAAGTGAAGGTAACAATAATAGTACTTACCTGATAAAATTATTAAGAAAATTAAATAAGTATATGTGTAAAGCACTTAGAATAGTTCCTCATATACAACTCAGTAAATAATAGCTGTTACCTCATCATCATCACTATTATCATTATCCAGAACATTCCCTGGATAGGATTTATTTGGTTTTGCAATATATTTCTGTAACATTAGGAAAGTGTTTATCAAAAAAGAAAAAAAGAAAAATTCAGGTTTCACTCTAAACATTTTAATTCTGGACCTTTTATCTATATTGACATTTATATAATGAAAAAAAGTGTAATACTTAAATTTATCACCGTTCTCATGTATGTACCTCTCTAGTGTTTCATTTACTCAGTAATAACTGTACTAGATAACATTTGCTTAGTATTTTATAGTTTATCATTCTTATGCCTTATTTGATTTTTTTTTTTTTTTTTTTTTTTGAGACACAGTCTCGCTCTGTCACCCTGGCTGGAGTGTGGTGGCACAATCTCTGCTCACTGCAGCCTCTGCCTCCCAGGTTCAAGTGATTCTCATGCCTCAACCTCCCGAGTAGCTGGGATTACAGGCACCTGCAACCATGTCCAGCTAATTTTTGTATTTTTAGTAGAGATGGGATTTCGCCATGTTGGCCAGGCTGGTCTCAAACTCCTGACCACAAGTGATCCGCCTGCCTTGGCCTCCCAAAGTGCTGGGATTACAGGCATGAGCCACCGCGCCCAGTGTCTTATGCCTTATTTGATCCTCACGATAATTACATGAGGTAGGAAGAACTAATGTTATCCTTTGTTTTACAAATGAGGTGTCTTACGCCTTATTTGATCCTCACAATAATTACATGAGGTAGGAAGGACTAATGTTATTCTTTGTTTTACAAATGAGGAAATTTAGATTCAAAGATGTTAAGTGACTTGCCCAGTAAAATAAGAGACGAGATTTTAATCAACTAATTCTTCATAGATCTTCACATCTCAAGAAAGTGAATTTGTTCTCCTATTTCTATCATGTCTTAAAGTCTGAATTGTTATTAATTTCCAAGTTGTTACTTCCTTTACTTCTTAGGAATTAAAGAAAAAAGCATATTAAGAGGCATTCATCTAACCTATCAGCTAAATTGATGATATCCCCTATAAATCACCTCTGTATATACATTGAGTCAAAAATTGTGCTAATTAAGGACTGATGTTAACAATAGTAAGCAAAACAGACACAGACCCCACCTTCATAGATTTCCAGTTTGAAGGCAGAAACCAGCCATTAATATATCGTTTACACACAAGTGTGTAAGTTATGCATAAAAATGGAAGAATAGGGAGCTGTTAAAACCACAGGAAGCTGATATAATGAGGATGGTCAAGGCAGGCTTCTCTGAGGAAGTGACATTTGAGCTCAGATCTTAAAGATGAATACATGGCAGCAGTAAGAGAAAATGAGGAGGAAGCAAAAGTGGAAACCCCTGATAAACCCATCAGATCTTGTGAGACTTAATTGCTATCACGAGAATAGCATGGGAAAGACTCCCATGATACAATTACCTCCCCCTGGGTCCCTCCCACACACGTGGGAATTCTGGGAGATACAATTCAAGTTGAGATTTAGGTGGGGACACAGCCAAACCATATCAGTACCCTGACAGCAGAGGCTTCCAGTAGGTGCCAAACAGGGTCAGTTAAGCAGACATCTCTCTAACAGTTATCAGAAATTCTCAAATACTAAACAAAATATTTCTTTTGCAGGGGTAAGGTTATTATAGCTTGGGTGAGGGGAGTACTGTGCATAAGAATTGAAGCAATTTAGCAACTGGTAAACAATAATAATAAAGTATATATTATGTGACTATCCCCTTTGCTGGTTGTAAAATATTTTTTAGCTTCCTACAGAGAGACCTGACCTATATAACTTTTTGCATGAGCTCGTTCTTCTTAATTTTTTTTTTTAACAAAATGATACTGTCAGCTTCTTGAGCTAATTATTAACAAGAAATGCTAAATGAACTAGTCTCCTCTCCCATAATTAGATTTGGTAAACCTTGTATTTGCAGATTCTAATGTTTTTACATTTTAGGGGGATTGAGATTTAAAACAATTTTTTAATAACACGTAAAAGTTTTCTCAAACCACTTCCTCTACTCTCACATTACAACAATCATCACCACACAAGAAAACTTCTGTGACCATATGTGTGTGGACTTTTCCCCCACACACCAAGCAGTGGACACCAGCTGGGTATCCTCTGAATCAGTTCTGATACTCCCTACCCAGATATAGTGTCACATCCCACAGAGTGAGTGCTCAGTCCCCAAGACTGCCCCTGCCCCCTCCACACACACATACCAGTTGCAAGTCCAGGCCTCCAGAACTTCTGATGGACTAGCTTCAAGTTGGGGCTCCCAAGATCCACCTTTGGGTTTAATTAATTTGATGGAGTAGCTCACAGAACTCAGTAAACACTTACTTAGGTTTACTGGTTTATTAGGAAGGATATTGCAAAGGATACAGAGACGCATAGGGTGGAGTATGGGAAAGGGGCACAGAACTTCCATGCCTTCCCTGGGCTGCCACCCTCCAGGAACCTCCAGGTTTAGCTATCCAGAAGCTACCTGAACTCTTTCCTCTTGGGTTTTTCTGAAAGCTTCATGACATCAGCATTCCTTCCCCCAAGGTATTGGGTAGGACCCTCTCATGGGAGGGCCTTAAGACCCACAGTCAGAAAGGTAGGGGAACATTAGAGTGAAAGGAGGGCGGGCCTGCCACTGAGGCCTAACACCCTTGACATTTTTTTTTTTTTTTTTTTGAGACAGAGTCTCGCTTTGTTACCCAGGCTGGAGTGCAGTGGCACCACCTCGGCTCACTACAACCTCCGCCTCCCGGGTTCAAGCAATTCTCCTGTCTCAGTCTCCGGAGTAGCTGGGATTAGAGGCGCATGCCACCATGCCTGGCTAATTTTTGTATTTTTAGTAGAGATGGGGTTTCACCATGTTGGCCAGGCTGGTCTCAAGCTCCTGACCTCAGGTGATCCACCTGTCTCGGCCTCCCAAAGTGCTGGGATTACAGGCGGGAGCCACCGCACCTGGCCAACCCCCCACATTTTAACAAGACTATAACAAGGGCTATGGGAATTATTAGCCATGTTTTAAGTTTTTACTAAAAGAATGAGCTTATTTTGCTCTATGATTTTGTTACACTTTTCACCCATTATTGGTTATTTTTCTAAGTCTTTTACATGTTTAATTATGAAATATTTTTAAAGTATAAAAAAGAATAGAAAATAATATAGGTGCATTGTTTCTGCATCCTTTTCCTTCATTCTGAGCTCGGTTGCATCTACCTAAAGTACACACTTAGTATTTCATTAACTTCAGGCCTTTAATGTAAACTCTCAGTCTTTAAAATGTCTTTATTTCAGCTCTTACTTTTGAGTTATATTTTAGCTGTATATAGAATTTTAAGTTGATAGCTCTTTTTACTTAAGCAGTTTGAAGATATCTCATTATAATTTTGAAGCAGCATCATTGTCTGCGGTGAATACCCAGGGTTCGTCGTCTCGAGCTGAGAAAATTAACGACACAGACACACATACATGAAGTGGGTTAAGGAGTGGAAAGTTTAATAGGCAGAAGAAATGAGAGAGGAGAGCAGCTCTCTCTTTTATGAAAGAGAGGTGTTCCGAAAAAGGAAAAGCGGTGGACCGCAGCAGATTTTATAGGCAGGCTTTAAGAGGTGGTATCTGATTTACATAGGGCCCACAGATTGGTTCCACCAGGTGTGATGTTTACTGGTGTGTGGGGAAGGCTGGTCACCCCACCCTAATCTTATTATGCAAATAGATTTTCTACTTGGCCAGTGCCATCTTGCCTGCTCCTTACTGTGCATGTGGCAAAGAGAAGAGAAGATGGAGCTGCCATTTTGAACAGGCCTATTCCACAGGTAGTTTTTTCTATTGGCACAATTGCCGGCATTCGCTTGTGCAAGCTTCCAGCTTGTTTGTCTGTGTCTGCAGCTTGATTTTACAGGCTGCTCTTCGTTAGAAAAAAAAAAATCATTTGGGGACTGCTTTTCATTAAAAGGAAAACCTTACCAAGGACTTCCTTACCCTATCTGCTTAAGTAATTTCTTTTTTAACTTTTATATCATTCTGACCTCTCGTTGCTTTTGAGAAATCTGACAGTTCTTTATGGGGAATTGGTCTTTTCTGTTTTCCATTTAAGATTGTGTGTGTGTGTGCGTGTATTCTGTAATTTTTCTGGATATGTCTAAATGTGGATTTGCTTTTATTCTGCTTTAGACTCCTTGTGCTTATTGAATCTATAGATTCATATCTTTACTCAGTTCTGGAAAATTCTCAGCTATTGTCTTTTAAAAGATGCTTCTTCCAGCTTTCCCAATTCTCTATGGAACTTCTTTAGACATCTTTGGCCTTAATTCTCTTTCCATGGCTCGTAACTCCTCCCTTAGTTAGTCATAGCGCTTGCCCCTCTTTTAAATCACTATTTGTTACTTAGGATTTTCCCTCCTTTCTTAGAATTTCTTTTGTTATATTTTTAAATATACAAATTTATATTTTATATACAAATATATGTTTTAAAATATATACAAAATATATACAAATATATATTTTAAAATATATACAAATATATATTTTAAAATATATACAAATATATATTTTAAAATATATACAAAATATATACAAATATATATTTTAAATATACACAAATATATATATTTTAAATATACAAATATTTTTGTTATATTTTATCTAATACATCTACATATTTATATGAGGACTTTTTTGGCATTATCTTTACCATTTCTGCTGGAACTGATTCTTGACAGCTGTAGTTTTCTTGTAGAGTTGTTTTTTGTTGTTTTTTGATATATTCCAAGAGTTTTTCAAATTTTATCTATAATTAATATTTGGATATTGTAGTTCAAAAGAGCAGGAGAAGACAGTGGTTAATATTTTGGACAGCCCAATACTATAGATAAAATGAAGTCACCTTTTCCTATAAAATGGATTTTTTTTATTGTTTTTCTAGAGCTTTGACTATTGGGAATTTTGCTTAGGATCTCTAGTTTTAAAAGTTTCTGAATCTTCCTGAGCCTCCTTCAGTATTTTTGCATGTAATAAACCCCAAAGTTCTCTCATGGGGATTCTTTTATAAATGGAGAGAATGGCATAAGCAGTTAAGAGCAAGGTCTCTGGAATCAAACAGCTTGTAAGTGTCCAGTCTTGTCTTTACCACTTATTAACATTGTGATTTTGGGTGAGTTCTCTCACCTCTCTTTCTCAGTCTCCCGCTCTTTAAAGTAGCAACCTCGTAGAGTTGGGATGATTAACCAAGATCTAATATGTATTAAGTGGCATCTAAGGAGCTCTCAAAAATATTAGATATTATTAATATAATTATTTTCATTGATTCACAGTAACTTTTTCCTTGCACTTAAAGCTATTTCAGGTGTAGCAGTTTTAATCCGCCACCTGATACAGCATTCTTGAAGGCAAAAGCACTTGGACTAATAATAAGCATAGGCCGTCACTTCCCCCGCATTATACATTTTCTCTACTGAATCTTTTCCATTAGCATACCAACTCATATTTCTTTAAAGCTAAAATAACTCTTTTGTCATCACTTCCCCCTCCAATTTTCCCTTTACAATAAAACTCCTTTAATATGTCCATTTTTACACTCCCTAATCTGTCTTTCATGAAACCAAACTCCAGTCAAGGTTTTACCTCATCCATGCCACCAAATCTGCTTGGATTAATAAACCCAGTGGTAAATCTCAGTTCCTGTGTTACTTGACCCATCAGCAGCATTCAACACAGTTGATCCCTCCCTTTTCCTTGAAACCTGGCTTTCTGCTCCCTCACTGGCTGCTGCTCCTTGGTCTCCTTTGTTGGTTCATCCTCACCTTGAAATGTTGGCATGCTCCTGGAATCCGCCCACGGACCTCTTCTTTATTTGTCTACACTCCTTCTCAGTCTCATGGCTTTGACTACGATCTGTATGTTCACCACTCCCAAATTCATATCTCCAGCCTAGGACTCTTGCTTGACTCCAGATGCATATAGCCATTTGCCTACTCAGTATCTCCATTTGGATGTCTATTAGACATCTCAAATTTCACATGTTCAAAACAACTTCTGAGAATTATGTTAGCTCTGGGTTTGTCATACATGGCCTTTCTACTGAGGTATTATTTCCTCTATACCAATCTGTTGAGAGTTTTTATCATGAAAGGGTATCAAAGGCTTTTTCTGCATTTATTTAAATGATCCTCTGATTTTTAGCCTTCATTTTGTTAATGTGGTGTATCATATTTATTGATTGTGTATGCAATAAATCCCATTTGATTGTGGTGATTCTTTTATCAAAATCTTAATTACCCCCTTTTAAAACATTTGTAACATGATAAACTATCTTACTAAACATTTCATAATAAACAGTTGCTTCTTCCAATTTAAGAAAATGTATATTTTAGTTGTTGCTTGGGCTGAGGATGTCCCTAATCAATCTAACTATATTTGTGTCTTCAGGCATTATTTGAGGTGAATAAAATGCAAATAATTTTTTAGACATAAAGGCCTCTGTTAGCCAAATGAGAAATCTTTCTTTCACCTCTAGTTCTCATTCACTCCCCCTTTTTCTTTCACAAAGGCATTGATTAATTTATATCTTAGGTTAGCTAAGAATTTGAGCTATTTTTAGCAGTACATTCTCAAAGTATAGATGCTGTGGAATGAGTAGCAAGTAATTAGAGCACCGTTTGTATAACCTTTATGTACAGTAGCCTTGAAAAATCTCCGTACTGTAGGTAGAATTGCACCTAAGATGACAAATCTTGTAGTAGGACCACCTAGCTAATGATTGAGTCTCCTTTATAGCCTGGGAACTGATGAGAAGGACACTCAGCACTCCTGAGTTCCTCCTGTCTCTACGTCTTTCTCATATTAAGCCTAAGTTGGCTTTCACACAATTAATTACAATTTGCTTCTATAGCTTTGGGGCTTTACGTAACAACTTTAATTTTTTCTACACCCTTTTGAAATAGCTATCATGTTTGACCCGGGTCTTTTCTCCTTATAAAACATTAGTATTGTCTCCTGTTGTCTGATATAGTTTTGAGTCCCTTCAACATCAACTGTAGCTCTGTCAGTGTCCCTCTTTAAATACAGTGCTCAGAGTTAGCCTTATAATGTTTCATGGTTTTGTTTTTGTTTTTAGATACAAGGTCTTGTTCTGTCACCCAGGCTGGAGTGCAGTGGCATGATGGTAGCTCACTGCAGCCTTGGACTCCTGGGCTCAAGGGATCCTCCTGCCTCGGTCTTCCAAATCACTAGGATTATAGGGATGCATCACCGCGACCAGCCTCGTGTATTATTTAATTAGTAGTCATTCAACCTATTTTTTTCTAGATAGTACATTTTGATTAGTACAGTTTATGATTTTTTTTTTTTTTACCTGTATCTTACTTATAGTACTTACAGGAGCTGAGGAAAACCCCAAGACCAACCTGTGCTCAACCTGTGCTTTTGTAGTGATTTTTTTGGACCCTATTACAGAACCTTATTTATTCCTTCATCTTGTTAAATGTGGCCCATTGTTCCAGGCTACCACCACATTTCTTGATTCTTTCTTTGAACATAATTATTATATTTCCCAGCTTCGTGTCATTTCTAAAATTGATGTACCTGCCTTCATCTAGGTCATTGCTAAAAACAATGAAGTAGAGCTAAAGACAGCCTTTCAGCATTCACAAAACTTATCTATTCTATATGCCATATATTTATATAGCACCTTCTATTTGCACTGTCCTAGTCATGAGGGAATCATAAATAAAAAGAAATGGCCCTTTAAGAGCTCACAGCCTAGTGGGAAAACAGATACACAGTATATAATTTAGCATGATAATTGCTGTAATGGAATATGAAGAAGATAGAATGGGAGCACAGAGGAAAAACTCCGAGTCTTTGAGGCAGAAACTTCCTTGCAGGTTGAGAGCTGTCCTTTAATCAAAAAAGTGTAAATTAGCCAGGCACGGTGGCTCACCTAATCCTAGCACTTTGGGAGGCCGGGGCAGATGGATCACCTGAGGTCAGGAGTTTGAGACCAGCCTGGCCAACATGGTGAAACCCCATCTCTCTGAAAATACAAAAATTAGCCGGGCATAGTGGCGCATGCCTGTAATCCCAGCTACTCGGGAGACTGAGGCAGGAGGATCACTTGAACCCGGGAGGTGGAGGTTGCAGTGAGCCGAGATGGCGCCACTGCACTCCAGCCTGGGTGACAGAGCGAGACTCCCGTCTCAAACAAGTGTAAATCCACCTAACCTGTCTCTTTTTTCCCAACTTGTTCACAAGGATACAGTGAAAGACCCTGGCATCTGCTTGCTGAAATTGGGCCACATTCTATTTACTACATTTCTCTATTCCACCAGCCTAATACCCTGTCCCCTCCTCTGCTCCCAAAAAAACAAAACAAAACAAAACAAAACAAAAAACTGTTAGTCTTTTAGATGTAATTAATTAAGCTGTTTATATTTTAAATGTATTAATTTTTACATATACATACATATATCTTCAGGAGCAGGATCGGGGAAATGAGTCATAGAATATAATAGACTCTGAAGATCAGAAGGAAAAAAAATAGAGGCAAATTTGCAGGCTATGAGATCCCCCAGTTGTTATAGTTGAAGATCCAAATTGGGCTCTGAGCTTTCTAAAGGCCAAAGAGAAATGGAAAAGTTCATGTTCTTACTGACTGACAGAGAAATAGTTCCTGTTCTTAAGTGGGAACAAAGCTTTTGCCAACACCGAAATCTTACATTTCAGTGGGGGCTGCATTGAGGTTACACCGAGAGAGAGAATAAAAAATGTCATGAGCATATATTTCTACTGCAAGTGCACAAAAGATTTCCTTAGTGTTTCCTAAATTTTGTTATTGTGGAGGAAATTGCTCAAAGAACAGATTTAATATTACAGGCCAAGAGAGGCTGGGCAGCATGGCTCATGCCTGTAATCCCAGCACTTTGGAAGGCCAAGGCAGGCTAGATAGCTTGAGCCCGGGAGGTGGAGGTTACAGTGAGCTGAGATCACGCCACTGCACTCCAGCCTGGGTGACAGAGTGAGACTCTGTCTCAAAAAAAAAGTGGGGCGGGGTGGGGGACTAAAAGAACTGTTATAGAAAGGAAAGCTGCGCAACTTTGAATAACAAATTCATTGGGGATGTGAAATTTTTTGTGCACACACCTAGACCATCCCTCAGCACAAGTTCAAGAAGTCTTATATTAGGCTGTTTATTATAGCATCCTTCATAAGAGAGGAACACCAATTCCATGGTAGGTTGACAAGTATTTCGTAGATACCCATGATTCTGTGGTCAAATAAATATAGGAAACGCTGAGTTAAACAAGTTTCTTTACTGCTGGTGGGCTTCTGTCTCATAGGCTTAAGTACAATGTAACTCTCCCAGAGGGAGTTCTCCAAAACTTTATTTGGCCATAGAACCCTTTTTGGTGGTACATTAGGGAACAGAGGAATAAATGTTTACATATCCTCCAAACAACCTTTCTAAAAGAGAAAGAATGTGGCAGCCACCCTGTTACATATTTGTCAACTCCAGCCAAGGATATATGTTGGACAATACTGTTCTTCCCCTCTCTTACTCTCTCAAGCTTCAGGATGATGTAGTCTCTTTTTTGCTAGGGTCTTCTCGTTTCCTTATAAGGCAAACCAGAGTACAAGTTCCCCTCTTCACTTTCTCTTTTTTTTTTTTTTTGAGATGGAGTCACTCTGTCGCCTAGGCTGGAGTGCAGTGGCGCAATCTTGGCTCACTGCAACCTCCGCCTCCCGGGTTCAAGCGATTCTCCTGCCTCAGCCTCTCTGAGTAGCTGCGATTACAGGTGCACACAACCACACCCGGCTAATTTTTGTATTTTTAGTAGAAACGGGGTTTCACCACATTGGTCAGGGTGGTCTTGAACTCCTGACCTCGTGATCCACCCGTCTCCGCCTCCCAAAGTGCTAGGATTACAGGCTTGAGCCACCGCGCTCGGCCCACTTTCTCTGCTTTTTTAAAGATGAAACTATGATCAGGGCAAGCCAGGAGCATGTTGTCACTTGGCTTTTTTGCCAAGTAAGACTTCTAGTTAGAGACCCCTGTCACTGCAATTAACTTTGCTGAATTTGTAACTTGAGATCAGGGTTCACTTCCTTATCTGGCCTCCATCCCATTCACAATGTCATTTTGTATAGCAAATCTAATGTGTTTTTTTTGTTTGTTTGTTTGTTTTTTAGACGGAGTTTCACTCTGTCGCCCAGGCTACAGTGAAGTGGCGCAATCTTGGCCCACTGCAACCTCCGCCCCCTGGGTTCAAGCGATTCTCCTGCCTCAGCCTCCCTAGTAGCTGGGACTACAGGCGCGTGCCACCATGCCTGGCAGATTTTGTATTTTTAGTAGAGATGGGGTTTCGCCATGTTGGCCAGGCTGATCTCCAACTTCTGACCTCAGGTGATCCACCCGCCTAGGCCTCCTGAAGTGCTGGGATTACAGGCGTGAGCCACCGCACCCAGCCAATCTAATGCGTTTCTTTTAGAATAAAGTAGGTTTTTTTCCCATGTATTATAAACAAGCAATAAATCTGGGGAGGTTATTTCTACTTGATTAGTTTTTATTTACCTAATAAGAATCCTAAAATGCAAAAATAGTATTGTATTAATATAACAGTGACTTTAAAATAAACTTCAGCAATATTACATTTGAAAAATACCCTAAGGTTAAATTTATTTATAACAAGTGTTATTCATTTATTATAATACCCCAGAGTCACATTCAGTATTGTCTTTCGATATATGCATTTTATAATTGTAAATCCATATACAGATGTCCCCTACTTAATGAGGGTTCGACTTACTGTTTTTCAACATCACGATGGTATGAAAGCAACACACATTCAGTAGAAACAGTACTTCGATTTTTGAATTTTGATCTTTTCCTGGGCCAGTGATAAGTGGTATGGGGGCAGCAGCAGCGAGCCACAGCTTGCAGTCAGCCACACCATCATGAGGGTAAACACCGATACTCTCCTGTGGACTGTGATGCAGATGATTCTGCCCGACTGTAGACCAATATACATGCTCTGAGCATGTTTCAGATGGACTAGGCTAAGCTATATGTTCAGTAAGTTAGGTGTATTCACTGCATTTTTGACTTAATGATATTTTCAATTTACTGCGAATTTATTGGACATAACTCCATTGTAAGTAGAGGAACATTTCTGTCTAATATTTTGTGTTTTCCTCCCATTAAATTCCTTATTCTCTTATGTTATGGAATTCCTTATGGAATACATATTCCCTTACGTTGACATTGACAACATACTGGTAATCTTTAATATATATGAAATACTTGAATATTGTCAAATGTTATTTTTGAAGTCATTTTGATATTTGGCAATTGAGGTTTTTTCAACTTTTTGCAATTTTAAAAGGGGTATTGATATCATATGAATTATCTTTTTTCTCTGGTTTATTTCCTTGGGCTGTATTCCTATGGATAGGACTACAAAGTCAGCAATTATATTTTCTAGCTTTTGTATGACAGGAATTTTCTAACCTTATTGTCTTCTAAATCCTAGGTTCAGGAGCTCCATGAGGAGGAGGCACAGTGGGTGAACTATGATGAGGATGAGTTGTGTGTGAAAATGCAGCTAGCCGACGGGATCTTTGAGACCCTGATCAAAGATACTATTGATGTTCTGAATCAGATCAGTGAAAAGCAGGGGAGAATGCTACTTGTGTGACATCTTGCAAATAAATCGAACGCTGAGTGCTAATGTGAGTCCTGGGCCTTTCTGCCTCCTGATGTACACCCATCGCCATCATAGCAAGAGTGCTTCTGGACCTTGTACTTATTCTTAAAGACTACCAGTATGGAGTTCATAGGACAATGTGGTACACCTGGTATTACAGCCTTTGCCTTTCGAGACTATCCACTGGATTAATGGGTTATTTTCAGTGGGCAGGGTTGCACAGTGTAATCCTACACCTTTTGCTAACACCCCTACTAGGTCCCAGAGGGCCAGAAACACCTGACTTACCTCTGAGTTTAGACTAGGGTATCACTTCTTTGAGTCTGAAGTCAAGTGAGAGAGGTATAGATAAATGCATCACATCACTTTTGAAATGTAATTCTGGTCTATACCATGGAAGTCATAAATGGACATTATAGTCTCTAAACAGTATTAAACCCTTAACCACTTCTAAAATAGGCAAGCTCAATAATGTCTGCCAACTTCACATTCTGGAGTTTATTTCATTTCTTTTTGAAGACCATTTTCTTCCATTATTGTAGTTGAGCAGCACCAAGTGGACTGTCAGGCTAACAGGAATAAGTGGTAGCCTTGCTTTCTGAGCACCATCTAAAGAATTTTAAACCTCTGCATTATGTTTAGTGTTCTCTGTGTGGGCATGAAAACAAAGAAATGCCCCTACTGAAGACTGGGCTCAAAGGACCAATGCAGGGCTGGTTCTTTTACCCCTTGGTTTACTCCTGCACTTGTCTTACTCATTCTGAATCTCTACCAGCTGCTCCCAGAATCACAGATACTCAGGACCATCTCAGGCATCCAGGCATGGCAAAGTGGAAATAATTCATTTTGGCCTGCAAACCTTCAACTCCCATCTTTCCCCAAGAAGTCAGAGATGCTGTTACTTGAATGATTTAGGAAATGAGTGTGTGCACCAAAGACAAAAAGATATTGTCTATTGTTTGTGTGCTTGTTTTGCGCTATGGAACATTTTTTAATTTATTTTAAGATAAATTATTAAGTTGAAAATGTGTGTCCCTATTCAGAAGTGAAAGATTCATCTTGTAATAGTTAAACCTCCATCTTGAAGCTTCTATGGTTCATAGTCTTTGCACAGGAACCTGTGGTTTTAACAAACCAATACACATATTGAAGAAGTCATTTTAATTCAGTGAAACGAAGATGGGCTTTTCCAGATCACCTGCAATAGCAGCAGTGGGATAAAATGATTTAAAAACACTGTACAATTTAACTCTGCCTCTCTTGCAGCATTGCTTCTCACAACTATTACCTGCATCTGAAAAAAAATCTATAGACTCCAGCTGCTACATTAGAGCATAAGAGATGCTCTCCTGGGACCTCAGTACCCTGCCTTCTTGACTGGTTTCCGTTCATCAGTCCTGTCCCTCTTCAAGTAATCTAGAAGAATGTGGATACTCTTAGGCGTGAATGTAAATGCCTTAATATTGAAGGTCCTGGTTAGAAGCATGATACAAGACATCTACTGGATTCATATTTACAAATATCCTGGAATGTTATAGCTTCAAAGTATATTAGAAAAACCCCAAAGATGGTATAATCTTTAAGTGTGCACGTTCGTTTATTTCTGCATCTTCCCTCCAAACTTGCCTTTGCATCTTAAATATTTCACTATGCACACTCCCATTCCTCTTGGGTTTCATCTTGTCGTTTAAGAAATGTACTGAAATAATCATTGGAATATTTGCATTTTGCACAATGACTGGTATGATAGCTCTTGACAAATAAGGAAAGCACTGAAATGTTGTGATTGGGTCTCGGGAAATGCTCAGATTGATGTCTTACCAGCATTTCTTCTGGGCTTGTGATGTTGAGCTGTAGTCTTGTAGCCATAATGAGCAAATTGACTAAGAGAAGCAAAGGTTTCTTGGGGTTATTAACCAGTAGTGTGGAAATACTAGTTTTATGTGGCCAAGGAAAAGCAAAGGCTTTTCTTTTCAGTTTGTGTTATTTGGAAGACAGAAAAACATCTTGTCTACATCCTTTGGCTGTTTGTAGGATCACGTTGTCCTTACGATACTGAAACTTTACAGCTGCTGTAAATTTTTTATAAATGAATTTCAAAATGTTATAATGGGACTGTAGGTTGTTTTTCTACATCTTCATTATTTGGACCTAAAACCAGTTTTTAATAAGAAAGTTTATCTTTACTCTTTCTGAAATTATGACTCCAGAAAAAGAAAAAAAAAATACAAGTCATGGAATCAGCAATCTGGTAAGAAATGCTGCCAAGAATGTGGCAGTAGCTGTCCTGACAGACTCCAACTGTCTTTACTATCTGAAGAATCCTAGGCTCCACATGAGAGGCAGAAATGGATCAGTCTTATTCTTTTCTAGAAATGGTTATCTGTAGTTTGGTAGCAAAAAAAAAGAAAAAAGAATCCATAATTAGCAGATTTCTTATTAACTATTTGGATCTAATTGAAATGGCTTTATTCTTAGGATTAAGAAAGATAGATGTGGATACCCAGCCACTCGTTCCATATTGGTATCTTTTTAAATCAGCTCTGCCTCTTAATCAAGAACCTAAATATTCCCTCTTTCTAATCTTTGTTCCTTCTCCCTACACCCTCATCCTCTTTCACTCTTCCTTCATAATTCCTCTAAGAAAAATATCTTTGCATCAGCAGTAATATCTTTTAGAATAGCACTATCAGAATTTAGCAGTAAACCAACATACAGGCTTCAGATTTACTTCTGAGTCCAAAACAATTTGTGCTATCCAGGGTAGTTAACTCTGGGTTAAACAAGTACAGGGTATAGATTCCCTCTTCAGGTCTACACAGGAATTTTTACCATAGGGAAAAGTGGGGAGAGCTCAAACGTAGTTAATAAGGAAGGTAATTTGTTTTTCTTTTACCTAAAAGAAAAGAAAATTCCTTCTGTGACTACAGGTCTCTGAGAAATTATCTTTCAAAAGAGATTTCATTGCTCATAAGAGTGTTGTGGCCTATTGATAAAAACAATTTTGTTCAGTTTCTTGTCTTGAAAAAAAAGTGGCCTTAGCTTTTTGCAATACTTGAATAAAGTGTGTACTCGCAAAAGAATTTCTGTAGCACAGCATTAGAGACTCATAACTTTTCTGCAAGAAATACAAACTTACATCTTCCTTTTACTACCTTAAGAATACTAGTGAATAAAACATTAATTCAAAGAGCAAATTATAGAAACTACAATGACATTTAATGCAAATTGTAGGAATTTACATGTTTACAAATCATCTTCAACTGGTTGTGCAGCAATTCAATAAAATATCTTTGTATTATAAAAATGTGAAGAAAAAATGTAAACTGATGTAAAGGAGGTACTGTCATTTTAATTAACCTATGTTTAATAGCTTTTCCTTCTGGACTTTGCAAAGCCTTCTTGGCAAACACATTGCAAAGCATTCTCTGGGAGGTTCAGCCTCCTTGTGTGTACTGTACTGTGCAGACATGAAAAAATAAACCCGTTTACTGTGTGCGTGTAAATAGCCTGGTCATCAGGCCATTTTCAGCCAATAGTCACATCCAGTGCAATTTTGCACCGAACACTTAAGGGTGTGGTTTGTAAGTACGATCTGTAAAATAACTGGGATGAATTCCCATGTATACCTGTGTAAATAGATTTGTTAACTGAAATATACTTTAAGAAAGATAAAATCTGTAAATAAACTGATTTATAAATTAATTTCATGTCAGGTCTCCATTTTTTCCCTCCTGAGCCAACTTCAGAAAATTAGTCCCCATAAAATACATCTGATTGCTTATTTAGTCATAGGGTGCTGATGCTTGGACAGTACAATCAGGTAAGCTGTGGATAAGAGCTATTTACCTGCACATAAATGCCATCAGCACATACATTTGAGCAGCCTGGGCTTTGCTCCCACACTCATTGATTCAGCAGATAGCCACTGAGCAACTTTGTGTTCTGAGTACTGTGCTGAGTGCTGGAAACATAGCAAAAAAGACAGACATGGTCCCTGATCTCAAGAAACTTAATGTCTAATGAAAGCCACCAAAAGATATTTTGAAAACCTGTGTGACAAGTTCTAACAAGTGCTGCACAGGAAGCATACATAAGATTTGAGAATATCTTAATAAAAGGACCCAACAAGGGTAGAGTGAGTCAGGGAAGAGTTCTCTGATAAATTATAACTGTTTTATGAGCTTCTTCCTTCTAATTCATGGCAAATGCCATTTCTCCCAAATGACCTAAATTTTGATAACCCTTGCAAAATAACACATGGAAGAGTCACACTCAAGTGGACCACAAAGAAGAAGTGCAACCAGCTGATGCCCAGGTGTGGAGGCTGTAACTTATTTCTGGAAATATGAGCTTGGAGGAGAATGAAGCTGAAGTGATAGAAGAATAAAAACAATCCAAGGATGGAAGTGTACAGCACTCAAGATAATGAATTGTCTCTGGTCTGACAAATCGGAAGTGGTAACCACCATCATCTTACCTGAATTCCTCTAGTTTCCCCCAGATGGCCATCCCTGCTATATCTTTAATCCCTACCACAACCATGAACATTTCGGAAATTCTCAGAAAAAGATTGGCCCCAAATTACAGTAGGTCCTAAGAAATTCTTCCTCTCATAAAACAGATAGTTGAGACTGGGCATGGTGGCTCACACCTGTAATCCCAGCACTTTGGGATGCCAAGGCAGGAAGATTCCTTGAGCCCAGAAGTTCGAGACCAGCCTGGGCAACAGGGTGAGGCCCCATCTCTCCAAAAAACTTTTTTTTTAATTAGCGGGGCACAGTGGCACACACCTGTGGTCCCAACTACTTGGGAGGCTGAGGTGAGAGAATCCCTTGAACCCAGGAGGTCAAGGCTGCAGTGAGCCGTGTTCATGCCACTGTACTCCAGCCTGGGCAACAGAGTGAAACCTGTCTCAGAAAAAAGAAACCAGGTGTTTGAGTCCCTACTATGTGCCAGATACTGTGGTTGGTGCTGAGGACACAATAGTACAATAGTAATAACAAATAGAATCTTGGAAAAAAGACCAAATACCTGTAACCTTGAATCAAAATATATGAAAGTGGCAGTCAAGAGGATGGCAGTTGACATGGCAGAGCCAAGAACAATGAGACCAACACTGGGAGAAGTACAGTGGTGAATGTCTCCAGGAGGGAAGCCAGTCACGCCCCACATAACGGTCAACAATGGGCCGTATGTACAGCGTGGTCCCGGAAGATTCTGTATAATGGAGCTGAAAGTGTTCTATCACCTAAGGAGGTCATAGCCATTGTAACATTGTAGTGTGACACATTACTCGCGAGATTATGGTGACGCTGGCTGGTGTAAACGAACCTACTGTGCTGCCAGTTGTATAAAAGTATACAGTAATGTCCTAGCCATTCATGTTCACTCCCCACTCACCCACAGCAGCCTCCAGTCCTGCAAGCTCCATTCATGGTAAGTGCCCTATATACACATTCCATTTTCTATCTTTTATACTGTGATTTTACTGTTTTCTATATTTAAGTTTGTTTAGATACCACAAATTCTTACCATTTGTGTTACAACTG
Organism: Homo sapiens; assembly: GCF_000001405.40. Classification (NCBI taxonomy): domain Eukaryota; kingdom Metazoa; phylum Chordata; class Mammalia; order Primates; family Hominidae; genus Homo; species Homo sapiens. The sequence continues at coordinate 180,116,723 of NC_000001.11, forward strand.
CCTACAACGTTCAGTACAGTAACATGCTGTACAGCTTTGTAGTCTAGGAGCAATAGACTACACCATATAGCGTAGGTGTGTAGCAAGCTATACCATTTAGGTTTGTGTGAGTGCATTCTACGATGTTCACACAACAATGAAGTCACCTAACGATGCATTTCTCAGAACATATCCCAGTGGTTAAGCATGCATGACTCTGCTGAGGAGAAACAGCTAATGCCCTACAAAGTCCCAGCAAAGCTCAGGAATTGGAGGCACTGGCTGCCACAGTAAAAGGTGCAAAACACGGAGATTGTTTCACCATTCGCTGGGTGTCCAGGCTGTGCAGCCAAGGTCAAAAGGCAGATACGTGCCTCCCAGGGAAGAGACCAGTGCATGACTCAAGGTCACTGAGGACAGACAACACACACATCAGGCTCAGGTGGCACAGTGTTTATTTACACCAAGAGGAGACAGTGCAGGAGGTTCAGCCCCTTGCAATGCATCAGCCCTACAAGGGCAGTAGATCCGCTCCACCGTGAACACAGGCGATGTGACTGCAAGTGCCCCACTTTGTGCTGCAGTGGAAGGACCCTCCGTCTCCGCCATGGGGTCTGAAAGGCAGAAAGCTGGGTGTGTATGAGGACCATTGACACATGAGCTTAAGCAGAACAAAGGAGTACACGTTGAGTCTGCAGTAGGACAAGATATTCCCGCTCATGGAGATAAGCCCCGCACAGGCTGTAGTGCTCTTATCTCTCAGTAAGGAAGTGTTCCAGGCCCATTCTCACGTGATTGTGCAAGGGCAGGAAGCTGCACACGATTGCCTTTCCCAACAGGGAAGAAAATAGAGAAGTTGATGGCAAGTCTGATTGGAACAGTTAGACCACCCAGGTACCCACCCCTCCCAGCGGATCCAGGTGACTGCCTGTGCTCTCTTCAGTGCTCTCAGGAGGTGAGTAATTCTCTGGAGAAGTTAAACCACAGAGGTCCTGAACTTGAGGACTCTAGACACAATGAAGCATGGAAGTCAGGCAACAGACTGAAGATAAGGATGAAGTTAAAGTTGATGGATGGAGTGAGGGACCCAGCCAGGCTTAGCCACAACCCTCTCCCACAGGAAGGAGACTGGAGGACCCTCCTCTGGAAAAACTGGCCACAGAGGAAAGGCCTATAGTTACTGTCATTTGGAGAGGTCTCCAAAGAAAAAGCTGGCTTGCCCCCAATCTCCTTCCCATGAAATCCACCAGCCAAAAAGCCCCACCCATGCGCACTGAGTTGCTCATCACATTTTTAGCACATCGCTCATATGTGAACAAATAGCCACCCATCTCCAGACTTCAGAGGGAAGGCACCAATATGAAATAGGCCAAATCAAAAAGAAAAAAGAGGGATTCTGGTGAAACAACTGCATGGCACAGAAGAAAACCTCATAAGAGATTTTCAAACTATAATTAAAATCCTCAGCTGAAATAATATTGCATCATGAAATGGGATTAGGATGCCCTAAAAGATTAACGAGTCAGAAGTCATGATTAAACTCTTGAAAATTAAAAGTAGGCAACCGTAATTCAAAATTCAATAGAAAGTCTGAAAATAAAGTTGAAGAAATCTGGAAAGTAAAACAACAACAAAAAATAGATAAAATTAGCGAACCAATCCAGGAAATCCAATGTCAAATTAACTGGATATCTAAAAAGAATAGAGAAAACACAAAACTATACAAGAAAAAATTCCAGAACTTAAATATGTGATTTTCCAGTTGGAAATGGTCTAATGAGTACCCAGCATAATAGATGAAAATAAACCCACACTAGGACATATCATTATGAAATGTCAACTCCATAGGTAAAGAAATTATCCGGCTGGACACGGTGGCTCACGCCTGTAATCTCAACACTTTGGGAGGCTGAGGCAGGTGGATCACGAGGTCAGGAGTTTGAGACCAGCCTGACCAACATGGTGAAACACCATCTCTTCTAAAAATACAAAAATTAGCCAGGCATGGTGGTGCATGCCTGTAATCCCAGCTACTCAGGAGGCTGAGTAGGAGAATCCCTTGAACTCAGGAGGAGGAGGTTGTAGCAAACCAAGATCACGCCACTACACTCCAGCCTAGGCAATGGAGACCACTCTGTCTCAAAAAAAAAAAAAAAAAAATCCTAAAAGTTTCTAAAGAGGAAAAATAAAACACCACATGTAAAAGGTTAGGAATAAAATGTCATTACTGCCCTGAAGAGCAGCATTGGAGACTTAAGAAAATAGAGCAACATTTTCAAAAACAGTAAAAATTATTTCAGCCAACCTGTGAATCCAGTGTAAAGGTAGAATATGGGCATTTTCAGAAATGCATGCTTTCAGAAAAGCATGCTTCCCATGCATCCTTTCTCAGAGGGCATCAACCATGAAGCATAAAGACTGGAGGTCCAGAAGCAGGGAATCCAACCCGGGAAAAGCGTGAGGGTGAGGGACATTCCCAGGATGACCGCTGTCTGGCAGGCCTAGAGAGCCAGCAGTCCAGTCCAGAACAGGAAGGAAGGTCTCCCGCAAGAAAGGAGGAGAGGGGAGCAAATACTCATTTTTTAACAACATGAGGAAAAAAGAGTGAGGAAAGACTTAATATTAGATTCCAAGAAGAGCGAGTAATGAAAAAATGAGGATTTGAGACCAGCCTGGCCAACATGGTGAAACCCCATCTCTACAAAACATACAAAAATTAGCTGAGCGTGGTGGTGGGCACCTATAGTCCCCACTACTCGGGAGGCTGAGAAAGGAGAATCACTTGAGCCTGGGAGGTGGAAGTTGCAGTGAGCCAAGATCATGCCACTGCACTCCAGCCTGAGTGACAGAGCAAGACTGTCTCAAAAATAATAATAATAAAAGGAAAAACAAAGCACCATACAAGTAAGGAACAACCATGGTGTGCTTCTTGGCTCAGCAATGAACAATATTTATAGTTACAATAATGTAAACATCGAATATTGTGATGTCACTACTTTGGGAAGACAGAGGAAGGGAAGTATCAGCTAAGTCTGCATCTACCCTATTAGGAAGTGTGATGGTTAATTTTATGTGTCAACTTGGCTAGACAACAATACCCAGCTATTTGGTCAAACATCAGTCTAGATGTTTCTGTGAAGATATTTTTCAGGTAAGATTAACAGTTAAATGGGTAGATTTTGAATACAGCAGATTCCCCTCCACAATGTGGTGGGCCTCTGCCTGCAGACTCCAGCTGCACATCAACTCTTTCCTGGGTCTCCAGCCTGCCAGCCTGCTCTGCAAGTTTGCTTCTCGCTAGCCCTCACAACTGCATGAGCCAATTTACATGTGCACACACACACAAATGCACATATATGTATACGCACATGCAAATCCTACTGGTTCTACTATCTGGGGAACCTTGAGTAATACAGGAAGTCAGTAGCTAAAGTCTGAAACTAATAACTCAAGAGTCAGCATATATATTTTTAATTTTTATTTTATTTTATTTATTTATTATTATTATTTTTGAGAGGGAGTCTTGCTCTATTGCCCAGACTGTAGTGTAGTGGCCTGATCTCAGCTCACTGCAACCTCTGCCTCCCAGGTTCAAGTGATTCTCCTGCCTCAGCCTCCCAAGTAGCTGGGATTACACCACACCCAGCTAATTTTTGTATTTTTAGTAGAGACGGGGTTACACCATGTTGGCCAGGCTGGCCTTGAACTCCTGACCTCAGATGATCTGCCTGCTTCAGCCTCCCAAAGTGCTGGGATTACAGACGTGAGCCACCGTGCCTGGTCAGCATATATATATATTTAATACAGAGTTGAACACCAGAACAAAGACGTTAAAATGAAATGGTTAACAATGTGTGCCCTTGGCAAGTGGGATGATGATGAGAGGAATGGGGCTGAAATTGACTCAGTGTGTGTGTGTGTGTGTGTGTGTGTGTGTGTGTGTGTGTGTGTGTCTGTGTGTATGTGTATGTTGTGTGTGTGTGTGTAAAAACCTTTTTTTGCTATGTACAAGTATCATCTGGTAATAAAAATTAATATTCTCTCCCAAATAACAAAGCATCACCAAAGAGGACATATTCCACATGTCTTAATTTCCCTCTCTGCTAAGTGCTGCACGGGGCACATTTAGATAAAATTATACTCCCTTTTATAATTTAAAAACTATTCCAATTCTATTATCTGCTGAAATTAAGAAGCTAAATTTGGGTTGGGGCTTTTTAAACAAAATATTTTTTATTTCAAGTATAAATTAGACTCAAAGTAATTAAAAAGCTTTGCTGTTGTGCATAATTTAAGTGGTATATTTAACACAATTCAAGCATTCTTAGTGCTTTTTTGTATTAAAAGAAAAAGATGTGCATTTGGTGTAGGCAGACAGTATAGGGAAAAGAATTGTCAGGTTGTGTCACTAACCAGCAGCCTCCGTGTGTCAATCTGTGTAGAACTACACCAGGGAGGCCAAGATTTCTTTCTCTTGGTTCTGTAACTCTAATTTTTTTTTTTTTTTTGAGACAGAGTTTTGCTCTTGTCGCCCAGGCTGGAGTGTAGTGGCTCGATCTTGGCTCACTGCAACCTCCACCTCCAGTTCAAGCGATTCTCCTGCCTCAGCCTCCCAAGTAGCTGGGATTACAGGCACCCACCACCATGCCTGGCTAATTTTGTATTTTTAGTAGAGATGGAGTTTCATCATATTGGCCAGGCTGGTCTCGAACTCCTGACCTTATGTGATCTGCCTGCCTCAGCCTCCCAAAGTGCTGGGATTATAGGCATGAACAACCGCACCCGGCCTGTAACTCTATTTTCTATTAAAGTATATTTTGTTGTTGTGATACTGGCACCTTTTGTGAGTATGAATCACATTTTCTTGCGCCTCTGTTTTGAACAAGAGTACCACATGGGCTGGGCATGGTGGCTCATGCCTGTAATCCCAGCACTCTGGGAGGCCAAAGTGGGTGGATCACTTGAGGTCAGGAGTTCAAGACCAGCCTGGCCAACAGGGTGAAACCCCATCTCTACTAAAAAATACAAAAATTAGCCTGGTGTGGTGGCACGCCCCTGTAATCCCAGCTACTCGGGAGGCTGAGACAGGAAAATCGCTTGAACCTGGGAGGCAGAGATTGCAGTGAGGAAGACTCTGTCTCAAGGAAAAAAAAGGGGTACCACATGAAAATATGTTTTATGCAACTTATCCTTTCACCTGAAGAATACATGTCAGGAAATCAAAACCAGTCTTTTAACTCTAAATGCGTTACAGGATTCTTAGTTTCCACAACACAAACGGGTATGTGTGATGACCCATTTTAAATACAGTCAAAATATTTTTTAAAATAATTATCATCTAAATAACTTCCCCAACTGGTCTGTCAGTGCTACTGCTACTGTTTTGAGAAAATTAATTCAAACAATTAGATGAGCCAAATGGAATTAGAACTTTGAATTCCTACTGCAAGTCTCAAAGTTGAACTTCTTCACTTAGAGAAAAGGGGTAGAAAAGGCACTTACTCAAGAATTCTGACTGGGAGTGGTGGCTCACACCTGTAATCCCAGCACTTTGGGAGGACAAGGTGGGAGGACTGCTTGAGCTCAGGCATTCAAGACCGTCCTGGGCAACATAGCAAGACCTCATCTCTACTAAAAGTAAAAAGAAAAATTAGCTGGGCTTGGTAGTGTGCACCTGTAGCCCCAGCTACTGGGGTTGGTGGGTGCTAAGATCGAGGCTGCAGTGAGCTGTGATTAGGCCACTGCACTCCAGCCTGCCTCAAATGAGGTCTCAGAATGAGACCCTGCCTCAAAAAAATTAAAAATTAAAAATAAAGAATTCCTTGGGAGCTGCAAGATTGTATTATCCCTGCTTCTGACTTGAGAGATCATTATCTTGTTAATTCTACTTCCCAAACTATACATAACATGAGGGTTTAAGAGGTATTTGCAGGATTTTTATGATTTGGGGAGACCCAGAACAGAAGATGGGAGGATCTGCTGGTTTCCAATGAAGAAGCTGAACCCTTGAAGGGTTTTGCTCTTCAAAGAGGGGCCAGCAAATGGAAACAAGATCATTTCGGTTTCTATCTCTTTGTTTATAAAAACAGCTAAGGGTTTCTCTGCCTATAGAGTAGTCGTTCTCTTGTTTCTTTACTTCTCAAATAAATAAATAAATGAAAAAGCTAAGGATCTCAATGTGTGAAATAACCATTATGAAAAGTAAATTACTGAGAAGACCTGAGGGCAAGCTAATATGCATTTAACTGTAAGAAACAAGTTACTTGCCTCAAAGTCTCAACAACAGGAGTTTATAATTCTCTTGTAACAAGGACTCCAGAGGCGGACAATGCCAGCGCTGGCCAATGGCTTTGCAGCATCAGGGTTTGGGTCAGCTCCTCCTTGATTCTCTTGGTCCAGGTGGCCACAGCAGCTCCAGTGTCCCGTCCTCACACAAGGTCCAATGTGAGAAGGGAGGGAGGGAACATCTCGTTACCTTATTCCCTCCTTTCATCAGAGAGTAAAATTATTCTGAGAAATTACACCTTTAAAATAAATCAAATAATTTTTTTAAAAATGGACAATTTAAAAAATAACATTAAAATTACTGTGTTAGGAAAGTGTTCATAAGAGCAAAAAAGTTTAAAAAGTAATTCTTTTAAATTAAAAAAAATGTTTTTAGGAGTCCCTGGCAAACTTGCCTTCATGTGTCATTGGCCAGGAATGGGGCTCACGAATGATCACCACAAATCATAAGGGAGACTCAGAGAGCAAGTGTCTAGAACTTTGGGCTGTAAAAGTAGAAGGTAGGTTCTTTGGGTAAAGAAGAAGAGTGGGGAAACAGCTGTCAATTTCACAACCAGCAGTGTCTGCCAATGAATAAATGTATCCTAAGCTGCTGACTTTCTTGGCAAAATCATGAGTTTATGAATAAATAAAGGTGTAACTGAGTAGTCATTGCCGACCTGTTGCATCATCACACCAACACCCTTCCGCATGTTCTACTATGACCAGAAGGGCCTTGAACACTCATCTTTTCCATCCTTCCACCCTTGGGCACAATTGCATGTGAAACAGCCCCCAAATGGAGCAATTTCTCCAGCCTAAATCACCAGAGAAGAAGCCATCATTCCTGACCTCATTCATTGGCCAGAAGGTCTTCAAATTTCCCAGGAGGGCAGTCCTTGCCCTAGCATGACTTATGATCAGGCTGTGTAGACAAAACACACACGTGTTAATAAGTAAAGGACACCGTTAGGTAATGCCCATCCAGGGCTGGGTTCATTCATTCATTCATTCCACAGATATCTACTATTTGCTGGCACTGGTCTATGCACTGTGGATCCCAAAAGAAAACAAGAAATCAAGATCCGTCTTGAAAGAGCTTACATTCCAGTGTAGGAAGACAGACAATAAGCTAGTAAGCCACTGCATAAACAGAACAGTGGTAAGATCTGTGAAGCACCTAGAACGGATGATATAAAATAGGGGGTGGGGGGCAGGAGCTACTTTATTTTATTTATTTATTTATTTTGAGACGGAGTCTCGCTTTGTCACTCAGGCTGGAGTGCAGTGGCGCGATCTCGGCTCACTGCAAGCTCCGCCTTCCAGGTTCACACCATTCTCCTGCCTCAGCCTCCCGAGTACCTGGGACTGCAGGAGCCCGCCACCACACCCAGCTAATTTTTTGTATTTTTAGTAGAGACAGGGTTTCACCGTGTTAGCCAGGATGGTCTCGATCTCCTGACCTCGTGATTCGCCCGCCTCATTCTGCCAAAGTGCTGGGATTACAGGCGTGAGCCACCGCGCCCAGCCAGGAGCTACTTTATACAAGAAGGTCAGGGGAGGCCTTTCTGAGAAGCTAACACTGGCGCTAAGACCTGAAAGATGAGAAGCCCGTTGCGAAAAGATCTGATGGAAGAGCATTCCAGGCAAAGGGAACGGCCAGTGCAAAGGCTCTAAGATGGAACGAGGAATAGAAAGAAGACCAGTGCGGCCACAGCACAGTGAGCAAGGGAGAGTGGTAGACACTGAGATCCGCCAGGATCCAACAGGGCCTCATGGGCCACAGGATGGTTTGGGATTTATTCGAGGTACAATATTCCACCTTGGCGAGTCGTAAGCAGGAGAGCGACATGACCAAGTTGAGTGCAGAATGGATTTTAATAGGGCAGGTGTTGAAGCAGAACATGCATTAAGAAGCTATTGCAGGCGATGATGGTAACTGGGCTAGAGAGTTGGCTGTGAATGGAGAGATGGGCTGTCTTTAGAGAGCGTGGACTGAATATGGGTGGTGAGGGAAAGAGGACTTTGGCCTGAGCATCGTGGTGGCTGGTGTGCCGTTGATGGAGATGAGGAAGACTGGAGCTGGGCCGCCTCACGGCTTTTATAGATTCAGGGTCTTCCGCGGTGGGAAAGACAACTGTGGCTTATGGTACTAAGAGCCCTTTCAAGAGGAGGCCTAGGAGGGTGTTTCATGCGGAGGGAGGTGTGAGCAGAAGCAGAAAGGCAGGCTGTTTTGATTGGAAGGCTGGGGCAATGGGGCTGGAGAGGTGTGATGGGACTACACCATGGACATTTGAAGCTGCATTTAACAAATGATTTCTCCTGTCAGTTCTTCAGCAACCTCACAGTGACAGCTGTGCTGGCAGGGAAGAACGTCTGAGTGGTGGGAGGCAGGTGGCTGGGGTAAGGTCCACTGGCCACTGTCAAGAGGCCTCACTGAGGGGCCTTAACTACTTGGGACAATTTGCCACCACCAGGGTCTGCCCCCCAACCTGATAGGGTTAGAAACCAGAACACATCCGTGCTCCCACAGATGAGCAGGCCCTCTGGAGAAGTCAGAATAAGTCACGTGAATTGGAAGAATGAGCCAGAAAGCCATCTTACTAACTCAGAGTGAATCCCAATTGCCCCATCCTCTTTCCACAGCCACGCCCCTCCCCTTGCCTATCCCCCGAGGCACAGCAATAATTGGTGGTAAGTTTGGTTAGCACAGAAATGGAGCCAAGTCTTGAGGAGCATTTCACCCAGGAATGGTGGGCCCGGGAAATCCTCTCTTCCCACTCATGCCTGGGCTGCTCCTGTCTCCATGCCACCTCTCTCCCTCCTGGACAATGCTGACCCTGACAGCCGCCACATTCACTTCTCCAACTGCCCAACAAAAACCTTCACAACAGGCCAGGCACAGTGGCTCACACCTGTAATCCCAGCACTTTGGGAAGCCGAGGTGGGTCGATCACCTGAGGTCAGGAGTTCAAGACCAGCGTGGCCAACATGGTGAAACCCCGTCTCTACTAAAAATACAAAAATCAGCCAGATGTGGTGGGATGCACCTGTAATCCCAGCTACTCGGGAGGCTGAGGCAGGAGAACCGCTTGAACCCGGGAGGCAGAGGTTGCAGTGAGCCGAGATCGCGCCATTGCACTCCAGCCTGGGTGACAGAGCAGGACTCTTGCCTCAAAAAAAAAAAAAAAAAAAAAAAATTCCTTCACAACAGATAGGGCTGCCCGCCAAGCTTACCTCGTGGGAGCCCTTGACATATATCATCGTATGCAGCCCTCATGACCACCTTCTGAGGTCAGCCCCATTCTACAGGTGAGGGAACTGAAGTTAAAAAGGTTAAGGATCTTGCTCAAGAACACAGAGCTTGTGAGTGACACAACCTGGCCTCACCTGGGTCTGTCTGGCTCCCACAGCCAGGCCCTCTCCAGATGCCTTTACTCCTATGTTTCTATTCGTCCATTGTTCCATTTCTTGGAACATCTTCCTCGGGCCTCAGAACACGTTCCACCTCCTCCTTTGGCACTTCTGAGTGGACACCCTCAGTCGCCAGCCAGACCACCACATCCTAGAAAAGACCCCAAGGACTCTCCATGGCAAAACTAGAATCTTTACATGCCACCCCATTTGTTCAGAATAGAACCCAAGCCCCTAGTGGGCTGCAAGGCGCCCCCCACAGCCTGGGCTCACGTCCCCATTACACACCCTCCTCAGGCCAGCGTCGGGATCACTTGGGGGCTATTGAAAATGCGAATATGGTGGCATTTCCCCAGCCTCTGGCCTGGTCTCTTGGCGTTGTTAATAGCGATGATAAGCAACATGACTGTTTACTCTTGCTAGTCACTTGTTTTACAAGTATTTGTTCACCTAATCCACAAATTACCCTGTGAAACAGAAACTGTTAGTAGACATATTTAATAGACGAGATGGTTGAGGCACCAGGAGGGTAATTAACTTGCTCAATATCATCAGCTAGTAAGTGGTGGAGCTGGATCGGAAACCATTTGTCACGTCTATCCCCAGACGCCCAGCAGGTTCACATCTCAGACCTAAAGCTTGTATCTGCTGAAAACAGATGACTCAGGCCTGACTTCCAGGTGTTGGAGCAGAGAAAAGAGAAAACCAACTGGGTCTGCAGCCTGCACTGGGACCACGCCCTTCTGAGAGCCACTGCGCCCAGGTTAGGACGGCGCAGGTTCAGTTCTGCCACATGAATTCAGACCCCACTTCTTCCCAAATAGGGTAAACAAAAGAATGTCAGCCTCAACATCCTGTTCTTTAGAAATCCCTGCTGCTTTCTTCCTTAGCCCCACCCACTGTAATACTTTGCTCAAGGTAGGTTTCATAGTGAGTTGAAAGGCAGCCTTCATTTCTCAATATGACAAATTAAACTCTTGTCAAGGGATGCTTTATATTTAGCTATTAAAAAGAACTGAAAACAGGTCGGGCATGGTGGCTCACGCCTGTAATCCCAGCACTTTGGGAGGCCAAGGCGAGTGGATCACGAGGTTAGGAGATCGAGACCATCCTGGCTAACACGGTGAAACCCCATCTCTACTAAAAATACAAAAATATTAGCCAGGCATGGTGGCGGACGCCTGTAGTCCCAGCTACTCGGGAGGCTGAGGCAGGAGAATGGCGTGAACTCGGGAGGCGGAGCTTGCAGTGAGCCGAGATCACACCACTGCACTCCAGCCTGGGCAACAGAGCAAGACTCCACCTCAAAAAAAAAAAAAAAAAAAAAAGAATTGAAAACAATTTGCATGTCTGTGAATGTGTGTTTGTGTCTGAGTGTGTGGTGCAATCATTATTAGCAAAGGGGAAGATGGCAGGTGGCACATGTCACAGGCAGAAGAATTTTGCAGGGAAGTACATAGAGAATCCTCAAGGTGGTGACGTGCCTGCCACGTTCCAGGACTGCATGGCTCCCAGCAGCTCATAAGAATCCCACTTTGAGCACTGCAGGGAAAACGGGTCACCTCATCCCTTCCAGCTCAGCTGTGCCCAGGGCCTAGGACTTCCCACTGGGGACTCTGTGGCTGTTTATTTTAGTCCCTGCTCCTGCCAGCTCTGTGCTTGGCGTCCACCTGAGGCAGCTTCCTGGAGAAACGGCTGAGCCACAGGGCATTGTCCCCAGACCGCAGAGCAAATGGTGGAGTGCCATGACGATGACAAACATTTACTGAATGTGTAGACATTCCCACTTAATCCTTGAAAACAGAACACAAAATAGGCTAAGAGCTTACATAATTTGCCTGATGTCACAGTTAATAAGTGGTGGAACTGGCATTCAAACCCAAAACATACGCTTCGAACCACTCTACGGATCACTGGTGACCAGCTCAGGATGCCAGCAAGAGCAGGCCTCCCATGAGAGAGCGTCGTGCAGTTTGCTGGATACGGTGGGAATGACCCATATTTGAGCTCCCAGGGGAGAAGCAAATGGGGGACAGGACTGGACAGCCAAGGTGCAGGGCATCCTCTGGGAAGGCGCGTGGCTCGGAACACAAAGGCTTCCCGGGTGCAGCATGGGAGGGAGCCCGGGCCAGGCTTCTTGGGTCCACGCCTAGCTCTGCCACTCAGACCCACCCCAGGATCTGTGGGCCCAGAGGGGAGGATGGAAGGAGGCCACAGACCACATGTCTAAATATTTAAAATACTTTAAAGCTGTCAGTCAAGCCGACAGACATAAGGAGAATACACTCCACCCTCCTACGTTGACACATAAACTTCTCAATGACCTGGAAGGCCAGGTGTGAATGCAGAACTCTGGGGCTCCACACAGTTCTGTGTCTGGAGGAGGGAGTGTGGGGAGGCCCATGGCTCGCCCTCCTCTTCCCACGCCCTGCTCTGTCACACCTTCAAAGGGGCCACGTGTGGACAGTGAGACTGCTGGTTCAAATTCTGTCCACACTTTTCATAAAGAGCTGCCCTGCGGCCACCATTTGGGCCCACTGAGGTGGCAGCATGCACCCAAAGGAAGACAGGCCTGGGGAGAGGCCCTGGCAGCAGCCTCATGGCTGTGTGGGCTGGAATTCCACAGTGTGTGCTCCCAAGTGTAGTCCACAAGCAGGAAGTGAGCCTTCCCCTTGGCTCCGAGGGCTCCTTGCCTTGTGGGGAGGGCACCGCCAGACAGAGGCCAGAGCAGGCCATCTAAAGCGTGGGGCCCTGGCAGAGGCCCGTCAGGCCTGGCTCTCGGGAGGTTGCTGCCACCATTTCCTTATTGTGGAACTTTGGGCACATTAGTCTCTCTGTGCCTCGCCTTCCTCCTCTGTGAATGGAGATGATTACAGTGAGGAATAACCGAGGAACAGCGTGCCTATTCAGGATGAGTAAGGTGCTTATGGCGGTGCTCGGAAATAGTAAGTGTGATATAAATGCTCACAATTAAGTGTAATTAGTGTAATTATTATTTGGTTTTAGTCAGGGATCTTCAAAGTCGTTAACAGATTGAGTGCTGGAAAAAAAATAAAAAACTCATCCGTTCTCAGGCCAGAGCTTGTAAAGGAAGAGAAAGTGTGGGAAAGCAGGGAGCAGAAGGGAGTGGGATAGAGGGAACGTGGGGCATTCGCTGCGAATCCACCCAAAAAACATGCACTAGGGAGGCATGTTTCTAGGCCCCCGGTAACAGGAGTGAGAAAGACAGACGGCGATTCTTGCCTTCATGCACCTTCTTGGCACAGCAGTCAGGGTGGGAGGTGAGAAGGAAGATATTTAACAAGGAAACAAAGAAATAAGCATTATCATTCCAGATGGAGACAAGGGGAGTGAAGGAAATCAAACAGGGAAAATCAAGAGAGAATGACTCTGCAGGAAGGTGGGGTGCAGGCTGGGCCAGGCAGAAGGGAAGAACTACTCTCAGGAGGACTGCCAAGACCTCTCTCAGGAGACAACTGTAAAACTGAGACCTGAGCGGGGAAAACAAACAACGAATAACAAAAAACCTGAGACCTGAATAATGTGGAGGAATTGACTGTGTAAGAATCAGGGAGAGGGTGTTCAAGAAAACGGCTGATGAGGCCGGGCACGGTGGCTCACGCCTATAAACTCGGCACTTTGGGAGGCCGAGGCGGGCAGATCGCTTGAGGTCAGGAGTTCGAGACCAGTCTGGCCAACAAGGTGAAACCCCATCTCTACTAAAATACAAAAATTAGCCAGGCGTGGTGACACGCACCTGTAGTCCCAGCTATTTGGGAGGCTGAGGCAGGAGAATCGCTTGAGCCTGGGGAAGTGGAGGTTAGAGTGAGCCGAGATCGCACCACTGCACTCCAGCCTGGGCGACAGAGCGAGACTCTGTCTCAAAAAAAAAAGAAAAATAAACAGGGCTCTGGCATGACTCCTAGGTCTGGGGCCTGAGTAGCAAGCTGGTGTGATGTCTTTACTGAATGAGTCCAGACTAGGGGAGAAATAGAGTTTGTAAAGAAAACCCACAGTTTCAGTTAGGACATGTCAACTTCAAGATGGCAGTCATTTATTCCAATGGCAATATTGAGTCAGATACATGAATTTTGAACTCAAGAGTGAATTTAGGGCTAAAAATATAAATTTAGGAGCAGTGGTTCACAGATGTATTTATTTATTTATGTTATTATTATTATTATTTGAGACAAGAGTCTCGCTGTCACCCAGGCTGGAGTGCAGTGGCATCTTCTGGGCTCAAGCCATCCTCCCACCTCAGCCTCCTGAGGAGCTGGGACTACAGGCATGCACCACCACACCTGGCTAATTTTTTATATTTTTAGTGGAGACAGCTTTTTCCATGTTGCCCAGGCTGGTCTCAAACTCCTGAGCTCAAGCAATCCACTCACCTTAGCTTCCAAAGTGCTGGGATTACAGGCATGAGCCACCACGCCAGCCTGCAGATGGTATTTACAAGGGACAAAATCGGATGGGATTGCTTGCAGAGAACATGTAGGAGATAAGAAGGCTGAAGGCTGATGGCTGAGGGCCTCTCACATTCAGAGCTGTGGGATGATTAAGAGCCAGTAAAGGAGACTGAGAAGGAGTTGCTGGGGAAGTAGGAAGAGAACAAGCAGATGACATGGTAGGCTCAACAGTGGGCACCAGAATGTCCATACCCTAATCTGAGGAACATGTGAATATGTTACCTTAGGTGACAAAAGGGACCTTGCAGGTGCAACTGAGGTTAAGGAGTTTGGGATGGAGAAATTATCCTGGATTATCTCAGTGGGCCCAATCTAACCACCCGATTCTTTACAAATACACAAGGCAGCAGTGGGAGTCAGAGAGGTGTGATGATGAAAGGGGCTCAGAAGATGTAAAACACGAGGAAGAATTGACCCACCACTGCCGGCTCTCAAGATGGAGAAGCCAAAAATTCAGGTGACCTCTAGAAACTGGGAACGGCCCTCAGCTGACAGCCAGCCCAGACACAGGACCTCAGTCCTTCAGCCGCAAGGACTGAATTCTTCTAATAAACTGAATGATTAAGGAAATGGATTTGCCCCTAGAACCTCTGGCAAAGAATCTAACTCTGCCAACACTCTGATTTTAGCCCAGTGAGCCCCATGTTGGATTTCTGAACTACAGAACTATAAAATAATAAATTTGCATAGTTGTAAGCCACAAAATCTGTGGTAATCTGTTATTGCAGCAAGCCAGTGAATGTATGTGGTTTAAACTAAAAGCTGAAGGAAGAACGTGTTTCAAGAAGGAGGGGGCCATCAGCTGTGTTGCAAGCTGCTGAGAGGTTGAGTCAGAGGAAGACAGACATAACCTTTGAATGGGGCAACGCAGAGACTGCCACTGACCTCGACCAGCAGTTTCAGTGGAATGGTGAGATCAGAACGCAGACGGGAGTGGGGCAGGCCATGAAGGTCAGGGTGATGATGCAGTGAAGACAGACAACTCTTGTCAAGTTTTGAAGAGGGGGGAGGAAATGGGGCAGTATCTGGAGAAGGGTGTATGTTCATACAAGAGTTCCACTTTGTTTTAGTGAGAGACAGAGAGCAGGTTGTTTGCTGAAGGAATTGACCTTGTGGGGGAGAAAAAGTGAGATTTGCGAGTGGGGTTGGGGGACCAGCAGCAAAGTGGGATCCAGAGTGCAAGTGGAGGGGCCGGTGTTGATGGGAGGAAGGGGCAGGAGGGAAGACAGAAGATGAGTCTGGGCGCGAGGTGGCTTCTAGCTTGATGGTGGGAGGAAAAGGAGTTCCAGTCTGATGGCTTCTATTTTGTCATCAAAGTGACCGAAGTGAGGTCTTGTGTGAATGTACAAGGGGGAAGAAAGCATGCTGGAGGCTTGAGGAGCGAGAAAAGGGTATAGAATGGCTCACCCTGGAGCCTGGGAAGCAACCTGATGATAGAAGCGGAGCCCGCTGCCCCAGGAAGGAACTGGCCTCTGCTGCCTCTTTCACCTTCCTGGCGCGGTCCTGGGGGTGGTCTGCTGGGTTCAGGTTGGGCTGTGGAGTATGTTCTTACTCACTAGGCAGGTAACCCAAGCAGCTTTTATAGCCTTGGTCTCTTCACCACCATCATCTTAGTCATGCTTGCCCTGCCTACTTCCATCAAAGGAGGCAGCAAGTGCTGCATGGACAGTCAGGCGCTGTCTGAGTGGGAGTCATGGTTTTTTCCTTATGGATGGAGTCCATCCTGTAATACCTGGCCAGTGAGGAGATCCCCAGCAAGCTAGAGATGAGCACAGAGGGAGAGCGTCTGTCTAGCTCGCAGCAATGGCCTCTGCCTTCTGAGATCGCTTCCTTCGTAAGCGTAAGCAGTAACTTCCACCTCCACCCGGTCCCCAAGAGGCCTGACAGACTCCCAGCCTGGGTTTACTTTCCTGGGGCAATAGTAATATGAATCCACATAGAGGCTTGGTCCCCATGGGGTGCTCCTCCAGCCATAGTGTCTGCAGCTGTCATCTGGCTAGATGAAGGAAGGGAAACCAGGGCCTGATGCTGTCCTGCCATTTGCTGAATGTCACCCTCCAGGGTAGCCCAAGAAGAAGCAGTAAGTCTTCCAATGTGAGTTTCCTGTAAAAGTTCTTTGGTGACGTAGGGCTTTTTGTGTAGGTGATTTGGGAAGGGGCAACTTTACAAAAATCAGATAAGCTGGGTGGGTGGCTCATGCCTCTAATCCCAGTACTTTGGACAGCCAAGGTGGGAGGATTACTTGAGCCCAGGAGTTCAAGACCAGCCTGGGCAACATAACAAGACCCCATCTCTACAAAAAAAAATTTTAAATTAGCCAGGGCTGGTAGCCTGTGGCTGTTGTCCCAGCTACTCAAGAGGCTGAGGTAGAAGGATCACTTGAGTCTAGGAGGTCAAGGCTGTAGTGAGCTGTAATTGTGCCACTATACTCCAGCCTGGGCAACAGAGCAAAACTCCATCTAGAAACAAAACAAAACAAAACAAAAATAGATCAATAAGCCTCATTGTGACCAAAGAGAGGTAGTGTTCTCCCAGTGAAAAGCAGGAGTCAGGGAGCTCAAGGACTTTGTCCAGGATCAAACACAGGTCAGCTGAGGACCTAGGAATCCAATTAGTTTGACTTGACTCCAAGCTCATGTTTTATTCTACCATACGAAACTGCTTCCCTGGATCCAACCAGCCTGCCTGCTTCCCAGCAAAGGGAAGAGGAGGGAAGGAGCCAGCATTTACCAAGCACTTGTTTACCAGGGGTCCTGCTCTTTGCAGTTCACAGTCGGGGGAAGGAGCACCCCTAGATGGCCAAGAGGCTGTTTCATGATTAACCCCTGCCAATCGGAGGTCTATGGGAAACAGGTATGCTCTGGCTGAAAGCCATGCTGAGTTCAACATGTCATCCTGGTCACCAAAGATAAAAGGATCAGGAAAATAACAGCACAAGTAGATACTACATTCTCCTCTCCAAATACCTTCTCTCCTCCTCCTCTCAGTCCCCAAATGCCATTTTTCCCCGAAATGGAAAGTAGGAGATAAAACTATCAGGGAGATGAGGTCGGCGCGGTGACTTACGCCTGTAATCCCAGCACTTTGGGAGCCCAAGGTGGGCGGATCACGAGGTCAGGAGTTTGAGACCAGCCTGGCCAACATGGTGAAAATCTGTCTCTACTAAAAATACAAAAAATAGCTGGGCGTGGTGGTGCACGCCTGTAATCCCAGCTACTCAAGAGGCTGAGGCAGAGAATTGCTTGAATCCAGGAGGCAGAGGTTGCAGTGAGCTGAGATTGTGCCACTGCACTCCAGCCTGGGCGACAGAGCAAGACTCTGTCTCAAAAAAAAAAAAAACTATTAGGGAGATGAAAGTGAAATGGAACTCCTTCTGATCTCACAGAAACATTCAAACAGTGGAGGAGAAAGGCATAGGAAAGAAACTGGATAAGGTATATAAAGAGAAACAAGCACATAGCCCCTCCAAGGGATTTTGCCAAACGCTTCACTTCTGCTCTTTATCCACTTGTGATATTTGTAGATGACATAAGCTGGTTATGTGGCAGCTCTATGGACTTACTGTTGCATTGTTCAAGGCCAAGTTTCCCAAAAGGAGCTGGGGAATAACATAATGTTGAGTCCAGAACGTTCCTTTGGCAGAGTTTTATGTTAGAATCTTAATACAGAAATGAGAAGAGAAGGAATACACTGATAATATTTATTTTATATTTACAGTGGGATCCTGGTAAAAGGTGTTGGCACCCTTTCAAAAAATTGTTGGTACCTTTGTACAGAGCTGTGGTCATATCAATTGGCACAATACTTTTGGAAATTACAATTGTTCCGTGAAAGGGCCATTTACGCAGAGTGATGCCCAAGTGTCAAAGAAGTCCAGAAACCAAAGCAGGAGGCTGTCAAATCCAGTTTGTTGATTTTAGGTCACTTACTAGGGCAACTTAAAGACAGAAGCATGCTCTTGGGCAGCCACGAGATACGTAGGTCTCTGTACTGCAACCCCCGAAACCCAGGGCCTCTATCTCGGGGAAAAAGTGTATGTGCTCTGAAAGTGTATGTGGAATATAATGTATCTGGAAGTATACGTGCTCTGGGAAGTGTAGGTGGCTACCAGCATCACAGCCTATTTCTGCAACAGCATCAAGGGTTGCTTTGGAGGAAAAGCAAAACTTGAAATGAAGAGGTATTCCCACAGAAAGAGTAATACATCAACTAGACATTTTGTTCCTGGACTTGAAGTTAGTCAGGTAGATTAGCATTTAAAATAAAGTCACTCTTGGCTGGGCACAGTGACTAATGCCTGTAAATCTCAGCACTTTGGGAGGCCGAGGTGGAAGGATCACTTGAGCCAAGGAGTTTGAGACCACCCTGGACAACATAGCAAGACTTCATCTCTATTAAAAAAAAAAAGTAGCTGGGTATGGTGGCACACATCTTCAGTCCCAGGTATTCAGGAGGCTGAGGCAGGAGGATCGTTTGAGCCAGGAGGTCGAGGTTGCAGTGAACTAAGATCATGCCACTGCACTCCAGCATGGTGGACAGAACAAAACCCTGTCTCAAAAGAAAAAAAGCCACTCTTGTCCACAACAATTTGTACCATGAACCACAAAATTTTTCATATATATTTTGACCTAATGAACTTTTTGAGGAAAAAGAGATAAACACCAAAGATATGCATAAACGTTTATGACTATAAAACATTAAAAATAACCATAATATTCAATGTTGTAGAAATAATGGAGTAAACTGTTACCCACTCATTTGGCAGAATATTTTACAACCACTGTAATTAGTGGTGTGCTGGACTCAGCCCATACTGGCTTGAGAGAGCCAATTGTGTGCATTCTTCCCAACTCTGCATTCCATGATGTCATGTCAGTAGCATGAAATCAGCCATGGTGGGAGTATTTACACGAGAGAAATTGGCAAACACTACCAATTAGGGCTTACCCCATCCCCAGAGAGCAAGTTGTTAAAACATTTTCCAGCACACCATTGGTAAGTGGTATATATAAAAAAGATACAAAATTATAAGTGTACCATTGTCATAACAATGTTAAAAATGAATATAAAGATAAGACATGGAAGGGACTATAGATGAGCTGAAAAAAGATTGTGGATAACTTATTTTTTTATTTCAAGCTCTGTTTATTGCTATAGTCTTATTTATATAAAAACACATTTTTTAAATGTTTAAATCTGGTCTTCTGTTTTCACTATGACCAAATAATTTCCTATGAATTCATCCTCTCACATATACAAAATATAATCTCTGGAAAACACACACACACACACACACACACACACACACACACACACACAAACTGCATACAGACACTGGAGAGTGAAAAAGGCAGGCAGATTCTGAAGCAGAGTCAACATTTGGAAGAGGGAAACAATATAAAATAAAGTGTCCCATTTTTATGACAGTTAATTTGAAGGCAGGCTGCAGTTGGTACTGTGTGTAGAGCAGCTAAAACTTTGGTGGGAAATTAGCAATATTTTCTGGCCTGAAGACCAGGAGACACAGTTTAGGGCACCTAAAGCCATTTAGAAAATGAGGAGGGAATCCCAGAAGTGAGAGTCAGAGAAGGGAATTCTCAAGTTCTGTGCATAAACTGCCCACATTGCTGGCTGCCCTGGATCACACATATGTGGTACACATTCAAACCAGCCCAGCTTGAGCTAGAAGACGTGAACTGATTTTGAGCTGCTGCCCAAGATACAGCATTTGTAGCTAACATCCAGCCAAGTTAACTCGCTTGTTCCTAAAACCAAACCAAACCAAAAAGCCAACTCTCTGGAAAAAACAACAGAATCCAAAGTCTCCACAGCATAACACTGACAATGTCTTAGAAAAAATCCAAGAATATCTGACATATAAAGAACCAGGAAAATGTAGTCTATTCTCAACGGAAAAGAATCACAAAATGACTCAGATCCTGGAATCAGGAAACACGACTTTAAAGCAGCTATATAAGCATGATTGATGAGGTAAGAAAAAACATACCTGCAATAAATGGAAAAGTAGGGAATCTCAGAAGAATCTACAAGAGTTTCTATAGACATCATAGAAGTAATTAAGTAAAATTCTAGGACTAAAAATTACAAGATCTAAAAGAAAAAATTATGGAATGGGCTTAACAGAATGATGATGAATCAAGAAAAAAATCCATAAACTTGAGGTTGGGTCAATAGAACTTACTCAATCTGAGAACAGAGAGAAAAACAAAATTGAAAAAATCTGAAAAGGGTTTCAGAGACCTGTGGAATCTGTGGAACCTGTGGAACCTGTGGAACCTGTGTCTAACATACTTACAGTTGAAGTCACAGAAGGAAAAGAATGAGAGAATGTAACAAAAAATATTAGAAGAAATAATGGCTGGACCTTTCCCAAATATGATGAAAGACATAAATTTATTGATTTAAGAAACTCAATAAACCTGAGGCAGAATAATTATGAACAGGACCATGTCTAAGCACATCATAGTCAAACTATTGAAAAGCAAAATGAATGAGATAGCGGTCAGAGAAAAACAACATATTACATACAAGGAACAAATATGTGAATGACTGCTAATTTCTCATCAATAGTCATAAAAACATCCTTAAAGTGCTGAAAGAAAAAATACATTCAATTCTATAGCTAATGAAAATATCCTTCAAGAATGCGGGCAAATAAAGACATTTTCAGATAAAACAAAATTGAGAAAACTCATTGCCATCAGAGCTCTACAGGAAATTATAAAGTTTTTCTTCATGCTAAAGGAAAATAATACCAGATCAACACTTGGATCTTCAAGGAAGAATAAAGGGTATTGAAAATGGTTACTATCTAAATAAATAGAAAAGACTATTTTTCCTCTTAATTTCTTTAAAAATATATGACTACAATTTGAATTTTAAAAACTAATATTTTTTGTGGGTGGTTTTATAAGTAGATATAATTAATAGATATGACAACTATAATATAAAGCACGGGTTGGCAAACATTTTCTGTAGAGGGCAAGATAGGAAATATTTGGATTGGGGCCATAGAATCTCTGTCACAAAGACTCAACTCTGCCACTTGTAGCCATATAAAAACCAAAAGTAATGGCCGTGGCAGTGTTCCAATAAAACTTTATGTACAAAATATGCAGCAGGCAGGAACTGTTCTTTATAACAGGAACCACTGTTATAAAGAACAGAGGCAGCAGGGTAGCAGATGGACTTACACAATTATGAAGTTTCTGCATTTTATGTGAAGTACAATATTAGCTCTAAATAGACTGTGAAGAGTTTATGTAAAGTATAATATTAACTCTAAGTGGACTGTGAGAAGTTAGTGTCTCTCAATAGCAGCACTATTCACATTTTGGCCAGATAATTCTTTGTGGTGGGGGGCTGTCCTGAGCAATGAAGGATGTTTATCAGCATCTCTGGCTTCTACCCCTACCCACTAAATGTCAGTAGTGCCACCCTACCTAGCTGTGTCAACTAAAAATGCCTTCAGACATTGCCAACTGTCCACTGGAGGGGTAAATGTCCACTGCCCCCCTTGTAAGAACCAATGACCTAACGTAACCACTAAAAATTGCAGAGGCATAACCAAAAAGCCAATAGATACATTAAAATGGAATTCTAGAAAAGATTCACATAGTCCAAAAGAAGGCAGGAAAGGGAAAAACAAACAACAGAGAGTAAAACAGAAGATAACAAAGCAAGACATAAGTCCAACCATATCAATATTGCATTGTTAGTTAATTGGATACTCCAATTAAAAGGCAGAGATTGTGAGAATGAATGAAAAAGCAAGACCCAACTACATGTTGTCTCAAAAGACATACTTTTAATATGAAGACATAAATAACTTGAAAGTAAATGAATAGAAAAAGCTACGCCATGTAAACTGTAAAAGATTGAGAAGACTGCAGTGGGGTATATATGTATATATACATATATATATAAAAGTGGGGTATATATGTATATATATACATATATATGTGTGTATATGTGTGTGTATATATATATAAGTGGGGTATATATGTATATATATACACATATATATGTGTGTGGGTATATATATATAAGTGGGGTATATATGTATATATATACATATATATGTGTGTGTATATATATATATATAAGTGGGGTATATATGTATATATACACATATATATGTGGGGTATATATATGTATACATATTTACATATCCTCCTTTATATATATCCTCCTCATATATATATATCCTCCTTAGCAGCAATACAATGGATATATTAATAACAGATAAATAACAGCAATAGATATATTAATAACAGATAAAATAATGGATATATTAATAACAGATAAAACAGAATTCAAGGTTAAGAAGTACTACCACAGATAAAAACAGGCAGTTTGTAATGATAGAAGGATCAATTCATCAGGAAGCCATAACGATTATAAACATGTGCGTTCTTCTTCATAACAGAGACTAAGATACATGAAGCAAAAGTCAACAGAAAGGCCAGGCATGGTGGCTCATGCCTGTAATCCCAGCACTTTGGGAGGCCGAGGCGGGCAGATCACGAGGTCAGGAGGTCAGGAGATCGAGACCATCCTGGCTAACATGGTGAAACTCTGTCTCTACTAAAAATACAAAAAATTAGGCAGGCATGGTGGCAGGCGCCTGTAGTCCCAGCTACTCGGGAGACTGAGGCAGGAGAATCGCTTGAACCCAGGAGGTGGAGGTTGCAGTGAGCTGAGATCGCGCCACTGCACTTCAGCCTGGGTGACAGAGCAAGACTCCGTCTCAAAAAAAAAAAAAAAAATCAACAAAAGAGAAAAAGACAGTCCCACAATTACAGTAAGAGATTTTTAATCTCTCTCTCTCTCTCAGCAATTGATAGAACAAGTCAGTAAAGACAAGATGGTTGGACAACACTGTCAATTGCCTTGACCTAACTGATAATTACAGAACACAACACTCAACAACTGTAGAATGCACATCACTCTAAAGTGAGTGTGGCATCTTTACCAAGAATGACCATATGCAGGACCACAAAAACAAAGCTCAAGAAATTGAGAAGAGTTAAAACTATACACATTTTAAAATACAACTTCAGGCCGGATGCAGTGGCTCATGCCCATGATCCCCATGCTTCCGGAGACCAAGGCGGGAGGATCACTTGAGGCCAGGAGTTCAAGACCAGCCTAGGTGATACAGCAAGACCCCATCTCTACAAAAACTAAATTAAAAAAATTATCCAGTTGTAGTGGCGCATTGCTGTAGTCCCAGCTACTTGGGAGGCTGAGGCAGGAGGATCGCTTAATTAAGCACATGAGGTTGAGGCTACACTGAGCTATGATTATGCCACTGCACTCTGCCTGGGTGACAGGGTGAGAATCTGATTCTAAAATAAACTAATTAACAAAATAAAATAACCCCCAATACAATTAAATTGGAAATTAATCACATTAAGATATTTAAGAAAATCCCAAACATTTGGAAATTAAATAATTTATTTCTCAATAATTCATGGCTCAAAGAAAACAACACACAGAAAATCAGAATAAACATTTTTCAAGCCAGTGTAGGGAGGAAATATATTTATTTGAACATGGAATTAGAAGTTTATAAGTACCAATGTAGAGGCTTCTTGTTACAATGACATTGCTAAGGAAAAGATATAGTAATGCAGGAGGAAGGGGATTCTAAAGAGGCTGGTGACAAAAAGCTCTCAGGAGAGAACATTTGAACTAAGACCTAATTAATGAGGTATACAGTTGTCCCTCTCTATCCATGGGGGATTTGTTCCAGGATCCCTGAAGATACCCAAATCCACAGATGCTCAAATGCCTGATATAAAATGGCATAGTATTTGCACATAACGTATGCACATCTTCCCATATACTTTAAATCATCTCTAGATTGCTTATAGTACCTATTACAATGCCTCCACATCACTTCATTCATGTGGAATTAGTGTAGTAATCACCACATGCAAATTCAAGTTTTACTTTTTGTAACTTTGTGGAATTTTTTCACCCTGAATATTTGCAGTCCATGGTTGGTTGAATCCTTGGGTACAGAACAGAAGGCCAATTGTAAAATCAAATAAACAAACGTGTTATCAGTTGAATCGTACTTCCCCAAAAGATGTTGTGGTCCTAGGCTGGGGCCCGGTGTTCCATGCCTGTAATCCCAGCACTTTGGGAGGCCAAGGTGGGTAGATTGCTTGAGCCCAGGAGTTTGAGACCAGCCTGGGCAACATGGTGAAATATCACCTCTACAAAAAATACAAAAATTAGCTGGGCATGGTGGTGCACACCTGTAGTCCCAGCTACCTGGGAGGCTGAGGCGGGAGGATTGCTTAAGCCCGGGAATTCAAGGCTGCAGTGAGCCATGATCTTACCACTGCACTCTAGCCTGGGCAGCAGAGCAAGACCCTGCCTTGCCTCAAAAATAAAAAACAAAACTGAAATACTAACCCCATCCCATACCTCAAAATGCGACCTTATTTGGAGATAGGATCTTTACAGAGGTAATCAAGTTAAGATGAGGTCATTAGGATGGTCCTAATCCCATATGACAGTGTCTTTACACAAAGGAGAACTTTGGAGACAGAGGGAAGGTGCTGGGAAGCACCAGGAGTTTGTGTTTGCAAGCTAGGGAATGGCTGAGGCTAAGAGAGAGCCCGAGCTACCAGGGAGGCCTGAACACACCCTCCCTCGCAGCCCTCAGAAGAAGCCAACCCTGAAGACACTTGGATTTGGGCCTTCTGGCTCCAGACCTATGAGCAAATACATTTTTGAAGCACTCATCTTGAACTTCTGGCCTTGTTGAAGTCACCCAGTTTGTGGTACTTTGTTAAGGGCAGCCCAAGGAAACTATTTGAGTAACAGAGTAAATAAGGGGAGTGGGCCACTTAGCATTCCCCTTCCCTGACTCGTTTCAAGGAGCCACAAGAAGAGCATGCAGGCAGAAAGAACAGCGGGGACGGGGGCCTGAGGCAGGAGCCAGCAGAGACATCCTGTAGGCATGGCGGCCACACCACCCAGGCCAGTGGGCTTTCCTAGGCCTTCAGAACATACCTGCAGATGAGGAGAGGGAATGATCTCACAAAATTCATATTAATAAACGTCTATCTAAATGGTCTAGATGTAATTAAGTCCTTACTACCTATTACATGTATTAATCATAAAAAAATTGCATTACATTTGAGCACAATTTGTTGGTTAGACTTTCTGGCTCTGTAGTAACTTCTCCATGTGCAAAGTAACTGCTGAGAAATCATAGCCAATTATAAAATAAAGGAGTTTCTCAAAGTTAATTTCCAAAGCAAAATTCTAAACATTGCTTCCAAAGAGTTTATTCAGCAAAAAATATTGAAAGATGATAGTGCATTTGAATATGACATGGGGGAGGGGCTACCAAGTTAACACTACTTAAGCCAATGGTAGTCTTAAGACCACCCCAGCGGTCACAGGTTGGTGGTGTGGCGTGAGAAGCGCAGGGCAGGGGGAGTGGGAGACCCTGTCTGAGAGGCAGGCAGTACCTGTAGGTCTACACAGAATGTGAATTTTCTAAGTGGATGGAAAGTCACTGGAAAGTTTTAAGCAGGGACTGAGGTGCTCTGGGAAAGACTCTAGAGGGGAGAGACCAGGAAGAATTCTGGGACCAACAGGCTAGGACAGCCTCTTTGCCTCTCTGTGTCCTAGAAACCTACTTCAGATCTGAGTTGGGCACAGAACTCTGGTGACAGTGCAGCAGAAGCATTAAGAATCCCCTCCTGGCTGAGCGTGGTGGCTCACACCTGTAATCTCAGCACTTTGGGAGGCTGACGCGGGCAGATCACTTGAGGTCAGGAGTTTGAGACCAGCCTGGCCAACGTGGTGAAACCTCATCTCCACTAAAAATACAAAAATTAGCTGGGCGTGGTGGCACACGCCTGTAATTCCAGCTACTTGGGAGGCTGAGGCAGGAGAATCACTTGAACCCAGGAGGTGGAGGTTGCAGTGAGCCAAGATCACACCACTGCACTCCAGCCTGGGCAACAGAGCAAAATTCTGTCTCAAAAAAGAATCCCCTCCCCTGCCTAACTGCTGCCTACTCCCCCAACTTCAGCTCTCAGCCTAGGGAAGCTTCTCTGACTCCTTCTCTATTACTGCACCCCCGGCACTCCACAGTTCTTCTTTGTTACCTTCTCACGCTTTACCATGATATACTTTTTTGTGCAACTCTTTGATCAGTGTCTCTTCCTCTAAACTGTAAACTACTAGAGAGCAAGGACCATGTCTTGCATTTACTACCAGGGGCGGATTTGGGTTTTCTGCAGTCTGAATATTTTACCATTGGGGAAGCAGGGGGATAGGGGTTGGTGGGGAGGGAGGCTCTCTTTAAGAAAATAAATACACAATTACAAATACAAAATTAAGTATAAATGAGTATTCATTTAGAGAATCAGGATCACAACAAATTCCTAGATCTTAAGAGGTTTAGGTCCCCTTTGAGGAGTTCACTTAGACAATTTAGCAGAAACACTGAAGTGTTTTCTGAAGGTAGCCAGGCTTCCTCTCTCTACCTAAAACATTCTACACCTCCGAGCACTCACATGGGCTTTGTGGGTGAGCTTCATCCTCATTAGCTGCTCAGTATGCCCATCTTTGTTCATCACTATATTGCCAGCACCTGGCATCATGCTGGTTATATAGATGCTCAATGATTCATGGCTATTATGATAATTTTTATTTTAAACCAACATTTCCTGAGCATCTACAAGGACGTGCAAAGACAAGCAAGGACAAGAGAGATCTGGTCTCATACAATTAGTGAATGGTAAGGGAGACAATCGCAGCTGTCATTACTTTTTTTTTTTTTTTTTTTTAGACAGGGTCTTGCTCTGTCACCCAGGCTGGAGTGCAGTGGTGTGATCACAGCTCACTGCAGCCTTGAATTCCTGGGCTCAAGTGATCTTCCCACCTCAGCCTCCTGAGTAGCTGGGACCACAGGCATGCCACCACCATGCTCGGCTTATATTTTGATTTTTTGGTAGAGATGGGTTCTTGCTATGTTGCTTGGGCTGGACTCGAACTCCTGAGCTTAAGTGAT
Source organism: Homo sapiens (assembly GCF_000001405.40). NCBI lineage: Eukaryota > Metazoa > Chordata > Mammalia > Primates > Hominidae > Homo > Homo sapiens. Next base: position 180,143,918 of record NC_000001.11, read on the forward strand.
CCTCCTGCTTTGGCCTCCCAAAGTATTGGGATTACAGATGTGAGCCACTGACCTGGCTTGTGATTACTTTTAAGACAAGATTAATAATATAAACAAGTTGCCAGAAAGGACAGGCAGAAAGGTAACTTGTTTCAGGTAGTAAGACAAAGTTAGGAAGAGGAGCCCCTAATGTCAGCTAGAAAAATTTGAGCTCACCAAGTAGCTGACAGGGTATTTTATGTTTTTATAAAAGTACAGTAGTAGACAAGACATTCCAACTCCCCCTACTAGACCAGAAGTTGCAGTACCCAGCTGCAGGTGAGGCAGGGCCAACCACCAACTGCAGAGCTTGGCATATGAACGGCTATGTCTGCGCACAGCCAGCCCAGAAAGCCCATATGTCCAACAGAAGCATCCTCTAAAGGAGACTTGTTCCACAGACAACAGCACGGAGCAACTGGGTAAATAGAGAAGAAGGGGTGGAGCCTCAAGAATCCTTTAGAATGTCTGCTGAGAGCAAGGCTGTCTTAAAGTAAGAATGAGACATCTGGATGCTAATGTGGTCATCACCTGGGACCATAAAAACACTCAATATTTCATTTGGACAATTATTCAGCAAGCGTTACTTGAATGCCTACGTGGGCTAGGCAAATTCTTGCAAGACATTCTTTTTTCTCTGTATGCTTCTCTCCCCCTTTTTTGCACCCAAGTGGCTTAAGTCAAGTTTTCCTAAACACCTGGAAATCTCAGTACATTCATGACGCATCTTAACATGGGTATTGTGGCCTCCAGATGTACTCACACCTCAGCCTTTCCTATGAGTTTAGCCCTATTCTGTCTCAAGCCCTGTGCTGGACTCTTTCATTCTCCCATTTGATCCGTACAACCTTATCCCTCCCAGTGGTGGTCATTGTCCACTTTGGTCTGTACAGCCCCACGTGACCTCTTCCTCTGGTAACAGTACGCCTTCCTTACTCCAAACATGCAGTACCAGTGAAGGCTGCCAATTACAGTGCTTACTCTCCTACCTATAGGAATGAGCACATTGCCCCGGATGACCCATCTCCCTGACTATAGCGACTGATCTAGGCATGAACACATAACCCAAGCCTGGCCAATCAGTTCCCCCCAGTGTTTTTCTAACTAGGGTCAGCAGAGAAGCTCTGTCTTTTCTCTCTGACCTCAAAAATGAAAGCGTGTGACCAGAGTTCTAGCCTTCTGGAAGCAGCTGGGCTGAGAGAATGAAGCCAAAGTACAGAGACTAGAAGTGCAGAGAGGAAAGATGGTGTCACAGCTTTCCCCTACCCTCTATTTGGCTCTTTGAGGCAATCAGTTCCCCTTTCCTGCCACAGCTAGTTCAATTTAGCATCTTTTTGAGTGTAACTGAGAGTCCTGTCTAAGGAACTCCTTTATACAGACAAATCCCATAATCTCAGGGAGCCCCTTCAGCTGGCAAGAGGCTCAGCTTTTGTTCCCGAGTCTGAGATGCCCTTGAAGTTCTCTTGCTTCCTCCTTAGCTTCCCCCTCCACACTGGCTCCAGCACAGATCTCTGAACCAAATGCTCAGAGCTCAGAACCAAATATCCATGTTAGCACTGTTAAGACAGGGTAGATTATCAAAGAACTAACTAAAATTCTGAGTGGTAACAGCAAGGAAACAAACAACATGAGGTAACAAATGTACAAAACAGACAAGATGATAGAGAAGTCTTCAGCTAGATTGCTTCGGGGCCTGCGGGCCTATTCTACCTCATAAGCTATCTGAAAATTGCTTCATTCTCATCCTGAAGATGTGGGAAAAGATTTTAGCAATCCAGTCTGGATTCCTGGCTTCCTAACTATGAGTCTGACCCCACACGGAGGACATAGTTTTAAAAATTAACTAATTAAAAAATTAAAATGTAGCAAACTAAATTGATCTATAAATGTAATGCAATCTCAGTCAAAATCTCAATAGGCTTCCTATTTTTTAAAAGAAGCCAACAAGCTGATTCTAAAATTCATATGAAATGCTAAGAACTAGAATAACCAAAACAATTCAAAAAAGAGAAATAAAACTGGGGGATTGCTACCAATTAATATAAAGAATTACAGGCCAGGCACAGTGGCTCACGCCTGTGATCCCAGCACTTTGGGAGGCTGAGGCGGGTGGATCACCTGAGGTCAGGAGTTTGAGACCAGCCTGGCCAACATGGCAAAACCCTGTCTCAACTAAAAATACAAAAATTAGCCGGGTGTAGTGGCGCATGCCTGTAATCCTAGCTACTGAGGAGGCTGAGGCAGGAGAATTGCTTGAACCCGGGAGACGGAGGTTGCAGTGAGCTGACACTGTGCCACTGCACTCCAGCCTGGGCGACAAGAATGAAACTCCATCTCAAATAAATAAATAAATTAATAAATAAATAAATATCTCTCCAGCAATTCCACTCCTAGGAATATACCCAAGTGGACTGAAACATATGTTCATACAAAAACATATACACAAATGTTCATAGCAGCATTATTTATATAGCCAAAAGGTGAAAACAACTCAACTAATAAAACTCAATGGAATGTTATTGGGTCACTTAAAGGAGTGAAATGCTGACACATGCTCCAACAGGGATGACCCTCGAAAATATTATGCTAAGTAAAAGCATCCAAACACAAAAGGCTACATATTCTAAGATTCCATTTTAGACACAGAAATTAGGTTAGTGGTTTTCAGGGGTCAACAGGAAGTGGGGAGTAATTGCTAATGGGTTCCTTTTGGAGTTATAAAAATGTTCTGAAGTTAGATAATGATGATGGTGGCACAACTTTGTGACTATACTAAAAACCACTGAATTGTATACTTTAAAGGGGTAAATTTTATGGTATATAAAATTTTATCTCATTAAAAGACTTACTATGATGCTATAGTAATCAAGGCAGTGTGATACCAGCACAAGGATACCATATGTGTCATATACACATGTATTTTAGTGGAACAGAATTGGGTCTAGAAATAGATTCACACATATATGGTAAATTACTTTTTGAAAACTCTGCCAAGGCAGTTCCATAAGGAAAAGATAGTCCTTTCAATAAATGTTGCTAAGACAACTGGATATTTCTATGGAGATAAATGAACTTTGACCCTTACCCTTATATACAAAAATTAACTTGATATGAATCAAAGACCTAAATGTAAGAGTTAAAACTATAAAATTTATAAAAGAAAACATACAAGAAAAGGCTGGGCATGGTGGCTCATGCCAGTAATCCCAGCACTTTGGGAGGATGACATGAGAGGATTGCTTGAGCCTAGAAGTTCGAGACCAGTCTGGACAACATAGTGAGACCATGCTGCTATAAAAAAATAAAAAATTAGCTGGGCATTGTAGAGTGCCTGTGGTTCCAGCTACTCAGAGGCCGAGGTGGGAGGATCGCTTGAGCCTAGGAGGTCGAGGCTGCAGGGAGCTGTGATCGTGCCACTGCGCTCCAGCCTGGGTGGCAGAGCAAGACCCTGTCTCATAAAAAAAAAAGAAAGAAAAGAAAACATACAAAAACATCTTTGTGGCCTTGGAATAAGCAAAGATTTCTTAGGACACAAAAAGTGCAAACCACAATAGAAAAAAAAAAAGATAAATAGATTTCATAAAAACAAAAACCTTCTGCTTATCAAGAGATACCATTAAGAAAATGAATAGGCTGGGTGCAGTGGCTCACACCTGTAATCCCAGCACTTTGGGAAGCTGAGGCAGGTGGATCACCTGAGGTCAGGAGTTCGAGACCAGCCTGGCCAACATGGTGAAACCCCGTCTCTACTAAAAATACGAAAATTAGCCAGTCGTGGTGGCGTGTGCCTGTAATCCCAGCTACTTGGGAGGCTGAGGCAGGAGAGTCACTTGAACCCGGGAGATGGAGGTTGCAGTGAGTCGAGATTGCACCACTGCACTCCAGCCTGGGCGACAGAGCAAGATTCCGTCTCAAAAAAATAATAATAAAAAGAAAGAAAATTAATACACAAGCTATTGACTGAGAGAAAATGTTTGCAAAACATACATCTGACAAAGGATTTGCATCCAGCATATATATGTATATATGTAAATTTAAGTACATATATACCTATACATACAGAACTCTTACAATTCGGTAATAAGACAACCTAACTTTTTAAAAGGAGCAAAAGATTTCAACAGATACTTCACACACACACACACGAATATTTAAGAATAGCCATGAAAAGATGTTTAACTGTTAGTTACCAGGGAAATGCAAATTAAAACCTAAATGAGATGTATTACCCACCTACCAGAATGAATAACACTCAAAAAGACCGACACCACCAAATATTGGCAAGCATGTTGTGCATCCAGAACTCTCCTACATTGTTGGCAGGAATATAAAGTGGCATAATCACTCAAGAAAAGGTCTGATGACTCCTTTTTTTTCTTTTTGACAGGGTGTCCCTGTGCCACCCAGGCTGGAGTGCAGTGTTATGATTTCACCTCACTGCAACCTCTACCTCCCGGAGTTCTAGCGATCCTCCCACCTCAGCCTCCTGAGTAGCTGGAATTACAGGCATGCATCACCATGCCCAGCTAATTTCTTGTATTTTTAGTAGAGATGGGATTTCGCTATGTTGGCCAGGCTGGTCTCGAACTCTTGACCTCAGGTGATTGGCCCACCTCGGCCTCCCAAAGTGCTGGGATTACAGGAGTGAGCTACTGAGCCCGGCCTGATCTACATTTTGATTGCGCTGTTGGTTATACAGGTATGCACATTTCTCAAAACACATGGAAATATGAACTTAAAGTGGGTGAATTTTATTGTCTGTAAATTATATGTTAATAAAGTTGATTTTTAAAAGTAATACATGGGCATGAAAAAAAATTTTTTTTTTTTGAGACGGAGTCTCACTCTGTCGCCCAGGCTGGAGTGCAGTGGCACAATCTCGACTCACTGCAACCTCCGCCTCCTGGGTCCATGCCATTCTCCTGCCTCAGCCTCCTGAGTAGCTGGGACTACAGGTGCCTGCCACCACGCCCGGCTAATTTTTTTTTTTTTTTTAATTTTTAGTAGAGACGGGGTTTCACCATGTTAGCCAGGATGGTCTCGATTTCCTGACCTCGTGATCTGCCTGCCTCAGCCTCCCAAAGTGCTGGGATTACAGGCGTGAGCCACCGCGCCCGGCCAAAAAAAATTTTTAATGAAACGGGGTCAGAAAATTAAAATTTTCCTTCTCTACACAACCTCCCCAAAGAAAACACAAGGCGACGCCAGTTAAGTTCAATGCCCTAAAAAAGTCTCCGTATTCCACCTATTCATTCCGCCCTCCATCGTCGTATTTTTAAAAGAAACATCTAATATTTTAAAAATAGGAAAAATAGAAAACTGCTTTCCAGGCTGGGCACAGTGGCTCATGCCCGTAAGCCCAGCACTTTGGGAGGCTGAGATGGAGATGGGCAGATCACTTGAGGTCAGGAGTTCGAGACCAGCCTGGCCAACATGGCGAAACCTCATCTCTACTAAAAATACAAAAGTTAGCTGGGCGTGGTGGTGTACATCTGTAATCCCAGCTACTAATGAAGCTGAGGCATGAGAATTGCTTGAACCCTAGAGGCAGAGGTTGTAGTGAGCCAAGATTGTGCCACTGCACTCCAGCCTAGGCAACTGAGTGACACTCTGTCTCAAAAAAAAAAGAAAAAAAAAAAAAAGAAAAAAAGGAAACTGCTTTTCACCCTTGGACTGGTAAACTCTGTCAGGCATCTAGACTAGGCTGGGGCTTGGATAGGTAATGGGAACCACTAGTAGAGCCAGAGGTGAACATATAACAATCACCATAGCACTCATAGATGGGAACTACACACTTAAAATGACTGCTTGCCCATTTTACAGATGAGGGGACTGAAGCTCAGAGAGTTGCCAAGGACTGAGACCCAAGTATCCTGACTCCAAAGACCAAGTGTTCATCTACCTTACCCCAGGATCTACCACGAGAGTTAAACTGGTGGCTTTGGGGAAGAAGGATGAGCCCAACCTAGCTTCAGCTGACTGCCCTCTTTCAACTTGTCCCTGCTCCTCCCACCCTTCTCCCTCCACACACACATTTAATGCAGCTTCTAACATGTACTGATAACATTATTACCTTCTCTTCAGGGAAATTCTGAGAATGCTCTTGTTATTTAAAAAGTTGATAAATTCTGTCCATTTGCAGTCATAGTGTTGTATAGTACCTTATTTAGAGTTGTGAGTATTTATCTGTTATAGAAGAACTGCCGTATACATCCTTAAGTCACGGTAGGAAATATTCCAAATTAGAACATCCACTCCAGAAGCTTAAAGTTTCCCCAAATAAATCTTATAATAGCATCACGTTGCCAAGGTCCCCAGAAATCTCTGTGGAAGGTTAGCACCCTGTATCCCAGCAAATCAACAATGTGGCTTTCCTGTCTCTGACTTTAGGCCTCATTTGATGACTTGCAGGTTCCCAAAAGGCCTCACCCCTGATATTAAGCCAAAGACCACAGACAACAAGGTCTTCTTGATTCTATAGTCTTGTATCTTCATTCTACTCTAAATAATTAGCTCTGTGTGTGTGTGTGTAGTGTGTGTGTAGTGTGTGTGTGTGCGGGTGTGTGTGCCTATGCCCTTTGAATTGTCATCAGGTGACCTGGGGACCAGGGAAGGTTGACCTGAACATGGGAGTCTGCCCACATATCCCTTTCACAGACGTCCCCTTCTCAATACTTCTATGGCTGTATTGGAAAGCCTGGCAAAAATGGCTCTGCCATTACCTTCCTGCGTGGCCTTTAGCAAGACACTCCGCTTTTCTGGGCCTGTTTCCTCTACAGATACAGAATAGGGCAATTAGACTAAGTGTGGATAGGAAAGGATGAGCAGCTGGGAAGGAATCTCTGTTACCCTCTTCCTCCGGCTTGCTTTCTCTAATGGTCAGATAGATTTCTAGCCCCCAACTCCTACTCAGGAGACTCACAGAAGGATGTTCAGGGATTTCTGTGTTTTCCATTCTTATTTCTAAGGCCTTGAAGGGCCCAAATTTGGGGACCCTGTACTAGGTACATTATTCTCCATTCTCCACCCTCCACTGTCCTGCCTTTTGTCTTGGAAGCCAACTTCTACAGACTATATAATCAGGGCATGTTCACCCTCTGGCTTTGACTGGGTTTGGCCAGTGGGAGACAATGGCAAGAAGGATTGGAGGATTGGAGGAGAAAAAAGTGGAAGTCATACTCTCCCAGTGCCTCCCTGTGTTTCTGGCAGTGGTGGCATCATGTGATTGCAACACCAGTTGGGCAGCCCCTCTCCCTCACTTCCTGCTGTCACTGGTTTTCATCACAAAATTCCCTCCCTTTCTCTGCTCTGGTCCAGGAGTGCTAGAAAGGCTTTTTGCTTTTGCCAGTCCCTAATTAGTTCCCTCTGCCCTGCACACAACCTTGTGAATAGTTCTTCCAGTAAACCATTTTCAGTAGACCCTTGGAACGTGCTTTCTCTTTCCTTTCATATCTAACTGATACACACTCTTGCTATTTTTCTTCCAACTTTCAGAATTAGGGTTCTAACTGTCCCAGCTGTGGAAAGGTTCATCTGGAAGACCTAGAGTTTTGAGGGACAAAGCAAGGGTCTCTTTTCTGTTGCTGGGCACCTGCCTCCAGTTGCATACACCTTCTCTGATCCTTGGTGCGAATGAGTAAGGGGAAAGTCATCTAATGCTACTGGGTGACATATTTTACCAAACACTCTTCTATTGCTCACTATAATTATGTGAATTGTGTATAAGCTGCGTTCCTCTCATAATTTATTTCATTTTTGGGTGGCAGACTTCCAAATTCCCTCTCTTTTATTCATGCATAACACATGAATGATTCACAAGTGGTAAAGTCAACAGGGCCCCTTCCGCTTCAGTCCCCATCTGTAAAAATGGTTTATCAACCTCATGTTGAGGTTCAGAGTTGGTATAATATCAACCCTCATATTAAGGGTTGGTGTGAGGACTAAATGAGTACCATCTGTAAATCCTTAGAGCAGCAGGTGCAAAGTGCTAGCCCACACCATGAGTATTTGCTCATCTGATTCATCTCGGCCCCCTTTCCTACAATTTATATGTAGGAAGGGGGAAAAGGGGACTTCGGTAGGAATTTCTAAGTGCTCCCTCCAGCTTCCGGGGTTTTCCGCAGCACCCCTTCCTCTCTCAACACCCATTTCTGAGTAGATTTCCTTTTCCGCAACCTTTTCATCCCAGGAAGTTCCAGGAAGGGCAAGAAGGGCAATTGCGATTCTCACGTTTTCTGCTCTTAATTCTAAACCAGTGATTGTCAAATAGAGGCCTAGGGAGCCCCACTGACCACAGAAAGTGGGTTTTGCTCTAGGTTATATCTTTGTTATTGCTCTTATCTGTTTAAGTTTCAAGATTCTGTTTGAACAATGGTTTCCAAGTCTTTAAAAAGTCGAAAATCCCCCTTCTGATGAGATACAGAAACCCCAGACTTTAAAACTCTCAGTCTTAAACCTCTTTGGCACCATTGCCAAGAAACTTTTCTCTATTCCATTCAAATAGTTTGTATTCTTTGCCATTTCTGATGCTCTGAAACAGATATTCAAACAAGCAAGTCTTTATGTATTTATCTGGAGTGTCTTTCTCAAGCACTCAGCATGTTCAGTAGACATTTGTCTCCTTAATTTCTAGGCCCATGGGAAAGATAACTACAACACTGTTTAACAACAGAGACATTTGAAGGTACAAAACTTTACTGGAACCTGATCCAGCCGCTGCAGTACTTCCAACCCATAGAATCCAGCGTTACTAGAGGACCGTCCATTCTGGTTCCAGAGGCTGCTAGGAGCGAGAAAAGTTGGAGAGCAGAAGCTGTACAGGGACTGAGTCCCGGGGAGGAGTACCCAGCAACTGGAATTGGCTGCGTCATGGGGAGGAGAGTTAGCAAGGTACTAACACTCCAATTGGCTAACACATAATTTCTCTATGCAGCTTAAGACTTCAGGCAGACAGATATGAACACATGAAGGGAGTAAAAACTCCAACCTCTGGACCACTTCCTGGAGTGCTCCTAACCCAGACTCCCACAGGGCTTCCTCCCATACTTCATTTAGGTCTTTGGCTCAAATGTTACCTCTTTAGAACTGCCTCAAGACTGGGGCAAGAGGAGCCCCAGTCTAGGGCTCTGAGCACCTGATTCTCTTCCGTCCATGTTCCTTTCCATAGGGCAAGAAATCCCACGGGCCAACGGGATGTACTCACTCAGAGCTCTTGCCCCTCTCCTTTTTAGAGCATACTGTGAGTTCCTGGGACCCTAGAAAATAGTGCCGCAATAGCAACAGGTCACCAGCTACAGGCTGCCTCAGCCTTTTCCCAAGGTCTATCCTCCTGAGGAGCAAGGGGTGGTCAAGGGGAGGCTATTTGCAGGTGTGGACAAAACTCTGATGTGCAGATGTCGTTGTTATAGGTGTGGGCAAAAGGCCATTTGAAGTATGGGACAGAGCTGGGGTGCCAAGAGAAGAAGGAAGGCTGAGGGCCAAGGACATGTTCCCCCTCCAAAGCACTACATTCGAGGGCGTATCTCAGAAGGGTCCAAGAATCCTAAACTTAAATGTGGCCTTCCAGATTATGATGAAGGTATACATGTCAAGATAAAAGGATAGGAATTTTACATCACCGTTTAATTTGTAGTTTTAAAATATGTAGACATGATATGTGGGCCTCCATTTGTACTACTGACTCAGTTCTTGCAAATATTAAGGGTAGACCTGTCCCTGATCTTCGTGTGTAAAATAGCACCTCCTCTGCCACTCTATTCTTACCCCAGTCTACATTTCTTCATAACATCGGTCACCATCTGATCTACATTTACTTATGTATCATCTCTTTACCCCCACTGGAATGTAAGTTCCACGTCCCTAGAGTCTATATTTTGTTTACTGCCTTATCCTTATACCTAAACAAGTGCCTGGCATGACACCACTCAGTAAAACTTGAATAAATGAATAACAAATCTAGGCTCAAAGCTCTTACAGGTGAAAGGGGCTAACCTGGCAGTCACAAAGGAAAAATATCACTGTGACAACCGTCTGAGGAGCACCTTCTCCCCTTAAAATAACTCACTCAAAACAGTGGAGCTGCAAAGGTGACCAGAGAAAATCCATTAACACCTTAGTGCCCATGACACCAGGTGAGTTGATCGGGCTACTTGCGAGAGGGACATGTGAGTGAGCGTGGAGAGCTCTGAGTAGGCTGAAGAGCTGGATGTGGGGGATCTGGGCTGCTGGGAACCCCGAATGTTGGAATCGCCCTGACAACCTTATGAGGGTGGTCAGATATGGGTCCTGAGGAAACTGATTCCACGGCAACTGCCCGCCAACCCAGCACACCCCACAGTGAAGAGGGGCT